>NC_000018.10:76044306-76345661 GCF_000001405.40 Homo sapiens | reverse complement strand
GTGGTTTTGCTGACCTGGGCTGGCCAGGTCCAGGGATCACTCATGCATCTGCAGTCAGCTGCAGATCAGCGAGGGGGCATTTCTGATCATGGCTGAGCTTTCTCATGTGCCTGGGGCTCAGCTGGAGCAACTGTTGCGTTTTGGGTCTCACTCTTCAGCAGGACCCTGGTGATGAAGGCAGAGAGGCCAGACTGAGAGTGGAGATATGCAAGACGGAGACCAGCATCTGGTTCCACACACCCCATTCTGTTGGCCAAAGTAATTCCCAAAGCCAGCCTAGCGGGGAAATAGATTCCACCTCTTGACTGGATGGTCTGCAAGCAGTATTGCAAAAAATGTGAATACAGGGAAGGCTAAGGATTTGAAGGTATTTTTGTAATAAGTCTACCACAAATAATGTGCTGAGTGCAACAATAGAAGTATGCACAGTACCCTGGGAGAACAGAGGAGGCAGACTTAGCCAAACCTTAGGGTTCAGGGAAGGCTTCTGGGGAAAGCTCATGTGTGTCTATCTATGTAAATTTATAACATAAAAGATGAACTCCTAAAGCAATTCGTGAGCAAAATAAAGCTAACTAAATTCCACTAAAATCTTCCCTCTTTGATATACATGAGGACTTGCATATGGAGAGCTCTGGACCTATATGATTAGTCTTGTTCTGAATTTCTGTAATTTCTTCTCTTTTCATAGGTTTTATCTCTATAATGCCTGAGGAATCAGCCTCCTTTTCTAAAAACATTAAATCACTGTGACATGTACTAAGTTCATGTATTTTGATTAGACTTGGGGCTCAAAAGTGGTATCTTTATTTTTCTGAGATTAGCAGGTTACTTTGAATAGGTTTGTCCTTTTCTGTCTCTCTAAACTGTCTTCTGAATGACCATATTTTCCTGAGATAGGGATTCTTCCCAGGACAAGGCTGAGGTTCTGATGATACCATCATTATCTTTTTCATCACCATTATCACCATCACCTACATCATCATCACCATTATTACCATCATAATCATCAGCAGCAGCATCATACCACCACCTTCGTCATCATCACCATCACCTTCCTCATCACTGTTTTACCATAATAATCATTACCATCACTATCATCACTATTATCACCATCATCACCATTGCCATCATTACCATTACCACCATCTTCACCATCATCACCATCACCATCATCATCATGATCACTGTTATTACCATAATAATAATAATAATTGTCATCACCATCATCACCATTATCACCATCACCATCATTAGTATCACCATTATCACCCTCATCACCATCACCATCATCACTATCACCATCATCATTATCACCATCACCATCATCACCATCATCACCGTCACCATTATTATCATCATCATCATCATCAGCATCATCATTACCACCATCTTCACCATCATCACTATCACCATTATTACCATAATAATCACCATCACCATCACCGTTATTACCGTAATAATAATCACCATCATCATCACCATCACCACCATCACTATCATCATCATCACTGTTAGCATCACCACTATCTGTACCACCATCATCATCATCATAATCACCATCACCATTATCACCATCATCATCACTATCATCATTATCATCACCATCACATCATCACCATCAATCACCATCACTATCACCATTATTGCCATGATCACAATTATCATTACCATCACCATCATCACTATCATCCCATTTTCATCATCACTATCATCATTACCATTACCATTATCACCATCACCATCGTCATCACCACCATCTTCACCATCATTATTGCCATCGTCCTCATCATTACCATTATCCTCATATGTAATTCACACTGTGCTAAAATTAATTGGAAATATAGGCCAGAAGATTCATGGAGGAGGTGAGATTGAAAATAAAGATTCATGTTTGATTAGACTCATGCTTACGTCATGAAAATGTGTGAACTCTCTAAGAAGAAAATAAAGATGAAAAAGAAGTCAAAGTATCAATAGGTGATGATGCTCCTATAGGACTAAGGGAAGAGGAAATGTAGCTAGTTATGGGTTCAGATATGGAGTTGGCAGGCCTCACTAAAAGCTGAAGTTAAAGCAAACATGAATCTAGATGAGTCCATTGTGCTTTGAAATAGCCCGTCTCTGCTGATGTAGTAGGGCAGTTTCCATGGAGTGGTGGATAGAATTCAGATTGCAGCGTGCACCTATCACAGCACCAGACATCATAGGATGTCTACCGCTCAGCTGCCCTTGCACCTCAGGGAAGCCCACAGAAGTCAGGCCCTTTGCTGGACACCTGCTGGGTTTGTGATTAACCAAAATAGCAATTCCCTTTCTGCAATGTCTGATGGAGAACCAGAATTTAAATTTGCACTATTAATAGAAAGAATTTAGCAGCCACTGTAAATCAGTTATGCAATTTTAAAATGGCTTCTTGGAAGAAAATTGTCATTGGGGATTTCCAGACTATTTCTTTTATAATAGTACTACTTTAGGAAATGATGAAGAAGCTTGTTAAATGTAAGATTGCAGAGGAGAAAAAATAGTGAACTCTTCAGTTGTGATGAACTTACAATGTCACTGAAATATTTTCTTAGAAACATAATTGCAAGGCAAATAAGTGATTATAATATAAGATGTCTGGCATAGATAGGGCTGTTTATTACCTTTAGATACATTCTGGATTATATAACCATGAGTTGATTTGTTGAAAATGCTTCTTGAGGACAGGGCCATGTTTATGTGCCTAATACCTTACACTATGTCTGGCATTTTGATGAAGGATGGAGGGAAGCGAGGTGAAAAAGGAGGGAGGGAAAGAAAAGGTAGCAGAAGGAATTGCAACGGAGTCTCCAGGATGTTTGAAGTTCATTTTAATGTCCTATACTGCATCACTTCCAGCTGAAGACATGGAAACAACAGGCAAATGAGAGCACGTCAGTGACCTTTGAGGGATTGGGAAAACTGAGGAAGTGCCAGAAAGTAGACAGATGTGTTGCTCTTGTTTTAAAAGTAATAAGATGGTGGATTCACACGCTATATACCGGTTTGTTTGAGCAGTCTTCTGGAAGACATTATTAAAGAAATGGTCTGAGAGCACCTGGAAGGAAAAGCAATTCACCAAGAACAATGCCAGTGTGCCCTGCCATGTCTTCATCTCTTAGCCCAAAGCTCATGTAGAATTGGTATTCTGAAAATGAACTTCGAATAAATAAAAATTATTAAAACAAGCATTGTTAGTCTAACTGCATTTCCTCCTTTGAAAGATTTAAAAACTTAGAAAGTGAAAAAATTAAGAGAGAGATTATGTATCTGGACGGCAGCAAGGTATCTGGCAAGCTGTTCTTGCAGAAAAATGAAAAATATGAGCTGGATGTTAATACAAATGAGAAGGTCTCTTCATGAGTTATGTGTCAATTCAAAAGATATTTAATGAATACCAACACAAATAGATATATAGCAACAAGTTAACATTTTAAAAATGAGAGTCCTGATTTAGATTTGGAGGAAGGGGGTCAGGGACTTGTTACCTAAAGTAATATAGAAGCCGAAGTCTGAAGGAAAAGTAGAAGCTTGCCAGGGGAATGGAGGGGGAAGGACATTTCAAAGGAAGGAACTTGGCTTAGTAGAAAAAATGAGAGTAGAAGTGTAGGTAAAGAATGGTGAGGCTCAGAATGGTTCAGAATTGTACTGGAGTGCTGTGTAGCAGCCAGAAATGCAGGATGTATGGGTTATGTTAGGGCCAGGACTTCTATTCCTAATGCTAAGTGAAAACATAATACATTGAAGGTTTTTCAAAGCAGATTATGACATTATCTAAACTCTGTTTCTCAAAGCCTATCATGGCTTTTGGGTGGAGAGTGGATTGGAAGGGGAAGTCTCTTATAGTTTGGGGGGCAAGAAGATGGTGAATTGGTCTGAAAGGGTGGTGGAAAGAAGGCAAAAAGTGGTCAATATCAATATATATTTAAGAGGCAGAAGTGGCTAGATTTTGTCATGGCTTAGACAGGATGGGAACTGGGCTGAAGGCAAAGGCTAGCTTCCAGATTTCTAGGAGGCATAATGGGAGGGGCATCTCCTGAGTAAGAGAAACACCAAAGGAGGAGCAGACACCTGGATGACAATGAAAAGTCAGGTTTGAGGTGAAATGCAGTGGAGGTGAGTGGACTAATTTGTATGAGGCTGCAGAGGGCACATGTTCTTTAGCATCCCTCTCAATGACTGCCATGAGGACACGGGAGCCTGATTTTTAGATGACAAATACTGAAAGGTATGAAAAAGATCCTAGTGACACTTAATTCAACAAGAAAACACCATATTTCTATGACTTTTCTTAGATGGCATTTTTGATATCATGGACACCAACAGGATGTAAATTCACACTTCTTATATCCCTCCAAAAGCCAACTAGTTATCAATTATTGTTGATTCTTCTTCTAAAATGTCTCTCAAGGAAGTCTTCCACCACTGTGTTAACTTAATCCTGCTCTGTATTGCCTTCAGAAAATTAAGACCCTCCCAAATGAATTTTCTGCATCCATCTTCTCTTACCTCCATCTACCCACTACAAAGCTTATAATCAGCTTTATAAATGAAATCCTGAACTACCATTTAACTCTTTGGACAGTATTAAAACTCAGATAGTTTTGTGGTTGGCATTGGCTGTGCCGAATTATCTGTTGTCAACTGTGCCTCAATCTCTTCCAGAGTCTCCTGTGCCCTGCAGAAGAGAAGCCTGCAGCTACACTGACCAGCATTCCTTCTGCTGCAGGGTTCCAGGTTAAAGACTGCCAAGAGGCACTGTAGGGAGGTTTGGAAGGTGGAAGATAAGGAGAACTGTTACTCTCCAGTAGATTCGATGGCAGAAACAAAGGTGGAAGGTGCATTCTTGAGCATCATCTACTCAGTGCTGCCTGCAGCTGTGCTTGGGAGACAGCTCCTGCTGAGATGTCTGAAAGCTTTGGTGGCATTGAGTATCCTGTAAATTATCTGCTTGAGCAGTTGGATTCCACCCTTCACCCTCCAGCCTTCCAGGAGGCTATGGAAGCCTCCAATGATTTCCTGCATTAAACCGAGAATACCTAGATTGACTTCTGTTTTCCTGAAGCAGTCACCCTTCACATGACCCCAAACTGATCGTTGTAAACTCAACTCTCTTCATACTGTCATTTCTCTCATCCCCAGTATCATAGCTTCCAGTCACAATCAATCATGGGCTTCCCCTGGAGAGTTTTTCCCACTCCCTGGAGGGGTTTAGTGACCAGCTCAGTGCCTGGCATCAGGAAAACACTCAATGGATGTATGGTAATAAAATAAATATATGCATGAATCTTTATATCTTTGCCTCTTTTGTGTCCTCTGCTTCAGTTGCCTATCTTCCAATCCTATTGTGCAAGGGCCTGCACATGAGTTATTTGTTAATTCAAAAGATATTTATGAATACCTACACAAACAAATGTATCACTATCCAGTTCAAATTCCCTATGAACCCCTTCCCAAATTTTTCATGCAGATTTAATTGCCAGGTCTTTTGTGTTTCCACAGAAATTTGTACACACAGGGCCAGCTGCATAATTTGTAAGGCCCAGTGTAAAATGAAAATGGAGGGAGGCTCTTTGTTAAAGAAGCAAGATGAAAGATGTCATTAGAGGTACAGGTGCCATAGAAAGATTTTGCCTCTCTTTTGGGTCTCTCTCTCTCTGCTATCATGGTGATTTTTAGTTACTATATAGCATCATGTTCCTTCAGGTCCAGGCACGTCTGTGGGGCTGGCACAGACCTTCATGGGCACTGGGGGCCACCCCATGACCTGGCACAAGTGCTGTCCATCCTGGGCTAGTGTGTGGAGCCTTGGTGGGGCAAGAGGTTCAGCCTGGCATTTCCTCTCCCATGTAGTTGTGATCCCATCCCACATGAATGGATGACTCCAAGGCCATTGCTACCTTTACGCTAGTACTGTGTGTAAGCCCCATCAAAGCTCCAAGCCCCTGACACATGCTCCACTATTCCAGTGGATTTCAGTTACAAAACACAAATTAAAAGATAAAATCATTATGAATTTCGAGATGGCACTCACAGAGCATTAGAACCCAAGCACAGGTCCCTGGTTATATGCCCCAGAAGCCAGTCCTGGGCACAGCTTGCTTGATGATCAGAGCCAAGAGCATGGACCCTGGAATCAGCCTGTCTGGGCTTGATATCGGCTTGGCTGCTCACTTCCTGCATGACCCTGGGGAGTTGCCAAACTTCCTGAAGCTTCTGCTTCCCCATCTAGAGGATGAGGGAATAACTGTGCTTACCACCCAGGGCTGTTGTTACCATTAAATAAAACAATATATGTATAATCCAGCTCCCAGCACACAGCATGTACCCAATAAATGTTTGCCAATATTATTGTAGTATTCATCCCATGAGATTAAAAAGATAACACAAGTTACAGCATTCCGTGGGAGCATTCGTCTTGGCTTTGACTGTCCCTGAGCCTCTCATATCTCCAGGGCCCCTCCAGGTCACAGAGTCTTGTTCTTTTCTGCTTTTGCCTGCCAAGGGCCATGGGGCACACATGGCGGGCAGGGGGTCCACTCTCACAGTGTTGACTCTGTGCCCGAGGCACCAAGACTCAGCTGCTCCAGAGGCATCCCTTGCTGCATACCAGCTGTGATCCATAATGAGGGAGTATGTCCCCCAACTCTGTCATTGGCACATCCCAACAAGAGTCCCAGTGTCCCCACAGTGTCCCCCACAGTTTGCTGTGAGAATAGATTGTTCAGCTTCTTCCCAGGGCCCCCCTTTTCCCTGATATGAGTCATTGGGGCCCAGTGGGCATGATGATATTAGGTACATTGTTTCACTGGCTAGAAACTCTTTCCCCACCCATTCTTCATGCATGACCAGACATACTTGTAAGAAAACATTTTAAATGGTCCATTTTCAAGGCATGATAAATCTAAGTACTGGTAGCCAGCCTGCAAATGTAACAAACCGCATGGCTCATGCACCTAGGTTATGATAAGTGAACAGAATGTAGAGGAGGGGTCAGCCCATAAAAGGGAAGAAAGTTTTGTTTTTGGGAAATTGAAACTTTGGGGTATAATCTTATAAGCGGATAATAGAACTTAGGCGACTTCCAGGAAGATTGTAACCCCCCAGTACTTGACCAGTGGGGAACTGGGGGAGGGATTTGCCTGCTAGTAGATAAATTACCTGCTGTTACTGCCGTGGGTGTGCCCACCTACCAGACACCCGATCTTGCAAGACCACCATTAAAAGTCTCGCTTCAGCTGTTCTTCCTGTCTCCGAGTCCATTCTTTGGGTTTGGATGCGTGAATGTGTGTGTCTCACAAACCGAACCTCAGTGTAGCTTCAGGTCCGACTCACATACATAGGTGACTTGTGGTTCTCTCATCTGTCAAGCAACGTGTTCTAGAGATGGGAGATACGTGATTAGTGAGTCCCTCCAGTGATTCCTGACTGCCCACCATGTGTTCTATGCAAACAAATCTGTGCCTAGGGCCCTACATGGCCCTACATAGACCCTGGTGCAAAGTTAGAATCCAACTGATTTACTTATTTTCAAGTCAGGAGCCTGAATCCTGAATCCTGAATCCTGGTCCACCATCAGCTCAAGGCACCCCGGAGACAGGACCAGGGGAGCTCAGCCACACAATTGTTTTTCCCGGCTAGAACTTTGACTTCCACCCTGTTAAGCTGATCTGAAGCATGTGTGAACTTCACCGATATTCTTTTATATCTTATAACCCATGTCTTCATCCCTCTGATCCATCTCCAACCTAGGCAGCTCCTCTTCACTGCTCCTGGCCCTTCACTGGCTCATTTGAAGAACCTCTCTGCTGCCTGCAGGCTCTCTTCATCTATTCCATAAGTGTCACTTTACTGCTCTAAAGTGGAAGAGAAAAGAAAGAAAATCAAGTGAAGGAAGAAAGCTTGATCTCTCTTACTCTTCACACCAAAATTCCAGCCCCATGGAGGGAGAACACACTGCCTTGGCTTAATGATCCATATACTGTCACGGCACCTTCTAAAGGGCAGATGAGGCTTCCAGCAAATGCAAATTAATTAAGGCAGATTGTTTTGCCAATCAACATATCTAGAATTTCTCATCTTCCAATGTCAGGGACTATGTGCCTTACTCTGCACATGCCGAAATTGGAACAACAGCATGGACAATTGATGGCGTTCTCCACTCTGTTCTGTGCTCTTATCCTCATTGTCACAGGACCTCTAGGGGTACGTCTGTGGGATATTTTTTAACTTTGCTTTATAGTTTGGAAAAACGGAGGCACAGAAAGTTGTGCTTTGTGGACACAGCCCTTTTGATGGGCTGGAGCTGGGCTAGTGAGGCCCCAAGTTCTCTTCCTCCAAGTTCACTGCTCTTTCTACTTTAAACTGCAAACGCATAATTTCTCCTGGAATTCCAGAATGAACTCAGCAGGCTCTTGTGGATGTCCCAGGGACTTATGGACTACACAGCACACGAGGTTCGGTGGTGAGGCATGATGCATGGTGTCCTATACACAGGAAATACCCGTTGATACTTATGGACCACACAGCACACGAGGCTCGGTGGTGAGGCATGATGCAGGGTGTCCCATACACAGGAAATGCACACATTGATGTTGCACGTCCTGTTTAGCATTTCTTCGTGTTCACCTCTCCCATGTGAATGTGCTCGTGTTGGAATCCTTCACTTGCAGAGATGTAAACACAGTGCTCCCTGTAAAGTGATGTTGACTAAATGCTATCAGATGATGTATGTGATTCTTCTAAGTGTGTCCTTGGGAGGCATTCAACTAAACACAACCTAACATAACCAAAAATAAAAGTTTGGATCAAGTGATTGTTACAGCCCCTCTGTTCTTTGTATGAAAACTATGCATGCTTTTCACATATTGTCAGAAGTTGCTTGATTTTTTTCCCCACATTAAAATGATTTAGAGCCACATTAGCTGTGAGTGTTCTTGCTAATGCATGAAAGGGTCTCTGACGTGGGGTTAAAAGGGGTACAGAAGGGCCTCATCCTATGCAGAGGTTAGAGGCAAGAACCCACAGCTGGCTTCTCATGACAGGGAGTTGACCTGGGAAGCAAACCTGTGCCCTTCGGGTGTTCATTCAAAAGCTTTCCCTTTTGAAAAACCATTGTTTTACAGGTTTGTGTTGGCAGCAACACCCAAACCCTGCAAGCGATTGCAAAAAAAAAAAAAAAAAAAAAAAAAAAAGTGGGAATTTCCAGTAATCTGGAATGTGGAAAGTGATATTATATCCATCCCGCATTCAGTGGACTTGCCTTCACTCTCCAAATAATGTAAACCAAAGAAAGCTTCACATGGGGAAACGCTATTGAGACACGTCACCATCGAAGCGGTGTACAGGTGCTTCCCGGAGCGCAGCTGCTGTCCCTGGCAAGCAGGCTGGGAGCCTCTGTGTTCCCTTGGGTGCTGCATTGCATCTTTATGCAGAGGGGCCTCTTGTTTATTGGGGAGGGGCTGCCAGCTCCTAGCCCCTCACCATTTCCAAGTGCTGGGGATGCCATCTGGGGTTACCTGGTGAACAGAGCCTCTGATCTTACCCAATATCACCCTCCTCCAGCCAGCAGCAGTCTGATTATAGATCTGTGTGGCTGTTGGTGTGTCTCGCACCCATGTTTATTTTAAAGACATGTCATGGTAGTGAATGCCAGCCTGTCTAATGAATTACTATTGTCCAGGCAGTCTGGCCTCATTTTAGATTTAGTGTTATCTCATTTAGATAATAGTGTTACTATTCTTTTAAATAAATTGGTAGGAAAAAAAATCAATGGGTAGCACATGATGTGTGTTGCATCTCCAGCTAATGATGAACTATTAGACCCTTGGACTGTGGCTCCCGAAGTCAAGCAGCCTTTGCTGTCCTCACCACCCTGTTATGCAGGGTTTTATTTTTAAAAATTACATTCAGAAACAGAGAGGGAGGCTATGACCAGTGCGTAAAAACAAATGAACCTGGTTGATCAGAGGTTGAGGGAAGAAAGCCTGTCAGTGGCACCAATAGCTGCCTTGCTGTGTCTCCCTTTCTCCGCTACGTATTTGTGGAGCTTTTCTTTTTTCTATGTCTTTTCTCCTCCCCTTCCTCCTTCCTTTCTCCTCCTCTTTCTTTTTTAGTTTGCACTAGTGTCAACATTTTCTTCTAATGTCCCTTTATTTTTCATTTCAAATTATTTTACTTTAATGTTAAATATGTTTATTTTCTAAAAAATTAGAAAAGACAAGTAAGCCAAAACAAAACAAAACAAAAAACAAACAAACAAACAAAAAAACTAGTCTGAAGCCCCATAGTGAAGAGATAACTACTCCTCCAAATAATATATGCCTCCAAATAATATATTTTATATATGATCTATAATAAAATTGGATATAACATACGGTTGTCCCAAATGAGATTGTGTTTTGCATACTATTTTATAAATGGTTTATTTAATTTACTACGTGAACAGCTTTTGTGCTCATAAGCTCCATTTTAATGGTTGCAAAGCTGTCCATTTTGTGGATATACTATTTGCTTCACCAATTCTGTTTTGATGGGCTTATCAATTATTTTATATATATATTTAAAATTAATATAAACAAATCCCTGAGAAGTATATTTTGCTCACCCATCTACGTGTTCTTATTTGATTCTTTGGGACATCCCCTGGATAGGAAACTGCTGCTCTTTTTAAAGACAATTGCTACCGCTTGCCAAATGACCACCCAGAAAGGCTGATTCAACAGCACAGTGTGGCAGGGCCTATTTCCCTGGACCCATGCTAAATGTTTCCCTACACATTTTAATTCATTTCCTTTTGCTTTTGTTATTTTTAATTGATGTGTAGTAATTGTACATATTTATAGGGTACAGTGTGATATTTCAATACATGTGCAATGATCAAATCAGAGTAATTAGCATATCCATCGCCTCAAACATTAAGTCTTTGTGTTTGGAACATTCAATATCTGCTCTTCTAGTTAAAAATGTACCATAAATTGTTGTTAAATTACAACATAAATTGTTGTAAGTCACCCTATATAGTGCTGTAGAACCCTGGAACTTATTCCTCCTATCTGGCTGTAATTTTGTATCCATTAACCAACCTCCGGCTATCCCCCATCCCCTGCCCTCCTATTAATCACTGCTCTACTCTCTGTTTCTATGAGATCAACGTTTTTAGCTTCCACGTATGAGTGAAACCATGCAGTGTCCATCTTTCTGTGCTTGGCTTATTTCACTTAATGCAATGTCCTCCAAGCTCATTTATGTTGCCACAAATGGCAGAATTTCTTTATTTTTAATGGCTGAATAGTATTCCATTGTGTATATATACCATATTTCCTTTATCCATTCTTTTCTTAAGGAACAGTTCTGTTTATTCCATACTTTGTCTATTGTGCATAGTGTTGCCATAAACATGGGAGTGCAGATAATCTCCTCGACAGACCGATTTCATTTCCTTTGGATATATACCAGGTAGCAGGATTGCTAGGTAATATAGTGGTTCTATTCTTAGTTGTTTTGAGGAAACTCCATATTGTTTTTCATAATGGTTGAGCTAGTTTACATTCCCACCAACAGTGTATAAGAGTTCTCCTTTCTCTACATCCTTGCCAATATTTGTATATATATATATACTTTTGATAATAGCCATTCTAACTGGGGTGAAATGATATTTCACTTTGGTTTTGGTTTTGTTTTGATTTTCCCTGATGATTCACGCTGTTGAGCATTTTCTCGTATACCCGTTGGACATTTGCATGTCTTTTTTGAGAGTGGTCTATTTAGTTCGTTTGCCCATTTTTAAAATTGGATTATTATTGTTATTATTTTTGCTGTTGAGTTCCTTGTATATTCCGGATATTAATCCCTTGCAGGGTGAATAGTTTGCAAATATTTTCTCCCATTCTGCAAGTTGTCTCTTAACTCTGTTGATTGTTTCATTTGCTGTGCAGAAGTTTTTAGTTTGCTATAATCCCATTTGTCTATTTTTGCTTTTTTTCTTGCCTGTGCTTTTGAGGTCTTTTCCACAAAATTTTCTCCAGACCAAGGTCCTGAAATGTACCACCTATGTTTTCTTTTAGTAGTTTTATAGTTTGGGTCTTACATTTAAGTCAATAAACCATTTTCAGTTGATTTTTGTATGTAGTGAGAGACAAGGGTCTAGTTTTATTTTTCTACATATGGATATTTAGTTTTCCCAATACCATTTATTTAAGTGACTATTTCTTCTCCAGTTAATGTTCTTAATGTCTTTGTTGAAAACAAGTTGGCTGTAAACATGTGGCTTTATTTCTGGTTTCTCTATTCTGGTCCATTGATCTATGTGTCTGTTTCTACATTTTTAGTTTTTTTTTTTTCTAGTACCATGTCATTTTGGTTACTATAGCTTTATAATATATTTATTTTGAAGTCTGGTTATATTATGACTCCAGCTTTTTGCTCAAAATTGCTTTGGCTATTCGAGGTTTTTTGTGGTTCCAAATGAATTTTAGGATTTTTTTTTATGTCTGTGAAGAATGTCATTGGTATTTTAATAGAAATTGCATTGAATCTGTAGATTGCTTTTGGTAGTACAGTCATTTAAAATATATTAATTCTTCCAGTTCATGGACATTGCATATCTTTCCCTTTCGTGTGTGTGTCTTATTCAGTTTATTTCATCAGTGTTTTACAGTTTTTCTTACAGAAACCTTTCACCTCATTTGTTAAATTTACTCCTAAGTATTTTATTCTTTAATAGCTATGGTAAGTGGAATTGCTTTCTTTACTGATTTTTCTGCTATTTTCTTGTTGGTATACAGAAACACTACTGAATTTTTTTACCTTGATTTTGTATCCTGCAACCTTACTAAATTATTTATCAGCTATAAAAGGTTTTGGTGGAGGTTTTAGGGTTTTCAATATATAAGATCATGTCATTAGCAAATAGGGATAATTTGACTTTCTTCTTTCCAGTTTAGATGACCTTTATTTCTTTTTCTTGCCTAATTGCTCTGGCTAGAACTTCCAGTACTATGTTGAATAAAAGTGGTGAAAATGGGCATCCTTCTTTTCTTCCAACTCTTAGAGGAAAAGCTTTCAACTTTTCCTCATTTAGATTGATGTTGGCTGTGGGTATGTCATATATAACCTTTATGATGTTGACATATGTTCCTTCTGTACCTAACTTGTTGAGAGTTTCTTTTTTATCATGAAGAGATGTTTAATGTGATCAAATGCTTTTTCTTTCTATTAGTGATTATATGATTTTTTCATTCATTCTGTTAATATGTTATATCATGTTTATTGATTTTTCTATTTTGAGCCATCCTTGTATCCCCTGGGATAAATCCCACTTGATCATGATGAATGATCTTTTTAATATGCTGCTGGATTCAGTTTGCTAGTATTTTGTTGAGGATTTTTGTATCTATGTTAATCAGGGGTATTGGCCTATAGTTTTCTTTTTCTTTCTTCCTTTCCCTTCCCTTCTCTTCCCTTCCCTTCCCTTCCATTCTGCCCTACTTCCCCTCCCCCTTCCCCTTCCTTTCCCTTCCCTTTCTCACTGTTTGGTTTTGGTATCAGAGTAATTCTGGCCTTGTAGAATGAATTTGGAAGAATTACCTCCTCTTTAATTTTCTGCAAGTGTTTGACAATTGGTATTAGTTCTTCTTTAAATGATTGGTAGAATTTTGCAGTGAAAGTATTGGGTCCTGGGGTTTTCTTTAATGGGAGACTTTTTATTAAATATTCAATCTTGTTACTTGTAATTGGTCTGTTCAGGTTTTCTATCTCAAAATTTTTGGGGGTTTCAGTCTTGTTAGGTTGTATGTGTCCAGGAATTTATTCATTTCCTTTTTGTTTTCTAAGTTTTTGGAATATAGTTGTTTGTAATACTCATTAATAATCTTCCATATTTCGGTGATGTCAGTGGTAATGTTTTCTTTTTCTTTTTTGATTTAATTTATTTGGGTCTTTATTTTTTTTGTCTCCGTTAGTCTAGGTAATGGTTTGTTGACTTAAAAACGTCTTTTCAAAAGACCAACTTTTTCTTTCATTGATGTTTGGTATTTTTTTAAGTCTCAATTTAATTTAGTTCTCTTATTTTTATTGTTTATTTTCTTCTACTCGTTTGGGGTTTGTTTTGTTTTTGTTTTTCTGGTTCCTTGCAATGTATCATAGCCTGTGTATTTGAAATCTGTTTACTTTTTTGATGTAGGTGTTTATAACCCTCTCTCCTCATCCTGCTTTTGCTATATTCCATAGGTTTGTTGTGTTTCTATTTTCTTTTGTTCCAAAAATGTTTTAAATTTTGTTTTTAATTTCTTCATTGATTTGTTGATCTTTAAGGAACATATTGCTTAATCTCCACATATTTGTATAATATTGAAAGTTTATCTTGTTATTGATTTCTAGTTTTATTCCATTGTGGTCAGAAAAGATACTTGATATGATTTCAATTCTTTTAAATTGGTCAAGAATAGTTTTATGGCCTAACATGTGGTCCATCCTGGAGAATGTTTCATGTGCTAATAAAAAGAATGTGTGGTTTGTAGCAGTTGGATGAAATGTTTTGTAAATGTCTGTCAGGTCCATTTGGTCTAGAGGTCAGTTTAAATCTGATATTTATTTTATTGACTTTCTGTCTTGATGATCGGTCCAATGGTGAAAATGGGATTTTGAAGTTTCCAACTATTATTATATTGGAGTCTATCTTTCCGTATAGATCAAATAATATTTGCTTTACATATCTGGGTGCTCCCATGCTGGGCACATATCTATGTACAATTGTTACATCATCTTTCTGAATTCATACCTTCACTATTGTATAATAACCTTCTTTGTCTCTTTTCATAATTTTTGACTTAAAGTGTGTTTTACCTGATATAAGTCTGGCTACTCCTACTCGCTTTTGGTTTCTGTTTGTGCAAAATATCTTTTTCTATCTTTTTACTTTCAGTCTGTGTGTGTATTTACAGATGAAGGGAGTCTCTTACAGGCAGCATATAGTTGGGTCATGTTGTTTCATTTATTCAGCCAGGTATATTTTTTAAATGGAGAATTTAATTTGTTTCCACTTATGTTATTTTTGTTAGGTAAGGACTTATTCCTGTCATTTAGTTAATTGTTTTCTGGTTATTTTGTTCCTTTCTTCCTTTCTTATTGCTTATCATTGAGGTTTGGTGGTTTTCTGTAGTGATAAAGTTTGGTTATTTTCTCTTTCTCTTTTGTATATCTCCTCTACAAGTGAGTTGTATACTTTTGCATGTTTTCAGGGTAGTGATTTTTGTCTTTTAGCTTTAAGATATAGGACTACTTTGAGAATTTCTTGTGAGGCTGGTTTAGTGGTATTGAATTCCCTCAGTTTTTGCTTGTCAAAGAAAGACTTTATTTCTTCTTCATTTCTGAAAAATAGCTTTGCTGAGTATATTTTTGACTGGCAATTTTTTCTTTCATCATTTTGACTATATCATCACATTTTCTCTTGACCTGTAAGGTTTCTGTGGAGAAATCTGCTGTTAGTCTAATGCGGATTCCCTATATGTGACTAGACACTTTTCTCTTGCTGTTTTTGGAAATCTCTCTGTCTTTGAATTTTGACAATTTGACTATAATGTGCCTCAGGGAGGATCTTTTTTGGTTTGGATTTATTTGTGAATCTTTGAGATTCCTGGACCTGGATGTCCATATCTTTCCCCAGAATTGGGGAATTTTCAGCTATTATTTCATTAAATGGGTTTTTGATGCCTTTTTCATTCTCTTCTGCATTTGGAAATCTCATAATATGTGTATTTTTTTGCTTAATGGTGTCCCCCATAAGTCTTACAGACTTTCTTCCCTCTTTTTCATTTTTTTGTTTTTCTCTGACTAGGTAATTTCGAGTAACCTATCTTCAAGTTCAGAGATCATTTTTTTCTGCTTGATTAAATCTGCTGTGGAAGCTCTTATTGCATTTTAAAATTAAATTCATTGCATTCTTCAGCTGCAGTATTTCTGTTCTGTTCTTTTTCATGATTTCTATATCTTTGTTTAATTTTCTCCTTATCCATGAATTATTTTTCTCACTTCACTGAATTATTTTCCTGTATGTGTGGTATCTTGTTGAGTCTCCTTAAGAGCATTATTTTGAATTCGTTTTCTGGCACTTCATTAATTTCCTTTTCATTGGGTTCTGTTACTACAAGTTATGTTCTCTTGGTGGCATCATATTTTCTTGCTTTTTCATGCTCCTTGTGTTCCTGTATTGATGTCTGTGCATCTGGTGGAACAGTTGCTTCTTCCAAACTTTCTACAGTGGCTTTCATAGAGAAAGGCTTTTCACTTGCAGTTGGGTTTTATCGTGCTTATTAAGAAGGGTATAGTAACAGTTTCCAGATAGGTGCCGTGGCACAATCTCCATGCAGCTTCTTCAGTTGTCTTCAATATCAGCAAAAACTGTGGGCACCTCAGTGATCTAGGCTGTAGGCACTTATGGCAGTGGCAGCATAGGTTGTTAATGACCTCTGTGTCAAGGCTTTTGGGGTCTTCCTATTCTTTTTTTCTCCACATTGGGGAAACTTAGCTGAGAAGATTCCTTCTTGATTTCAGGTCTGAGACTGCCTGTAAACAGCTGCTGGAGTGCTGTGTTCCAGGTGCAAGTGTTTGGCTCAGCGGTGGGGCCAGATTTCTAGCCTCAGGGTCTCACAAACTTATTGTGACACTGGAATCTTGGGGGTACAGGTTTGCTGTCTCTAGCAGGGTTAAATGTAGGTTGCTCACAGAGCCAGGATCTGTGCCTCTGAGGTACCTCTTAGTAGTACAAGCCTGGGGACTGAGTAGTACCTGTGATTTTGCCCTTGGGAGGCAGGGCACAACCCTGGCCTGACTCTGGGGAAGAAGGAATTCTCTGGAGGTTTGGGCCAGAAGAGCAGATATGGCTGCAGTTTGGGAATGTGAGCCAATAGGGCTCAGTGGCGTCTTGGGTCCCAGGGTTTGAAACACCATGTAGTAGTGACTCTAGACTCTAGGGTGGGGGTGGGGGGCAGTAGCTGAGACTCTGTGAGGACAGGTTCAGTGGCAGCAAAGACTCCAGAGCACAGCTGTAATTTGGGCATGGAGGGATCAGAAAATGGCATAGTGATGACTACACTCCCTGGAGAGAGGGATGTCTCGAAAGCTCAGACTCTAGAGGGCTAGTCCAGCTCCGACTCTAGAGGGCTAGTCCAGCTCCAGGAAAGTAGGGTATTAGAATTGTTTGTACTGTAGGGCAGGGTGTCTCAGCTCAGCCACTGCTGTGTTTCCCTGAGATGCAGGATAGTACATTAGCTCAGTCCTGGTATGCACAGCTGCTGTGTTGCTGAGCTTGGCCGGAGCACTGATTCCCCAGGGGTCCATGTGCTGCTTCAGCTCAAGTGCAGAATATGTGACTGTTCTGTGTGGCTCAGACATTTCTGTGGGATGCAGGGCTCTACTTCAAGTTAGGCATGGAGGAGGCATAACTCCTCGGAGTGGCCAAGATATTATTTTCTCAGGAGGTAGGGCACTGCTTCAGCTCAAGCTGGAGAGGGTGCAGGAGGCATAGGTGGAAGGGACCCACCTCTGCTTGGTCTTCTGGGGAGAGAGATAACAGTTGCTTGCAGCTCAGCTTAGGGATGTCGGGCCACCAGGGTGGGCTGGTTCATTAGTGGCTTAGCCTCAGGGATGAAGGGGAGCCATACCTACATGCCCCGGAAGCAAGGCGTGCTCCAGCCATCATTCAGTTCCAAGACTGCACCGCAACGTAGCTGCACAGGGAGTGGGGACAGTGTTGGCTCCTTTTCTGGGGAAAGCACAGCTGTGTGGCCTCTGGGCAGCTCCCTCAGCTGGACTTGGTGCTGGTGGGGACCGCAGGGGACCCCAGTGGTGAGGTGTTTTGTAGGTGTCCAAGGTGTTGATGGGGGTTGCTGGAATCCTCTTGTTTGCCTCCTGGCCATAGGCAGAAGCTCCTTCTGGTTCCTGGCTGATCCTGGTTGGCGATGGGGTGGTGGAGGCCTGGCTTTTCCTTCTGCTGTCTACATGGCTATCCTGGGTTTCTGTGCTCACCAGTGTTTCTGTTACTTCTCTGATGCACTCCGGTGTTCTCCCTCAGTTATTTTCACCAAATGTGCTTGTTTATTTGTTGTTCTGGCTTTCTTTGGTAGGGCGGACGAGGACTAGGGGCTTCTA
Organism: Homo sapiens; assembly: GCF_000001405.40. Taxonomy (NCBI): domain Eukaryota; kingdom Metazoa; phylum Chordata; class Mammalia; order Primates; family Hominidae; genus Homo; species Homo sapiens. The sequence goes on along the minus strand of NC_000018.10, from coordinate 76,327,490 downwards.
ATCAGCTGTCTTGCTGATGACCAGGCAGCCATTCGTTTCCTTTTAAAGGAGGCTTCTTTCTATTTTTTTTTTTATTGTCCATTCAGTGATTGTCTACTTACCTTTCTGGTTTTGGTCCAATTATCTCTTCTCTGATTGAAAACAAGAAAGTAGCAATTTGGGTGCTAAACCAATTTCTGCATTTCAGTGGCCGTGCATGAATCCTCTCTGATAACCTGAGAATGATCTCTCTGTCTCCTCTCTTAGCCACACCATGGCCTTACCATCTCTTCTGAAATTCTGCACACAGTCATCTGCAATCTGAGTGGTAAATTGTGTTTCAGACCCTGGTGCACTGCCCCTGGTATGTCCTTCCATCGTAACAGAGCCTTTCATTTGTGCTCGGTTAATTTTTCAGTCAATTCCTGAAAGTTTCCACTGTTTTTCTTCAGGTATTAAATGCTGATGGTGTAGTAGACATTTACCTCAACCCCATAATTTATTTAGCTCTTTGTGCAATAGATTTCATTAAATTAAAAAAAAAGGTTTATTTGTTTTGACAAGTCCGTGTGCTACCATCGTATTGTGCCATGAACATGTCATAATAGAAAATAGTCCCTGCAATTAGCTCGGTGGTACTATGACTTAGAAAATGGCTGCTTTATAATTTTTGACAATTTGAAACTCAACCAAAGTGCTCCCTATAAACACCCTCATTTATGAGATGGATGTTTCTTTAGCTTTGATAGGGGCAAGAGCCAAGATAAACCAACCATCTCCCTAGATTACAAGCAGTAATGTATAGAACACCCACCTTGCAGGGGTCAGACACAGCGCCCAGCCCACCTTGTCGGTAGTGCCGAGTGCCATCACCTGACCATTGTGAGTTAGAGAAAGAATCCACCCCAAGGGAGCACATCAGTGCAACATGCCTTTGAAGTTTTACCTCTTTCATATCTTGGCCCAGACTTGGGTTTTGATCTAAAGTATACAGTTACTAGTAGTTCTAGTTATTCCTTCCAGAATAGTAATTATTTTTCTCTTTCTTGACATTTCTGGTGCCATTCTAACTTTGATAAGAATTTTTTTTTTTTAGTTATGGGATAATGATATTGCCAATGACAAGTCTCCCTCTCTCTCTTTTTTCTAACTTCTCCAGGTTTTTGGGAGGGCGTATGTGATAACCTACTTACTTTGCCAACATAAGTAATGTGAAGCAGTAAGAACAGCAACATGGATTCTTCATTTCTTGAAAACACCATTAACACATCTTACTCTGTCAGACATTAGCAGGCTTGTTTTATGTCTTTGTGATTGTTAAGTAAAAATAGAGACCATGTTATTGTCTGTGTTTGGTAAAATGTCTTAGGCATTCAACATGCTTTATAAATAATAACATTAATAACAGTGCAGCTGAATCACTAAATGTCTTCTGAGCTTTTTTCTCTCACTAAATTCGAAGTTGGCTTTTCATTCTCTGCTCTTCCCACATACCCTGGCTTCTCCTGGCATTTTAATCAGTTATTTTAGTCTAAAACATATTGTTATGTTCTTCATATACATATCTTATTTATATCTACTAACAATCTTTTAAGGATGATTTTATTATTTGCACTTTGGGGATGTGAAAATATTAATATTGCCACTTGGAGGTTCAGAGAGGTTAATTAACTTATCAAACGTCACTCTTGTAAAAGTGCAGAGCAAGGATTTGAACTTGGTTCTGCCTGGCCCCAGTGTCTGACTTTTTTTTCCCAGTAACACTTTGCTGCTCTAGTGCTCTCAGTACATCAGATTCACTTAGACAACTGGAGTCTTCTCTGGTGTTGTAGAGCTTGTTTACTGCTAGCACCTGTGTGGGCACACGTGACAATCTCAAACATGAAAATAATATTACTTTTTATGCAATAAAATTCACTGTTAATAAGTGCAGAGGCCACAAGCCTTCTCCACCTTCTGCTTCATTTTACTGGTATGTTCTTTGAACATCTACCACATGGGATGACTGCAATAACTTGACCCTGCTCCTGGAATTATGTTGGGTACAGGGGGTCAGAGCGAGGAGGTGATTGAAAGATGCCCACATCCATTCATTCAGTGATCAGGTATACAAACGCTAGACAGATGTGATTTCTGCCTTCATGGAGCCCAGAGTGCAGGAGGAGAAGTGAGCCGGTAGTCAGCAACTGTCGTGATAAAGATACTGAACCGAACGGGAGGCTAGAGGGTCTTCCTGGAGCCACCTCACCCTACCGGGGTATCAGGGGAGACTTCCAAAGAAGGGCTGTGTTGGGAACTTGGCTGAGACTTGAGGGATGAGTAGGGTTTATTCAGGCAGAGTGGATAAAGCACCATATAGAGGGTGCAGCCCTTTCCAACTAGTTGTATCGTCTAACAAAAGCCACAGGGCCTACCTTGTAAAACCCATCACCCCAGGACGGTAAGTCTCAGCCTCCATGAAGCGTTTTTAAACATCTTAAGCCAGTGACCAAATATAAAATTGTTTACTCTTATCATGACTAAATTCATCCATTTGATGGCCTTAGGTGGCTAAATTTTGGGTAGATCTGTACAACTAAGAAGCTAGTCTAACAGTTTGAGTCTTTAGAAAACACCAATAATTTTTGAGCAAAGTTTTGACTTATAATATATTTCAAAAATTTGTTTGGTTAGCAGATTGCTTTTCTTTAACAAGAAGCAACTGGAAATAAACTATTTTCCAAGCCCAAATACATTTTAGAGGCTTTTGTCAAAACTGTGGAGTTAATATAAGGTCTTGGGGCTGGACCCAGGCTGAGACTCTTACTCCACATAGGAAGACAGACAAGTTCTGTACCAACAATGTGTTGGAATTATACACATCCACACAGTCTTCCAAATAACTTCAAACTCAGCAACTCTGCAGACAGTGGGCCAGCTTGGGCACAACTGCAATAACTCAGCCTCACTCTGCGGACTGCTCTTCCTTTCCCAGCCGATGAATGCCTGCCCCTTGCCCCGCAGTTCTTACCACTGGCCTAACAGGGAGAAACTGCCTGTCTGGAAGGGATAGGTGAACAGTCTTTACTGATGTCGCACCTCCTGAAAGCAGAGGGTGACAGGAAGACTGTCTGAATGACACAGTCCTGTTCTTGCAATTCCAACCCTGATCTCCATGGGGTCCTGGGCTTGGCGCGAGGCTGTCTTGACATCTTTTAGGCTGCAGTCGTGTGAATGAAGGCTTGTTTCCACATATTATCTGTTCTTTTTGGCTACCACTTTGCTCTACAAGCCCCCTTTGGGTCAGGGAACTTGAATTATTGAAATAATAAATCACACCAAAATCCATCATTTGTGCCGGAAATGAGGCTCAGCGTTTGCATTTACTGATATGGATTTTTCCACCTGGGCTTGACCTTGGGCTGCATTTCTACTTTGTGAGTCAGAATACCTAAATGTTTGCCAGCCTCAGGGCCTGCTTTTCTTACAGGTTCTTTGGGTGGAAAATAAGACGGGACGTTACTGATCCTGTTTTACCTCTCAAATGACCTGCGAAAGGTAAAGACGAACCAGGCAGCCCGTAAGAAACTGGGGGTACTGGCCTGGTGGCTGTTCTTCTTGGTTGATATATTTCTACTAGATTTTAAGAAACTTGGCTTGCTAATATGACCACAGATATTTAGATTGCAAAATGTAACAGAAATATAACCAGATATATGTATATCTATATACTCTAAATCTAAACCTACATCTGTACCTTTAGTAATACCTATGTCTATGTTTGCATTGATAGTCACGTCAATACCAATATAGACATAGAATACATGTGCATGAGAATGCAAGAGGGCAGGGAGGAGAAAAGCCACAGAGATGTTTGGGATGAAATTGCATTCTGAGCATTGGAAAGTGAAGCTTGATTTTTGTTTTTCGCTTTTACTGTTTTCAGAAAATTGTCAATGTGAATTCAAGGGTGATTGGAGGCCTCTGTTTATCCAAACCGTGGATTTTGGAGAATCATTAACAGGTGAACTGGTACTGAGAAGCCCAGGCTTTGAGCCTCTGCCTGTTCTCACCTGGGTGTAGGTGATGGGCTAACAGGACTTCTCAGGTCTGGATCCAGGTACACCAGATTGACAGCTGTACTGTTAGAATCAGTTTGGGTTCTTTCTTTGCGTGTGCCCCTGTCAAACCCCCCAGCTCATGCCAAATCTTAAGCCAATGTGAAATGGGGGGCTTGAAGATGCTGGTTTGTTTTGTTTTTATTCCTGGTATCCTTATCTTCTTAATTTTCTCTTCCTCTCTGTAAGCAACTTATTGCTCAAAAAGAGGTAGAACAAGAAAAGGATGAGTATTTTATGCCTTGTCCAGGTTCACCTAGCAGATGAAAGTCTTTAATATCACGATGTTCCTGCCTCAAGGGAGGCTGTGAGTCAGAAGTGTGTGTAAAGAGAAGAGGAAGGAGAGTAGAGGATTTACAGTTTAATCTGTAAATGAATACGCGTAGTGTATGCTTTAAAAATACTGTGAGGATGAGTATATGCGTTTCATATGTATATGAAATGCTTAACTCAGTATCAGCACATGGAAAGAGCTAACACAGATGGCATGTGGTTGTTGATGATAGTAATTGACGAGCCCTGTTGCTGTTTGGTTTCAGCTGGTTTGGAGAGCTGGAACCTCCCCACGTCTCTGCATACTCACTTTCCCACTCGCTGCTGGTGGCATGGTGTTAGATCATAGCTCACTTGGAAACTGAGTTCAAAACCTGATTTCTCAGCTTTCCTTATTTCTGTCCTCCGTGGATATCCACTGTTAGGTCTCATGCCTGCCCACATTGTGAACTATGTCAAATCTTTGCCCCCGCGAGCAACTTCTACTCTACTACCGCAATCTGATCTGCTTTTTACTATTATTGAAGAGGCTTACGTGGTATTGCTTGAACAGACTCTTCTAGAAGCTTTGCATCCCTTGGCCTTCTCCTATCAACCCCTCTTTAACTGGTCACCTAGGAACTGTCCTTCAAGACTTGGATTCCAATTTGCTTTGGAAATGTATTCCAAGGAATGGGTGAGATTTTCGGGGGAGCACCGCCTGTGAATAAAACAAAGATTCAGCCGCGATAGCCAGCCACAAACGATTGTAAGTTGTTTACGAAGATAAGAGACAATGCTTGGTTTTTATCTGGTGCCACAGAAACGATGTGACTCAGAGCCCTGAGCAGGGTTTGGGATGGCGCTGAGCACAAGGAGGACACGCAGATGGATGCATTATCTTCTTTCACTCAGCAGACGGTAGGAGAGTCTCTTATTTTTATTGTATTTTTTTTGTATTTAATATACAAGAATTTGACAAAGTACTACAGTCTAATCATCTAATAATATCCATTTTACCCCATAAAATTATTATATCAGTCTTAAAATGTTAAATATGTCACTATTAGAAGAGAGTAACATAAAACTCAGTTTATAATATTAAAACTCATAACATGACACAACGTTATCAATCACATTCCCTGGTAATATTAAACTTTCCTCATTTTTCTTTAATTTTGCATTTTTAGTGTAACAAATTGAGATTAAAGCAGCAGGCTTTTGTTCACAATCTCTTGGCAGTGAGTGGCAGGAAAGTTGGAAGTAGAGAGATGACAAAACAAATCACAGGAATCCCTAATATTTAATAATGTTTGAGATAGATGACTGAGATGTAAGAGCCAGGGCAGTAATCAGTACTGGATCAGTGTAGACGTTCCAGTAATTATCCAGTCTTCGTGTTAGGTCACTTTTGAATAAATGTAGACACTTAGAAAAAAAGGCTTGAATTAAATTGCATAGCTTGGAAGAAATGGAGATATACCTCTTAGAAGGTTTTAGTTTTCTCTCTGTGGTTTTTAATGAACTCTCTGAATATTTTCCCTTAAAGGCAGAGTAACTTGTCAAATCTGGAGTTATTTTTTAAATAAGCATCTTAATATAGCTTCACACAAATGACTGCCTCTCTGAACCATACCCTGGAAAATTTACATGACAAAAATATTTTCCTATGTGTGTTTAAAAATGTCTCAATATGCTTACTCATTATATTTCTTAAGAAAACAGAGCTGTAAAAATTGCCTTTTAAGTTTTACCAATAAGCAGGGGGAATCTTCTGAAAATCTTTGTGATTTAAACATCTTTGTGATGAATTGAGGACTATTACATAATAAAGCTAAAAAAAAAACTGTACAGGTTGAGTTGGCCTGGCGCTCTCTTTGCACATAATATATCTATCAATGACTTTGTGACGCATCACATGTTATAACCTAGTTCACCACATCAAACTTTTCAGCCCAGCTTATAAACTCAGCTATACCAGCTGCTGAATCATTTGCACCAAGTAACATTTAGCTTCTCACTGAAGAGGGTCCCCTTTGGAAGGCTTGGCTAGATTTACTGTAGGTACCGTACTATTTGATCTGCTGTGTTCAGGCAGCAAAAGTGAACATGAACTCTATGCAGAATAAGATAGCCTGTCTGTATTGTAATTTTTTTTTTTTTTGAGATGAAGTCTCGCTCTTTTCCCCCAGGCTGGAGTGCAATGGCATGATCTCAGTTCACTCACTGCAACCTCCACCTTCCAGGTTCAAGTGATTCTCCTGCCTCAGCCTCCTGAGTAGCTGGGATTACAGGCGCCTGTGACCACTCCCGGCTAATTTTTGTTTTTTAGTAGAGACGGGGGTTTCACCATGTTGGCCAGGCTGGTCTCGAACTCCTGACCTCAGGTGATCCACCCGCCTCCGCCTCCCAAAGTGCTTGGATTACAGGCGTGAGCCACTGCGCCCGGCCTGTATTGTAATTTTTACATTGAGGGTTCTCCTCACATCTTAAATGTATTCATGTAACTTGAATGGCACGTTCTTAAGGATGTCTTTGAACTTCTTATTAGAAGTTTGCCGTTCTCTGAGAGAACTCGAGATGCTAACTACAGTGCAGTAAGAGTGCCTGGTGATTTCTCCTCCATTATTAACAGGGGTCTTTTCTTGTTGTTGCCAAAGAAAAGCCTTAGCCAGTAGCAAATTTTAGTACTGGTTGCATATAGCTGCGTGGTGATATTTACCAACTAGCTCTGTTGGAATTACTAATTTGAATGACTCATGGCCAAGACAAAGTCTGCGTCTCCGGAGAAAATGACACTTCTGGTTACCAGCCATTAAGCCCCTAATGACACAAATAGGTTTCACATGAATTTATTGAACACATACTGGGTACAAGTCAGACTGTTAGAAACAGGGAGACAGAGATGAAAAAGAAACTACAACCGTTTGCGTAACATAAGTGCTCTCTGTATCTCTGAAGGAAATGCTGAAGAAAGGGTTAATTTTGCTTTGAGGATGGGAGAAGTGAGGAAGACTCCGCAGGGGAGGTGACAATGGGAATTTGCAAAGTTGCATGGAAGAGCATAGGGTAACCTGGCAAGGTGTTACAAATTCAGGCGTAGTGCAGTGCATGTAATTTAACCTTTGAGGAGGTATCTATTGCATTGGGAACAGTGAGAAGACTTTCCTGTGCATAAGCTCATTAAATCCTCACAACAACTTAATCTTTTTTTATTTTTATTTTATTTTATTTATTTATTTTTTGACACAGAGTCTCGCTCTGTAGCCCAGGCTGGAGTGCAGGGGTGAGATCTCCGCTCACTGCAAGCTCCGCCTCCCAGGTTCACGCCATTCTCCCGCCTCAGCCTCCCGAGTAGCTGAATATTTTTTTAATAGTAAAGTGAGGGCATTGGGTTTAGATCGGCTCGCAGCTTCTTGTAACTCGGAATTTCTAAATCTGTGCCATATTTCAATTCATGATCAAATCACAAATCACTTACAACTTCAGTGAAGCGCTTGCAATAAGAAACCTGATTCAGACTGTATGCATAAAAATGACTTTCCAGTTCTGTTTTTGCCAGACCTTCTGGATTTGGTCTGTTGTGAAAACTTGTATTTGTGTGGCACTTCACCATTTTCAAAGCTTATTATTCACACATTCATTCAGCTCTCACTCCTTTAGTCCACCACACACAGATGTAAGACTGACTAGTGTTCAGTAGCGTTAGCTTTCTGGAGTTAGGATGATGTGGTTTCCTTCCCATTCTCTTGCCCAAATGCTCTGTGACTGATGACATTTAATTATAAGACATCCACCTGGTATTAGGTGAGCTGTCTGTGGCCACAGAAAAGAGCAGAGTTGATTGGCCAGCACAGAGTGGAGTCTACAACCTATCCTTGCACTTTGCTGAAGATAACTAGCCCAGTCAACTAGTCAAAGTACAACAACTGCTGCCTCGCCTAGGAATTCAACTTGGGTATAAAAATTATATTCATGATTCTCATTGTGCATTTTATGGGTGATTTGAGCATAAAGTAGAGTTATTTCATGGAATTCTCAAAGGCCTATTTTATATCTTCTATGCTCAAAAAGCCAAAGAGAGAAGGGACAGAAACATACTTGCAGAATGGGCAGTATTGATCTGTGAGCTCTGGACTTCCACACCATGATTATTTTCTTTCTGTGTATGAACATTTTTTAGAGAAGGGGAACAAAAATAACTGTTGGGGAAAAGGATGCATTTGGGTACAATAATGTGGTTGTTTGTTATCACTGTGGTTACGTTTGCTTAGCAAATATCTGCGTGCACAAGAAACGAGATGGAGCCTGCCTTTCTACCAGATTGTTTAACTCACGGCCACCACGTACATAAAATCATGTTTATTTACACTTAATTTTTAAAACCAGCTTGGCAAATGTCTCCATTACAGGGTAATTCTTATGTAGCCATTTTTTTCCCCCCACAGGACTTGGAGCATGGTCTTTGATCTGGAATATTTTGGATGGGAGACAAAGTATTGGGATGAAATCTAAAAGTTTGTATACACAGGACTTCTTCCAGTGCTCTCAGCCAAAGCCAATACCCAGCCACGGCTAAATCATTCTAATGAGTTAAGTATTGTGTGTGGCTTTGTCTTCTTAAGCAAATGGATTTGTTTCTGTTTCTGAAACTGCCAGGGATCAGTCAAGCCAATATTCCCGTGGAAGAGAAGAATACCTGTTCCTAAGAGAGCTGGATGCATTTCTCTCTGTGGTGGAAGCGATTGCTGAAGCTAAAGCTGAGTTCCAGAATTGAATCTGTAGTTGTATTTGAGAATTGTTCCTACCTAGGGTCCTGACTGATGAGTGAAATAAATAACTGCCCCTCTTTCCACGTTAATGCACAGGCACCTTTATCAAATCCACATGCTGGGCAGAATGAGCCATTGTCAATTTGAGAGCAAGACAACCAGGAATGCGACTCACTGGACAAGGAGACGCTTAGAACAGGTTCCCGATTTTCCCTCTTTACTGCTTTTTATTTATTTATTTATTTATTTTTGACACAGTCTCACTCTGTGGGCCAGGCCGGAGTGCAGAGGCATGAACTTGGTTCACTGCAACATCTGCTTCCCAGGTTCAAGCGATTTTCCCACCTCAGTCTCCTGAGTAGCTGGGATTACAGGCGCGTGCCACCACGCCCAGCTAATTTTTGTATTTTTAGTAGAGACGAGGTTTCACCATGTTGGCCAGGCTGGTCTCGAACTCTTGACCTCAAGTGATCCACCTGCCTTCGCCTCCCAAAGTGTTGGGATTACAGGTGTGAGCCACCACGCCCGGCCCCTCTTTACTGTAAAAGGAAAAGGGACATGACCCAGATTGAGTAGAAATGGCTGTGGAGGGACCTGAGCAAGGGCTGCTAGCAAGGGCTGCTAGAGAGAACAAGCTGGTACCTGTGCCCAGCTCCAGATTGTGGCTGCAATAAGGGACAGGTGATGACCACACGCGTCAATCACTAGCTCCTCCCTCGCGCACCTCGCACCTTCCAAAGAGCCCACCTGGGCTCTTACAAACATCCTCCACTTTTCTCTGCCCCTCTGCACCCTCCCCACTCATGTAGACTTTAATGACCACAGTAGACATAAAATTATTCTGTAGAAGTGATGACTTTATGACCACAGAAGTAAAATTATTCTATAGAAGTGGTAACAAATGTTTATTTTCTTTTAAACAGAATGTTAGAATTTCACTTTTATGCATAAGAAAGAGAAATAACACAATGGTATGCATGTCTCCACAGAGAGTAGGTGGCTGGGACTCGCAGTTGAAGTTAAACTTCCCTTTCTACCCATCAGAGTCATGTTAGACTCTTCACAGAGTGGATTACTCACACAGTACTCAAGTTCATTGCTCTGACCTACTTTAGTAGGATAATGCTGTAGAGTTTGTGGGTGTCCCCCCTTTTCCCTCACACAATGTGTGCATAGCCTGTCCTGGAAGGCTGGTTGTCATTTTGTAGGTTTCAGTTGTGATTATAAAATGATTGTGATTATAATGATGATAAAATGCTCAGCCTCCTTTCATGTGTGTTGGGAGAGCTACAGGTGGCTTGTGAGACCATGTCCTGTTCACTTGATTTTGTTTTACCCATTTAGTCAGATATTTATTCTTTGTGTGACAATTTTTTACTTTGGCAGATGCTGTGACTCCCTGCAGTAATAAAAGTGTACCAAGGAGTGGAAAATCCAAAACACTGGGTCATCCTCAAACCATTTGTGTTTGTTTATACCTGCATTTTTAATAGGTCCAAGAAGACTGCAGATCCCATAAGAAAGACGGATAATGGCCAGTCTGTTTCCGAAAGAGACGAGAATCACCTTTTTCATTGTATTTTCGTGTCTGGTCACTACTCACTGCCTCCTTCAGGCCAGGGGCAGCTTTAAGCTCCTTTGCATCAGGTTGACCTCACAACAAGGGCATCTTCAAGGTGCAACCCCTCCTGGTGTGCCTTGCGGCACAACCGAGATGCCGGGCAGGAGAACAGATGGGGAGAGAGCTCAGATCGTTTTCTTGCCACCGCTAACCCAGCCGTGACCCTAGACAAGTTAATTTCCCTCTCTGAACCTCAGGGTCCCCAGCTGAAGATACAATTTCCACACCAACAGGGGTATTAGCAGTGAGTACTAAGTAATATAATATATATAACTTACTGTAGCTCCAATATCCGCATGCAGTAAGGGTAGCTGCTAATTTTATTTGTCAAACCAAGTTTCTGATTGCAACAAATACCCAGGGGTCCAAAAAAAAGTCTGAATGTCCTTACGCTAAAGTGAAGATTTCCTTCTGAGACACTTTGTGTTATTTCAACCATGCTTGTTTCTCAAACCAAGCTAAAAATTAACATATCTTTTTAGAGGCTGGGAAGAAATGACTAATTTTAATATTCTTTTGACTTATAAAATGCAGATATGATATTTTTCTGTTTTATGGATTGAATTCTAATATGATATTGTTATCTGCTGTTAACAGGTGTTTGGAAAATGCAGCTGTATTAGATACGTATCATTTGTTTACAAGGTTCTGGGTGGGTGATTAGTCAGAAAGATGGAAACTGTTCTCAAGAAAAGAGAACAGGGTTGGAAGACAGGGAATGAGAAGCAATGTCAGATGAAAAAGCAGAAGCAGCTTGTGAGTCATGGTCTCAAGACTAAAGTGAAGGAGTGATGTTTAACATGTCCATCGTTCTGTACTTTGAAGGAGATGTAAATGGGACTGAGTGCTGTAAGTGTCCACAGGTCACACCCACCTTCGATCTTCAAACCCTTTCCTGCCTCTTACCACTCACCAGCCCTGTCATTTTTTTGCATGTGGAAGATGGATTCCAACACTCACAATTCAGGGCGGAGTGGACAGTTCAAAACATAAAATTAAAAAATGCAGCTATGTCTTCATTGGACAACCCTTGCAACCAAACGTATTTTAAATGATGCTCAAAAGTTTCAGGTGGGAATTAGGCTGTCTGAGATGAAATTCTTTTTGAAATTGGATGTTACACTAGGCATCCACACATCCGATTTCACAGGAGGAAGACCATGTTTTGGAAGAAGATAACAATAACACATGTGTCTTTTCAAAGCCCCAGTGCAGCTGGAGTAGCAGATTAAGGGAGATTTGTAAACTGTTTCTAAAAAAGTACATCACATTCCTCAGTTTGAGTGACATAGGAATTTTAATAAGCATACAGTCGTCTGTTTCCTGGCAGACCTCTGCCATAGCTTGTGGACATCTTTTCTACATAAACTTTATTAAAAAAATTACCCTGTAAAGTAATATTGAGTTGGTAGATTTTTGGGCCACTCTTTTCATACTGAAGTATGGCAATTTTCAACCGCCTACCCATTGGTTAAATTCACAAGTCAGGTGCAGACTTAGTAGTCTCAGCTAGTGGAACAATATAATTTGGCAAATTAAAAACAGAAAGCATATATTGATCTTGAAATGCCAACAAAAGATGCTCCCTTATTATTGTAGATCAGAAAGTCAAAGATTAGTGATGTCTTCCTCTAAGGTAATGATGCAATAATTCATTAATGTTCTTAAAACTTCCAGTAAATTCTCACCATTTCAAATCCCACTGAGGCCATTAAATCAAGGCTGATTTTGACACAGATACTTCTCTCATATGGAAACATATAAATGGGATCAGATGGTCAAGGTAGTTCAAGTAAGTGGCAACTATTAATTTTACTGAAAAAACCTCCCTCAATTGATGTTCCTGGCTTGAAAGGCTGGTTTATCTCTAAAGGGTTAACTGGAGTCCCACTAATGGAAACACTATCACAAGATAAAGTAATATCGTTTAATGCACCCTGCTTTGAATTCAGAGTTCATGTATAGTCTAGACTAAAGGCCAAACAAATTTACAACACTTCATGCATTTCCATGGAGGACCGTTTCTACTGGAGGATATGTAAATATTGCACTAATCAGAGGTTCTGGAATTCCAAATGCCATAAAAGGTTATGACCTGAAGCCCTGCTAATATACGAGTGAGGGCGTAGACTAAAGTCCTTTGAATGACAGCTAACATGGGGTGTTTTGCATGAAAAGTAACCTCTAATAAATGACCCCTGCTTTTTTCTCTTCAAATCGATGACAGTAATGAATGGGAAAGGGGAGCTTTCTACCCATCCGGTGTATTTACACCTATAAAGACGGGAGTCTTTGATGAGTGCTGGCTTTCATTCAGGAAGGCGGAAGAGTAGAGAATTGATTTCAGAAAACAGTCTTTCCTTTTTCATTTTGAGGTTCCCATTGAGATTCAAATAACAGTAAAAGAAATACAAACATAAGCAAAAACGGGTATTTCTAAAGGGCCCCCTCCGTAGAGGGTGTGTATGGAATCTTTTGGAATTCTGATAAAACCTTCCCTGCTCAGAGTGCCCATGTCTTTAGCCAGTCAGAGCTGTGTCTCTCCAAGTGGGTGAGTGTTTTCAGGAGCTTGGAATCCCTGCCAAGAGCTCGTTTTCCCTGGGACTGTTTTGATGTGCACAGAAAGTTGTTATTTAGTTAGTTCAGATTTTAGCTGGATAAAAAAAGGCACATATTCCCTTAAATAATTCCCTTAAATATGTGCCTTAAATAAAAAGGCACATATTCCCTTAAATAATGGAGCTCTCTTCCTCCTCTTCCCCAATACAAAAATGTCTTTCCATATTATATATTTTCAAATCTCAGTAATCTCAACTTGCATTAGTAAAAGATCCCTTCTATTTGCCTTTTGTTTCTCAAAATATTTGACCGACGCTTTGTTTAGTCTCATAAGATTCAGGGCTGTGCCACTCCCATGGGCTGTGATCATGTACAGAGGTTTCTGAGGAAATATCTTGTGGTGTTTGGCTTAATTTTTTTTTCTTTTTTTTTTTTAAGACAGGTTCTTGCTTTTTCTCCCAGGCTAGAGGGCAGTGGAGTGATCAGTGCTGACTGCAGCCTCGACCTCCTGGGGTCAAGCGATGCTCACACTGCAGCCTCCCCAGTGCCTGGGACCACAGGTGCACACCACCATGCCTGGCACAGGCACACACCACCATGCCTGGCTAATCTGTGTGTTGTTTGTAGAGATGGCGCCTTGCTATATTGCCCAGGCTGGTCTCGAACTCCTGGGCTCACGCGATCCGCTTGCCTCAGCCTCCCAAAATGCTGGGATTACAAGTGTGAGCCACTTTGCCCCGCCCTAGATTTTTCTTCACAAAATTTAAATCTGGCTACTGCCAATTATGTTGCTTTGAATTTTATTTCATGATTTCCCTCCAAATGCAATGATTGTGCTATTTAATACTTTAGAGACTCATGGATACATGCTTCCATTCCCCCATGAATGCTTGCCTTTTCTGCAGGGCTGAGATTCCCCAGCTATGCCCTCTTTTAGGTGCTGAGATGTAGCTGTCCATTTTTATGTGCTGCCTGCTCTCTTTGAACTGCCCTTGTACTTGTTAAAATGTTATGTCTGAAATAAAATGCCATTCTTCTATGTATTTAGGAAAACATCATGTATGGTTTCCCTTGCCCGGAGCCATCCCTCCAGGCATAGGATCTGTGACTCTATTTGAAGGAGAATGTATTGATGGTGGCAGCCAGGGGGATGCCATGGGCTTTGGGCCAATGACATAGACCTTGGATCTAAATGGTGACCTCAGCCGCTGAAGAAGGGTCTGGGAAGAAGGAACTGAGCAGTTAGATTCCTTTGCCCTACCCGCCCCTGCCCCCGCCCCTGCATTGTGGAGGCATGTACCTGGGCAGCTCCCTTCCTTTGGCCTAGAAGTCTGGGGGTTCAGGCCAGCATCATTCCATCTCTTCTGTGAACAGCCTGCTGACTGCCTGCCTGGAGCCAGGCTCAACTCGTCTCCTCCGCATCATAGGAGAACAACTTATCTGCAATTGAAATCTCATTGTCTTATTACCCTAATGAGGACTTTTCTAGCTCCATGTTAACTACAGGATGAATCCCGACTTGTTTGTAAAGCAAAAAAGTCATTAATAAGACATTAGCCTGCTTTTTATTTTTATTTTTTTAATTAATTTTTTTTTGAGATGGAGTCTTGCTCTGTTGCCCAGGCTGCAGTGCAGTGGCACGATCTTAGTTCACTGCAACCTCCGTCTCCTGGGTTCAAGTGATTCTCCTGCCTCAGCTTCCCAAGTAGCTGGGATTACAGTTGTGCATCACCATGCCTGGCTAAGTTTCGTATTTTCAGTAGAGCTGGGGTTTCACTATGTTGGCCAGGCTGGTCTCGAAATCCTGACCTCAGGTGATCCACCCAGCTTGGCCTCCCAGAATGCTGGGATTACAGGCGTGAGCCACTATGCCTGGCCTGCTTTTTAGACTAATTTCCTTCTGACCTTCCCAGGGAAATTTGGGATCCAGCTGTATTGAACTATGTGCCATTCTCCAAAAATGTCATTCTGTTCTGTACTCAGACGTTTTTCCATCTACTAACCTGAGAATTCCTTGCTCACTTTCAAAAGCTGGAACGAATATTACTGTCTTTATGAAAACCCTCCTCAGTAGTACTGTCTCCAAATCCCAAACCCAACGCCCACACCAGCCCAAATTGGTTTACAGCTATGATTTCCAACAGCGCGTTGTTTCTGTTTCTCTACAAGCACATCCAGTTCTCCTTGTAGATGATACGTCTGGGGGGTCAGAGACTGTGGTGTTTTATCTGTATTTGTACCCACGATGGTGGCACAAGGCAGGATCTCCGTCAATCACATATCAGGTGCCGGCATCAGCATCACCAGGCGTGGGAGGCTCCGTGATGTCCTGGTGTTCTGTGAAACTGGACTTACACCAGTGCTACCAAATGTCGCCAACCCCATGACTGGGTCCCACTCTTTCCCAACCAACAATTCGACTTCTGTGGAGGCCATTGGGCCGTGCTGTGAGTGTGAGCCTGTGTTGAAGCATGCAGGGCCTGCGGAGAAAACTTAGAGCCATCGTAAAACCACTTTGTGTCCACGAGTGAGCCAAGGAGGTAAAGCTCTGAGCCTTTTATTTCTTTTCTTTCAATTCTTCAGTGTGGGGAGAAGCAGCCAAGCATCTCCAAAGTGCTTGTTCCCTGGGCCTTGATGTGTTGCTGCGACAGCCGTCCTTCACCAGATAGACACATCCCAGGTGATGGCAGGTGATACCAGCCTGGCTGCATTCCACACAGGGCCATAGGCTCCAGCGTCCCACATCAGCAATGCAGTGTGTTCAGATGACCGAGACCCAATGACAAGCCCTGAGTGCAGTCACCCGCATCATTTCTGTCATCATCTACTGTGCCAGTAAGTATTTATTATTATTTATTATGTTCAGCTGACAGCAATAAATGCCTCCTAGGTGCCAAGCAGTTGTTGGTTCCACATAGGGGCTTAGATGTTCACAGAATTGTTGGAAGGCTGGAGAAGCAGACACAGCTCGGCTCCTTGACCAGTAGAGTGGAACTTGGCAAGGGTACCCCGGCTTCCACTGGGGAGCTGCTGCCCCAATCCTTTCTTTGGGGCCACATCTCCACACTCACAGTCTGCAGACCAGAAAGTCCCCACCACAACTGTTTCACTAGGACACAGTATCCTAACTGCCATCTGATGATGGGAGAACTACTCTCGAAACCACTGGCTCCGGAGCCACGTGGACCTGCTAAAACCTGCACCAGTGAAACAGATGCTGTAAGCAGCCTCTACTGGTTAATGCATCTCAAATTCAGGTCTCCTGAGGGAGGGGAGCAGAATCTAAATTGCAACTGCATTGCTAGCTGCGTGGAAATCTAGGAGATGGCCTTTTTTCTTAGCTTCTAGCCCATGCAGTATACTGGAAGCACGTGTCATTGCTGCAGTACCAGTCACTCTACACTGTCCTGCCCTGTACTGCACTTTAGGGCTTGTGCCCTGCTTCCTGCTGATAGAGTTTCTGGAAATGCTCTCTGGATACCAAGCACTTCCTGGGGTCAGGTCATTCCTTTGGAATAATGCACCCTGAAGATCTATGCCAGTATGCCAAGAGCCTGGGCCACGTGTGTGTGTACAGTGTATCAGTGGGGTGGTGTGTATGTCAGGTGATATGTGTGAGCCAGGAACATATCTTTCCCAAGGGGTAAAATATTGGGCTCACGGCGGTGTCTTGGAAGGAACTGAAACTCACAGCCAACTCAATATTGGTTTGAAGAGATCAGATCAAGAGAGGGCATGTGGCTTTGCAATGTAGAGGGGTCGAGTCTTATGTGGAGCAAGGAATGACATTCTGGAAGATGATTTTTCCAGCTGTGAGGGAGTGGACACACTTGAGTGGAGCATCCAGGGCTCCTGGCGTGCACAGGAAGAAGCCACATGCCACCTGGACTGGACATTCTGAGGATCACTTGCTGCCCAAGTCTCCATCACTGTGGGATCCATACCTACTGGGACACCATGATGGCTCTCTGGTGGCCTGTGATGACTTCTGGGGTCTTCAACCCTGCCCTTTGGATGTCTTGCTCTGACCACTGGGCCTTTTCCTCAACTCCCAGCCCATTCCAGAGGGCATGTTCCTTGCCCCTCATCCATGAGCTCGTCAGTGAACTGCACCACCCAACTCTGTCCTGAAAGAAGACATCCAAAGTCACAGGGTTTTTGAGAAACAGAGATTACTGTGGAAATAAATGTGAGACAACTACAAGACTGAAGAGGACATTTCATCTCCTTTGGGCTGACCCGAATTTATTGCTATTTTGCTTCATTTTTCCTTAGGTTTAGCCCAACTCCCTTTTTGCTTTGGACACTAGGTTGCATTTTCCTGGCTGGGAGATAGCTTGTGGAAGTCCCACCTTTCAAAGCATGTTTTGGTGGGTTTTCTTTGCCCATTTTTCTCAGCAACTAGATCAGCTGTTCCCAAAAATGTAAGCAAAAATGAACCATGCTTACCCCCCCGCCACCACTTGTTTGAATTTTAGTTTTTGATTCTGAGACTTCTGAAACATTTCCCAGCACAAGCTGATAGAGTGGGACAAAAAGTAACTGTTGAAACAAACGCAAAGGGCACTGCAGGCTCTCTCATCATCTCAGTTTACACAGAACAAGATACTGCTGTTTAAATACTTAGCTAAACTTTACTCCTTTTAAGGCTCCAAGCCAAACCTTATTTTTCCCTTTTCAAACAAATGGATTTACACCTAGGTGAGGAATGAGAGGAAAGGTGTTTCCTTTGGTTGTGTTAGGAGGAAAGGAGGTATCTTCATGTTGTTGCTTCCATATTTCCATGGTAGGACTTCTCTTTTAGACATTTGAATAGAAATTCAGTAGCCAGATTGGCTTCAATCATTCACCATCTGTGTCCTTAGGAAGAAGTGGATAATTAGACTGTGGTGTTACTTTAGTACTTCCTGTCTTGAACTGTATCCCCTATGAGGTACTGTACCCTGGCTGGCAGCAGATCAGGCACCCTGAGGTGGGTTAGGAACAAACTTCTTGTCCCTGTCAAGTGAGATCACTGATACTTGTTACTATGGGTAGAGAAGAAGAGTCATTTCATCAAAGTCATGCTAAGAAAATATTTACACTTTGATTTAACCTCAGTCTTCCATAGTGAATTAATCCTTGTGTTTTATTTATTTATTTATTTTTAACTTTCTTGAATTTACTAGAATTTATTGGTAGATCATCATAATATATAATATTCTAAACTTAAAGACTTAAAAATGTTAATCTGAGACTCTGCTTTGAGAAAGAAAATTAAATTCAAATCTACATGGATAAACTTTCTATGGACTCTACACAGTACAATGTTTATCCCAGCCTGAGGTTTTATCATCTAACATATATTTTTGGGGTCTTTATGTTGGAATAATGTAAGTCAGTTTTACCATTAGCTTGAGGAAAACTTAATTTCTATGGTAAATATGCTACAAAATCAGTGTAATACAATATCAGTACAAATACTTTGGAACTGTGCATATGAATCTTCCTATTTGAAGATTCTATGAATTGATTGAATATATTGGCTTGGTAAATTCTTTTGCACAAGAAATTTTAGAGTATTCTGTC
Organism: Homo sapiens; assembly: GCF_000001405.40. Classification (NCBI taxonomy): domain Eukaryota; kingdom Metazoa; phylum Chordata; class Mammalia; order Primates; family Hominidae; genus Homo; species Homo sapiens. Next base: position 76,308,642 of record NC_000018.10, on the reverse strand, counting down.
GAAATAATCTATTATCCTCTGCTTGGATTTGTTTTATTATGTTCCCCCCTGTTCTTCCTTAATTCAGACATTAGTGTTGTTTATTTTCTTGTAACTAAAGATTAACTGGAGACAATAGATATTTCAGATTGGTATTTTTTCTTTGCCTCTTTCTCCTCTATACATTTATCTACTTATTCAGAAAGTTCTCAATCATATGAACAAAATGCTCAATTAGCCAATTAGAGGGAAAATTTATCTTCGTTGTTAGTGGTTTACCAAATTTATCCTTCAGAATCAGAAGCAAACTATATTCTCAGAGCTGCAAAAGTCACACATATGCCTCTAATCAAATTTGGATCTGGGTGGCAACATAACCTCTGGTTGAGAACAGCTATTTTAGATTGAGGAAAAATGACATGTCTTACCTGTCTCAGGTGAGGCATTCTTTTGAGCTGTAATACTGAAATAAAGAAGAGAGTTGAGCAGAGACCAGTAGAACTGCAGTGGATCCATGGTGATGTGTATGTAACATGACCAATAAATAAGTCACTGTTGTAATCCACTTAGATTTTTGGGGATTGTTTGTTATGAGGAATAACCTAGCAAAACCTGACTGACACAAGTAGTTGGCACAGGCCTGAGTCGCATGCTCTTTTCATCAGTCAGAAGGGAAGGTCAACACTGTAGAATTATGTGGTTAAGAATCGGGAAGGAAGGAGAAAGGCTTCTGGAATGGCAGAGTAAGGATCTCCTTAAATTTGCTTGTGGTAGGCAGTATAATGGCTCTCCAAAGTTGTCCATGTCCTGATCCATGGAAGCTTTAAATGTGTTACCTTACATGGCAAAAGGGACTTTGCAGATGGAGTTAAGGATCTTGAGGTAGGGAGACTATCCTGGAATACCAGGTGGGCTTAATGTAATCACAGGCTCATTTATATATGGAAGAGGGAGGCAGAGAATGAGAAGCAGAGAAGCAGATATGACAATGGAAGGAGAAGTTGGAGCAATGAGATTGCTGACTGGGAGGAAGGATGGGGCCCCAGCTGAGGAATGGAGGCAGCCTCTAGAAGCTGGGCAGGGCAAGCAACAGATCTCCCCTAGAGCCTCCAGAAGGAAGGCACCCCGCTGACATCTTGAATTTATCCCTGAAGACTCATTTCAGACTTTGCTCTCCAGGGCTCTGAGACGATGCATCTGTGTGGTGTGAAGCCACTGCAGCTGTAGTCATTTGCTACAGCAGCAACAGGAAGCTAATACACCATTCCTCCATAAAAGCAAGAAAAATTCTAGCAACATTATAAAAATCTACTTTTTCAGAACTCTGGAAATTAACCACAGGCTTGCAACAATCTAAGAAGCATTTCTTAAAGAAAAGCAGCTGCTTCTCAGTTAAAATAGCAAAGTTTGTGGTGTTTCAATACGGCCTGCTCCCGTAAGTCTCTCAAGTTCTGTAGTGTTTTTGAAACCACAGTTGCTGTCGAAACTAGCAGCCTCGAAGCTCCCAAAGGAAGCATGACAGGAGTTGCAATGCCTCAAAAAGCCCCAACTCCACTATTTGACCTGCCTTACCGCTCTCTGAAAACTCCCTTAACAGGTGGTAGTTGTTATTTGACCTGACTCACAGCTCACTCTGCAGAAATAGCTCTGTTTCCAGGGCATTTGTTGAAAACAATCAGCTGTAATTGTTTAACATCATAGTTGCTGGATACCATTTGGCACAAAAAGAACTTGGCCAAAAATCTGAAGGGAAGATCTGGGGAACGAGCTGTCCATAGGGGGCGCTGAAAAGCTCTGATACATTCTTGGTAATCTACACCGCCATAAGCATGTCCAGGGCCATGTGCATGCCTAGCAAAGGTCGGAAAGGGCCCCAGATTTCACCTCTGAATGGCCTAGAAAGCTATAAACCAATATCCTTCATGAATATAAATGCAAAAATCCTCACTAAAATATTAGGAAACCAAGTCCAATGACACATAAAAAAGATTATATGCCCTGACCAAGTGAGGTTTGTCCCAGGAATTGAAAGTTGTTCTAACATCAAAAAGTCAGTTAAGATATTAATAGAATAAAGAGCAAAAACAAAAAAATATATGATAAATGCCGAAAAATCATTAAAAATTCAGCACTTATTCATGATAAAAACTCTTTAACAAACTTGGAATAAAAGAGAATTCTTTCTCAACCTGATAGAGGGCATTTATGCATTCTATGAGGCTAGTATTATCTTATAGCAAAGACCTACTGCTAACATCTTCCTTAATGGTCAAAGATGAATGCTTTTTCCCAAAGTTCAGAAACAAGACAAGGATGTCCATTTGTACCTCTTATTCATCATGGCACTGGATGTTCTAACAAGTACGATCAGGCAAGGAAAAAAAAAAAGACATGCTGATTGAAAAGAAGAAGTAAAACTGTCCTATTCACAGATGACATGATCCTATTAGAACTAATAGATAAATACAGCAAAGTCACAGGATATAATGTCAGTATAAAAAATCAATTGTATTCTATATACAAACAATGAATGACTCAAAAATGAAATCAAGGCCAGGTGCGGTTGCTCACGCCTGTAATCCCAGCACTTTGTGAGGCCGAGATGAGTGGATCACTTAAGGTCAGGAGTTCAAGACCAGCCTGGCCAATATGGTGAAACCCCGTCTCTACTAAAAATACAATAAAAAAATAGCTGGTGTGGTGGCTTATGCCTGTAATCCTAGCTACTCGGGAGGCTGAGGTGGGAGGATCACTTGAACCCAGAAGTTGGAGGTGGAAGTGAGCTGAGATTGCACCACTGCACTCCAGCCTGGGTGACAGAGCGAGACTCTGTCTCAAAAAAAAAAAAAAAAAAAAAAAAGAGGAATTAAGAATACAATTTAATTCACAATAGCATCCAAAGTAATAAAATATTTAGTATAAATTTAACGAAAGAAGTACAAGGTTTGTACTGAAAAATATGAAACTGTTGAGAGACATTAAAAAAGTTATAAATAAATGAAGAGACATTCCATGTTCATGGATTGGGAGATTCAATATTGTTAAAATGGACAGTTCTCCCCCAATTAATCTTTTCATTCAAGATTTCAGCAATTTTTTGCATAAATTGATAACATAATCTTAAATATATGGTAATGCAAAATACCTAGAAAAATCCAAACAATTTTGAAAAATAAGGTGGAAGACTTTCACTTCCCAACTTCAAAACTTCCTATAAAGCTACAATTATCCAGATGATAAGGTGGTGGCATACAGATAGACCTATAGATTAATGGAACAAAATTTAGAATGCAGAAATAAATTCCTATATTTATGGTAAATTGATTTTTGACAAAGGTTCCAACCCATTTATTTGAGGAAAAGGTGTTGGAACAATTTGATACTATGTGCAACAGATAAACTTAGACTCTCACTTGACACCACACACAAACATGAACTCAAAATGCATTATGGACTTAACTGTAGGAGCCAAAACAAGAAAACTTTGAAAAGCAAATACAGGGGAAAATCTTCAAGACTTTGATACAAGCAAAGATTTATTAGATACAACATCAATAGCATGATTTATTAAAAAAGCAATGGACAAATTAGGCCTCATCACCATTTAAAATCTTTTCACTTCAAAAGATACAATTAAGAAAATAAAGACAAGAAACAGACTTGAAGAAAATATTTATAGAACACATATCTGATATAGGACTTGTATGCATAATTTACAAAAACAAAACAACACACACACACACCCCTCTTAAAACTCAGTAAGAAAAAGACAACTTAATCCCAAAATGTTCAAAGATATGAAGAGACATTTCACCAAAGAAGTTGTATAAGTGACTAAGAAGTATATGAAAATATGCTCAACATCCTATAGTTATAGAAGAAATGTAAATTAAAAACCTTAACACATACCATTTCACACCTGCTAGAGTGACTATAATAAATAAGACACATAATAACAAATATTGACGAATGTGCAAAAATGGGAACTCTCTGACACTGCTCTTAAGAATGTGAAATGGAGCAGCCATTTTGGAAAACGGTTTGATAGTTCCTCGAAACTTATACATAAGACTACCATATGATTCTCTACTATTATACATATCTACCCAAGGGAAATAAAAATATGTGTTCACGAAAAGCTTGCACATGAATGTTCATGGCAGCATTATTTTTAATGGCCCCAAATTGGAAACAACCTAAATATCTGTTAACTAAGAGGAATGAACGATTGACACATACTCTATCATGGATGAACCTCAAAAACACATTAAAAGAAAGAAGCCAAACAGAAGAGACCATATATTAATCAATTCCATTTATGTGATATGTCTAGAAATGTCAAATTTATAGAGCCAGAAAGTGTATTAATAATTTGCATGAGGCTGGGAAAAGAATGGGTATTAACTGTCAATGGGCATGAAGGATAAAAATGTTCTAAAACTAATTCATGCTCATGGTTGTAACCACTCCACAAAGTTAGTAAAAATTATTGTGCTGTACACTTGAAATGGATACATTTTATGATATATAAAAATAAAGTTTAAAAAATGGGTGAGGAGTCATTTCTAGAAGAAATGTTGGGAATTTAGTATATGTTAGTCTTCTGTGTTTGGATTCAGATTTTGTAGGAAAATTTTTTGAAGTGCTGGTTGACTTATACTAGCTATTCTTTTTCTTTTTTTTTTGGAACAATTTTTTTTTCCTTATTCACTTCATTTAAGGGCAATTTTCACATTTAAATATAATAAGCAAATAATGTTATCTTCAATAATTCATTTTGATGTTTAAAAACTACCTGTTAAGGGTGAGAAAGCTATTTCAAATCTAGTTTCCCAATAAGGAAAATTTTTCTAGGCCAAAAATGTATTAGAATTTATTTGTAGAGGTGAGGAGTGTTTGATCAGGGCAAGGGTGACTGTTCCAGGAGAAGTCTGAAAATGCGTTGGTTTGGAGGAAATTGTCTCCCCTGCCTTCGGCCCCCCGGCCACTGCCATTCAGTCTGTGCTGGGATCATTGCATTTGTTGGTCACTGTCTTTCTTGTAACACTTTACTCTGTTGAAAGAGATTTCATTCAGTTCCCCTGAGACTACTTTTAGTATTAATTAAGAGATTACTCAATGTTTGGGACCTTAGGAATTTGCTTATTATTGTGTATATAGAATGCGGGATATTTCTAAAGGAGGCAAGCAAAGCATGGAATGGAAAAGCCTCCATTTCTGCATTAAAGTACCTGTAGTTTTTTCTATTCTTTAAAATTTTTATTGTTGTTTCTGTGAACACTTGAATTTACACACCTACCAATCTTTATCCATGTTTTAAACGTAAATCGCTAGAATTGCAAGGTCTAACTAGGAAGTATATTAATAAATTGTCCAAAAGGGCTTGACTAACACATGCTCTAATCCATAGTGATGGGAAGGCTCATTTTACACAACTTGAACTCAAAATTCTTTCAAAGGTTGGTTAAAAATTGAATCACATTTTACCTAGTCTTAAAATTTATAATTTATTTTTTAGGTATTTTAAAATTTTGACATATTTTCAAACTTACTGAAAAACTGCAGGAATTTTCTAAGCAACTTCTAGATATCTGTTATTTAAATTAATTAATTGTTTCCATCTCCTCCTATTTGTTTGGTCGTGATTTCTGTTTTACTCTCTGTCTCTTGGTACTTCTCTGGCAGAAATACCATAGAAATAGTGTGTTCCCCTCGGTGTAACAAATATCAGGGGGCATGTAATATCGGTTTGTCCTGATATTGGTGATGTTGATCACTTCATGTGAGGTCCGTCTGCTTTAATCACTGTAAAAGCACTAATTTTTCTTTTGTAAATTTCCTCTGAGTTGGGTAAACATCTTGTTCTTCATCAGACATCCATCCACCCACAAGGTTTAGCATCCATTGACCATTTTCTAACCCCATATCTATTGGTTTGCATTTTATAGTAGGTAGAGATTTCCTGTTACTTATTTCTGTATGGACTCATGGATTCCCTTTTTATTCAATGGGTTCATTTCATTACTATCATCATATCTTTTGAGGAGCAAATTTGAGAAGGGGCTTCTTCAAGCTCATAGCTCTGTCTCTAGTATGTCCCTGTCATTCTTTGAGAACCCCCTTTCCTTCTGGTGCAACAGGAAGTTCCAGATTCTCGATGTACTTTCCCTGTCTCAGCCCTGGAATCAACTTGTTCTTCAAGCAACCCTGGTGCCTTTTGTGAAGAAGGGGATTTAGAAGCCAAGACCTAAGTATTTAGGAGCTGTGGGTGTGTCATTGCTTTTAGCCTCTCAGCTGATAGTGCTAAGCTTGTATGTCCACACATGTCTGTCTTCCTTATCACCTCCCCTTGCCTCTGTGTCATTGTTTAGCTAGCCAGCTAGGCACTGAAAATGGTGAGTTAATACTGAACACCCAACTCCAGTCTAAGTCTCTGTGGCTCACTTCCCCACCAGTGAGGAATCCAGCCCCTGCTCTTCTCAGTGTGTTTACACATAAGCTCAACACCAGCATGCACAGAAAGTAGTTTCACGGTTGCTAAACAATATCACTGTAAGAAAAAAAAATCGACTGAGTTTAATGATTTATGTAGTTATTTTTTTGAGATAAAATTTACAGAGTGTAAAATACAAATTAAGTGTACAATTGCGTAAGTATTCACCAAGGCATACACTCACGTAAACACAACCTAGATCCTAGAAAACCTTTTTCCATTCAATATCCTTCCCCTGCCATTCAATATCCTCTGAATGAGTAGCAGCCACTTTTCTGATTTCTTTTTCACCAAAAATTACTGTTGCTCAATCTAGAGCTTCCTATTGGGAGAATCACAGGGGATGCGGGATTTTGATCCAGTTCCTTTTGCTTAACACAATGTATGTGAGATTCATCCATGTTATTATATGTGCTTATAGTTCATTTCTTGTTATTACTGAATAATATTCCATCATGGAAATATACCGCAATCGTTTAACCATTCCCTTGATAAACATTTGTGTTGTTTTCCACTTTTTAGCTAACGTGAATGAAACTACCATAAACTATATTTAAGGTTGGTGCAATTACTTTGGTAATTGTATCTTTAGTTTTAAGAGAGATTATCAGACTGCTTTCCAAAGTGTTAGTACCATTTTACACTCTCACTAACAATATATGAGAGTTCCCATTTTCCCACATTCTCACCAACATTTAGTGCTGACAGACTTTTTCATGCTACTCATAATAGTGAGTGTTTAGTGGTATCACATTTTAGTTTTAATTTGTATTTCCGTAGTCACTAATGATTTTGAACAATTTTCACCTTTTTATTATCCATTCATGTATATTCTTTTGTGGCTTATTTATTCAAGTATTTTGCTCATTTTTCTTGAGTTGTTTGTTTTTTACTATTCAGTTGTACAAGACATTTGTGTGTTCTGGAGACAAATACATCATCAGATATTTGTTTTTAAAACCTTTTCTTCCAGTCTGTGGCTTGCCTATTCATTTCTTTTTTTTAACTTTTATTTTAGGTTCATGGGTACATGTGCAGGTTTGACACAAGTGTAAACTTGTGTCAGGGGTTTGTTGTACAGATTATTTCATCACCCAGATACTAAGCCTAGTAACCAATAGTTACTTTTTCTGATCCCCTCCCTCCTCCCACCCTCTACCCTCAAGCAGGTCCTAGTGTCTATGGTTCCTCTCTTTGTATTCATGAGTTCTTATCATTTAGCTCCCACTTGTAAGTGAGAAACGTGGTATTTGGTTTTATGTTTCTGTGTTAGTTTGCTAAGGATGATGGCCTCCAGCTCCATCTGTGTTCCTGCAAAGGACATGATCTCGTTCGTTTTTATGGCTGCACAGTGTTCCACGGTGTATATGTACCACATTTTCTTTATTCAGTCTACCATTGATGGGCATTTAGGTTGATTCCATGTCTTAGCTATTGTGACCTATTCATTTGTTAATGGTAACTTTGATGAGCAGAAGTTTTTGATATTACTGAAGGCTAATTTATCTCAATTCTCCTATATAGTTACCAATTTCTAATGTCGTCTGTAAGAATTCTTTTCCTTTTTCCAAATCTTGAACATATTTTCCTCTGTTTTTATGTAGAACCTTTGTAGTATTATCTTTTATGGTTAGATGTGCTACTTCTCAAATTTCTTTTTGTGTATAGTATAAGGTAGGGGTCAAAGATCTTTAGTTTTTCATATGTATATTCAATTTTTGAAGAATGGTTTGTTAAAAAAAACTTCCCTTTTCCCCCTTTAGTTCAACTGATGTCTTTTTCCAAAATTGTTTGATCATATAAGTATGGGTTTATTTCTCCAATCTTTATTTTAAATAACCTTTCTTTCTTTTTTATGTCAATACCACATTTTCTTGATTACTGTAGCTTTATAATAATATTTGAGGTCAGACAGTGCGAGACTTCCAACATTGTTCTTCTTTTTTTCAAGATTTTTATGACTATTCTAGGTCCTTAGAATTCCTATGTTCATTTTAGGATCAGTTTGTTAATTTCTGTGAAAAAGCATGCTAAGATTATGACTAGGAATGAACTGAATCTATATATCAATTTGTGGAACTTGATATCTTAGCAATATTGAGTATTCAAATTTATGAATGCTACTTATCTATACTTTTATGTATTTCTGGATTTAATTTGCTCATATTTTGTTAATTTTGTGTCTATGTTCATAGAGATATTGATCTATAATTTTAAAATAATGTCTTTGTAAAGTTTTGATATAATTTGCTTGGCCTCATAAAATGCATTGGAAAATAATTCTTCCTCTTGTATTTATGAAAGGGCTTATGTAAAACTGGTATAATTTTTTTTCTCAAATGTTTGATAGATTCATTTATAAAATGATCTGAGCTTGAAATTTTCTTCATGGGTAGTTTCTGATAATGAATTAAATTTCTATAATACATACATGGCTAGTCAAGGATTTTGTTCACTTCATCTAGGTTATTGAATTTATTGGCAAAAAAATTTTTTTAAGTCTTGAGACTTAAAAAAATATACTTTATATTTTAGAGCAGTATTAGGTTCATAGCCAAATTGAATGGGATGTAGAGAGAGAATTCCCATACATTCCTTGCTCATCCCCACTCATAGATTTCTCCCACTATCATTGGTTATAATTTGTAACATTTGTTACAGGTGATGAACCTACATTGATACATTGACACATCATTATCACTGGAAGTCCATAGTTCACATCAGGCTTCACTCTTGGTGATGGACATTCCAGAGGCTTTGAGCATGAAGTTTTAAAATATTTCCTCATTATGCTTTCAGTTGTGTAGGATTTGCAGTGATACCATTTCTATTATTTTTATATTAGTAATTTGTATTCTCCATCATTTTTCTTGATCAATTTTATTAATCTTTTCAAAGAACGAATGCTTGGCTTGATTAAATTTCTTGATTTTAAATGTCATTAATTTCCTTTTTTATATTTATTATTTCCTTCCTTCTATTTACTTTATTATTGATATGCTCTTCTTTTTATAGCTCCTTGATGTGAAAACTTAGGTCATTTATTTTAAGCCTTTCTTCTTTTTTATTTTTATTTTTATTTATTATTATTATTATTTTTTAATTTTATTATTATTATACTTTAAGTTTTAGGGTACCTGTGCACAATGTGCAGGTTTGTTACATATGTATACATGTGCCATGTTGGTGTGCTACACCCATTAACTCGTCATTTAGCATTAGGTATATCTCCTAATGCTATCCCTCCCCCCTCCCCCCACCACACAACAGTCTCTGGTGTGTGATGTTCCCCTTCCTGTGACCATGTGTTCTCATTGTTCAATTCCCATCTATGAGTGAGAACATGCAGTGTTTGGTTTTTTGTCCTTGCGATAGTTTGCTGAGAATGATCGTTTCCAGCTTCATCCATGTCCCTACAAAGGACATGAACTCATCATTTTTTATGGCTGCATAGTATTCCATGGTGTATATGTGCCACATTTTCCTAATCCAGTCTATTGTTGTTGGACATTTGGGTTGGTTCCAAGTCTTTGCTATTGTGAATAGTGCCGCAATAAACATACGTGTGCATGTGTCTTTATAGCAGCATGATTTATAGTCCTTTGGGTATATACCCAGTAATGGGATGGCTGGGTCAAATGGTATTTCTAGTTCTAGATCCCTGAGGAATCGCCACACCGAAGCACTTAAATCTATACATTTCCCTCTAAGCACTGCTTTAAACTCATCCAATAGTTTTTGATATTGTTAAATTATGTTTGGCTTAATGTTTCCTCTGTATATATTTGAGGTTCAGCATAAGAGTTTCTCTACGCATAGTGGGCTGTAACCCAATTTGATGAGTAAACAGACTGCAACCTGCTCTTGTAACAAGGAGCTGAGTGCCAGCCAATCACAGAAGTGAACTTCAGCCAACCACAGGCAGCCAACTGTTCCACCCAGGTTTAGAGAAGGCGGGTGCCCTGCCAGCCAGTCACAGAAGTGAATGTCAGCCAACCACAGGCAGCCTATTGTTCCACCCAGGTTCAGAGAAGTTGGGCACCCAACTGCAACCAGTCCTGCTGTTCCTGCATCCCATTTTTGTTTTCTGTGTGTCACTTTCCTTTTTCTGTCTATAAATGTTAACTGACCAGGTGGCATCCCTGGAGTCACTTTCCTTTTTCTGTCTACAAATGTTAACTGACCAGGTGGCATCCCTGGAGTCATTCTGAACCTATTCTGGTTCAGGGGGCTGCAGGATATTCCAGTTGTTCTTTGCTCAGTTAAACTTTGTTGAATTTAATTTGTCTGAAGTTTTCCTTTTAACAATGTGTTGTGTTTTTATGATCATTCAGTTTAAAATAATTTAAAATTTCCCTTTATATTTATTTTTAGTCCTATTGATTATTTAGAAGTGTATTGGAGTACATTTCTTACTATATTAGTCAGAATTCTCCAGAGAAACAGAATCAATAGGATGTGTGTGTGTGTGTGTGTGTGTGTAGAGATTTATTTTATGGAATTGGCTCACATGATTGTAGAGGTGAGGCAAGTCCAAAGTCGCATAGGGGAGGCTGGTAGGTAGAGACTCAGGAAAGAGTTGCATTTTGAGTCCAAAGGCCTGTAGAACCAGGAGGAGCCAATGTTGCGATGAAGTATGAAGGCAGTTGGCTGGAGAACTCCCCCTTGCTTGGGGGGAGGTCAACCTTTTGTTCTATCGAGGCCTTGGACTAACTGGATGAGGTCCAGCCATCTATGGAGGACAGTCTGCTTTATTCCACATCCACCAATTTAAATGTACAAACTATACAAGGATACCCTCACAGAAACATCCAGACTTCTATGTGACCAGATATCTGGGCATTGTGACCCAGACAAATTGATATATAAAATTAACCATCACACTTGCTATCCAAAAATCAGGGCATTTTAGATACTTTGATTTTTAATTTAGCAACATTGTGGTCTGAGAATGTGTGTTGTTATTATTTTGATTCCATTAAATATATTAAGACTTGTCTTATGGCCCAGAGTATGATCTATTTTGATGAACCTTCCATGTGCAGTTGAAAACAGTGTGCAGTCTACAGTTGCTCAGTGGTTAGTAAAGAATGTGATCTAGTTGTCCAATAAATACTAATGGAGTGGAATTAGTATCTCCAACTATGATCCTACATATGTCTATTTCTCCATTTAGTTCTGCAAATTTTTGTTTCAGGTATTTCAAAGCTTTCATTAGGGGCATGCATTTTTATGGTGATTGATCTTTTTATTATTTTGAAATTTTTTGTCTGGTAATACTTCTTGCCTCCAGGCCTATTTTTCTGATGTTAATATAGCTATGGCTAGAGAGGGGTGGGGCAAGATGGCCCAACAGAAGTCTCCACCAATTGTGTTCCTGTGGTGTTCTCCCCACAGGAATTCCAAATTTAACAATGATCTACACAAAAACCACCTTCATAAGAACCAAAAATCAGGTGAGCAGACACAGTACCTGATTTTAACTTCATATCAGTGAAAGAGTCACTGAAACAGTCTTGATGCCACCCCTCCCCCCTCTCTGGCGGCGGCTGTGTGGGGTGGAAAGAGAATCTATGTGTTTGGGGAAGGGAGAACGTGGCAATTGCAGGAGTTTGCACTGGAACTCAGTGCTGCCAACACCCGGCAGAACTCAGCCAATGTCCACAGAGCGAGCATTTAGATCAGCTCTAGCCAGAGTGGAATTGCTCATCCATGTGATCAGAACTTGAGTTTCAGCAAGCCTTGCCACCATGAGCTAAAGTGCTCTGGGTGCTCAATAAACTTGGAAAGACTGCAACTCCTAGGCATCACCCAGTGCTGTGCTGGGCTCAAAGCCAATAGACGTGTAGGGCACACGACCTAGTGAGACACCAGATGGGGCATCAACAAGAGTGCTTGCATCACCTCCTCCCAACCCCAGGCAGTGCAGCTTGCAGTTCCTGGAGAGACTCCTTCCCTCCACTTGAGGAGAGGGAAGAGAAAAGAAGACTTTCTTTTGCAACTTGGATACCAGCTCAGACACAGTAGGATAGGGCACCAGGCAGAGTTGTGAGACCCTCATTCCAGGTCCTAGTTCCCAGATGACAGTTCTAGACATATCCTGGGCCAGAAGAGAACCCACTGCCTTGAAGGGAAGGACCCACACCTGGCAGGATTCATCACCTGCGGACTAAAGAGCCCTTTAGCAATAAATAATCAGCTGTGGTAACCAGGTAGTATATGCTGTGAGCCTTGGGTGAGACTGAAACGTGCTGGCTTCAGGTGTGATCCAGAATATTCCCAGCTGTGGCTGCTATGAGGAGTGACTGCTTCTGCTTGAGAAAAACAGAGGGAAGAGTACCTTGCAGCTTATGCAGCAGCTCAGCCATGGGGGGGTAAAGCAAAAAGTGGGCTCCTGGGGACCCTAATTCCAGGCTGTGGCTCTTGGATAGCATTTCTGGACCTGCCCTGGGTCAGAGTGGAGCCTGGATTATTGCAGGCCGTAAGTGAGACCCAGCGCTGTGCTGGCTGTAGAGCTGACTCAGTACAGTCCCAGTGGTGGTTGCCATAGGGGTGCTTGTGTCATCCCTCCCCCAGCTCCAGGCAGCTCAAAACAGACTGCAAGGATGACAATAAATACCTTACTCCTTAATGCCTAGACACTGATGAACATCCACAGGCATCAAGACCATCCAGAAAACATCACCTCACAAAATGAACTTAGTAAGTGACCAGGGACCAATCCTGGAGAGACAGAGACGTGATATTTCAGAGAATTCAAAATAGCTGTTTTGAGGAAACTCAGAGAAATTCAAGATAACACAGAGAAGGAATTTAGAATCTTATCAGATAAGTTTAACCAAGTAATTGAAATAATTTAAAAGAATCAAGCAGAAATTCTGGAGTTGAAAAATGCAATCAACATGTTAAAGAATGTATCAGAGTCTATTAATAGCAGAATTGATCAAACAGAAGAAAGAATTAGTGAGCTTGAAGACAGGCTATTTGAAAATACACTGTCAGAGGAGACAAAAGAAACAATAAAAATGAATGAAGCTTGCCTACAAGATCTAGAAAATAGCCTCAAAAGGGCAAATCCAAAAATTATTGGCATTAGAAGGGAAAGATAGGGGTATAAGTCTTATTCAAAGGGATAATAACAGAGAAATTCCCATACCTAGAGAAAGGTATCAATATTCAAGTACAAGAAGCTTATAGTAATGTAGCAGATTTAACCCAAAGAAGACCAGCACAAGGCATTTAATAATCAACCTCCCAAAAATCAAACATAAAGAAAGGACCCTAAAAGGAGCAAGAGTAAAGAAATAAATTACAATGGAGGACCAATATGCCTGATGCAGGCTTTTCAGTGTAAACCTTACAGACCAGGAGAGATTGGCGTGACATAGTTAAAGTACTGAAGGAAAAACCTTTAACCTTAGAATAGTTTAAACAGTGAAAACACCCTTCAAACAGGAAGGAGAAATAAAGACTTTCCTAGACAAACAAAAGTTGAGGAATTTCGTTAACACCAGACCTGTTCCACAAGAAATGCTAAAGAGAGTTATTTAATGTGAAAGAAAAGAACGCTAATTAGCAAATAATAACAAATCACCTGAAGGTACAAAACTCACTGGTAATAGTACATGCCCAGAAAAACACAGAATATTGTAACACAGTAATTATGGAACATAAACTACTGTTATCTTAAGTAGAAGGATGAACCAGTAAAAAATAATAACTACAACTTTTCCAGACATAGACAGTACAATAAGATACAGACTGAAGCAACAAAAAGTTAAAAAGCAAGGGGACAAAGTTAAATTGTAGAGTTTTCATTAATGTTCTTTTTGCTTTGTTTATTCATGTAATCAGTGTTAAGTTGTCATCAGTTATAAGATATGAATTGCTAGCCTCATGGTGACCTCAAATCAAGAACCATACAAAAGATACACAAAAAATAAAAAGCAAGAGATTAAATCATCCCGCTAGCGAAAATCACCTTCATTAAAAGGAAGACCAGAAGGAATGAAAGAAGGAAGAGAAGACCACAAAACAACGAGAAAACAAACAACAAAATGGCAAGAGTAAGTCCTAACTTATTAATAATAACATTTAATGTAAATAGACTAAACTCACCAATCAAAAGATGTAGAGTGGGTGAATGGTTAAAAAAGCAAAAGCCAACCATCTATAGCCTACAAGAAACACACTTTACCTATAAGGACACACATAGACGGAAAATAAAGGGATGGAGAAATATATTCCATGCCAACAGAAGCCAAAAAAAGGGCAGGATAGTTACATTGGATAAAATAGATTTGAAGACAAAAACTGTAAAAAGAGACAAAGGTGATTATAAAATGATAAAGGGGTCAATTCAGCAAGAGGATATAACAATTGTAAGTATATATACACTCAACACTGGAGCACCCAGATATGTAAGCACAAATATTATTAGAGCTAAAGAGAGACAGGCCCCAGTACAATAAAAGCTGGAGATTTCAACATTCCACTTTCAGCATTGGACAGATCATGCAGACAGAAAATCAACAAAGAAACATTGGACCTAATCTGCACTAAAGACAAAATGGATCTAATAAATATTTACAAAACGTTTCATCTGATGGTTGCAGAACACATTCTTCTCCTCAGCCCATGGAGCATTCTCAAGGATAGACCATATGTTAGGCTACGAAACAAGTCTTAAAACATTCACTAAAACTTAACTAATATAAAATATCTTCTCTGACTACAATGGAATAAAATGAGAAATAAATAAAGACAGGAATTTTGGAAACTACACAAACATATAGAAATTAAATAATATGCTCTGAATGACCAGTGGGTCAATGGAGAAATAAAGAAGAAAATTGAAATTTTTTTGAGACAAATAATAATTGAAACACAACATATCAAAACCTGTGGGATACAGTGAAAACAGTACTAAGAGGGAAGTTTATAGCTATAAGCCCCCATATCAAAAAGGAAGAGAAACTTCAAAACCTAGCAATACATCTTAAAGAACTAGAAAAGCAAGAGCAAACCAAACTCAATGTTAGTAGAGGAAAATAAATGATAAACATCAGAGTAGAAATAAATAAAATTGAAATCAATAAAGTAATACAAAAGATTAACAAAATGAAAAGTTGGCTTTCTGAAAAGATAAACAAAATTGACAAACCTTTCACCAAACTAGGAAAAAAAGAGAAAAGACCCAAATAAATCAGAGATGGAAAACGAGACATTACAATCAATACTGCAGAAATTCAAAGGATGATTAATGGCTATTATGAGCAACCATATGCCAATAAATTGGAAAATCCAAAAGAAATAAAGTCCTAGACACACACAACCTACCAAGAGTGAACCATGAAGAAATCCAAAACCTGAAAAGACCAATAACAAGTAATGATATCAAAGCCATAATAAAGTGTCTCCTAGCAAGCAACAGCCTGGGACCTGCTGGCTTCATTGCTGAATTCTACCAAACATTTAAAGAAGAACTAATACCAATCCTACTCAAACTATTCTTAAAAGTGGAGGAGGATAGAATACTTCCAAACTCATTCCTTGAGGCTAGTATTTCTCTCATACCAAAACCAAACAAAGGCATATCAAAAAAAGCAAACTATGGACCCATGTTTCTGATGAATATTGATGCAAAATTTCTCTCAAAATACTAGAAAACAAAATTCAACAACACATTAAAAAGATCACTTATCATGGCCAAGTGGAATTTATCCCAGGGATGCAAGGGTGGTTCAACATACACAAATCAATCAATATGATACATTATATCAACAGAATGAAGGATGAAACCATATAATCATTTCAATTGAAACTGAAAAGGCATTTGATAAAATTCAACATCCCTTCATGATAAAAAAAACCCTCAAAAAAACAGTATAGAGAGAACATACCTGAACATAATAAAAGCCATATGTGACTGACCCACAGCTAGTGTCATAATGAATGAGAAAAACCTGAAAACTTTTCCTCTAAGACCGAGAACATGACAAGAATTTCCCCTTTGAACACTGTTATCCAACATAGTACTGGAAGTCCTAGCTAGAGGAATTAGACAAGCGAGGCAAATAAAGGGCATCCAAATTGGAAAGGGAGAAATCAAATTATCCTTGTCTGCTGATGATATGACCTTATGTTTTGAAAAGTCTAAAGACTCTACAAAACAACTATTAGAACCGATAAATAAATTCGGTAAAGTTGCAGGATACAAAATCAACATACAAAGACCAGTAACATTTCTATATGCCAACAGCGAACAATCTGAAAAAGAAATAAAAAAGTAATCCCATTTAGAATAGCCACGAATAAAATTAAATAGCTAGGAATTAACTTAACCAAAGAAGTGAAAGATCTCTATAATGACAAAGAAGTGAAAGATCTCTATAATGAAAACTATAAAACACTGATGGACGAAATTGAATAGACACCAAAACATGGAAAGATGTTCCACGTTGATGGATTGGAAGAATCAACATTGTTAAAATGACCCTGCTACCCAAAGCAATCTACAGATTTGGTGCAATCTCTGTCAAAATACCAATGATGTTCTTCACAGAAATAGAGAAAACAATTCTAAAATGTATATGGAACCACAAAAGACCCAGAATAGCCAAAGCTATCCTAAGTGAAAAGAAAAGAACTGGAAGAATCACAATACCTAACTTGAAATTACACTACAGAACTATAGTAACCAAAACAATATGGTACTGGCATAAAAACAGACACATAGAACAATGGAACAAAATAGACACATAGAACAATGGAACCCAGAAACAAATCCATACACTTACCGTGAACTCATTTCTGACAAAGGTTCTAAGAACATACATTGTATAAAGAAAAGTCTCTTCAATAAATGATGCTGGGAAAACTGGATATCCATATGCAGAATGAAACTAGACCCCTATCTCTCGCCACATATATAAATCAAATCATAATGGATTAAAGACTTAAACATAAGACCTCAAACCATGAAACTACTAAAAGAAAACATTGGAGGAACTCTCCAGGACATTGGAGTGGGCAAAGATTTCTTGAGTAATACCCCACAAACACAGGCAACCAAAGCAAAAATGGACAAATGGGATCACATCAGGTTAAAAAGCTTCTGCACAGCAAAGGAAAAAAATCAACAAAGTGAAGAGACAACTCACAGAATGGGAGAAAATATTTGCAAACTACTCATCTGAGAAAGGATTAATAAACAGAATATGGAGTTCAAGCAACTCTATAGGGAAAATATAATAATCTGATTAAAAAATAATTTAATTGTACATTAAAAAAACTAAAAAAGTATAATTGGATTGTTTGTAACACAAGGGATAAATGCTTGAGTTGATGGATACCCATTTACCCTGATGTGATTATTACACATTGCATGTCTGTATCAAAATCTCTCATGTACTCCATAAATACATACACCTATTATGTACCCATGGAAATTGAAAATAAAATGTAGCTATTAGCAGCTTATTTTTATAAAATATATGTAATGTATATTTCAACCTTTTACTTTCAACCTGTACATTTATGTTTTACGTTGATATTTATATTTACAGGAATCTAGTAGTTAGCACATCATTGAGGTTTACATTTTTTATCCAGTCTCAGAATCCCTGCCTTTTTCTTGGATGAAAATTAACCTACACTCAATGTAATTATTAATATAGTCTATTTGTGGTTTACTCTTTTGTTTTCATTTATCTTTTTTGTTTGTTGCATTGTTCCTTTATTCTTCCTTTCCTCTCTTATTGTTGGTTATTCAAATATTCTTTTAGGCTTCTAATATAATTCTTTAATTGTCTTTTTGGCTATAGCACTTTACATTATGTGTTAGTACTTTACATTATGTGTTACACTTTACATTATGTGTTAGCACTTTACATTACGTGTTAGTGATTGCTGTGGAGATTACACTGCACCTTTAATAATGCTCTGCTTAAGGCTAATATTATACTATTTCACATAATTAGGAAGAAATTTATAACAGCATAGTTCCTCCATCCTTTGTGCTATTGTTCTTATATGTATATTACAGCTATGCATGTTATTATTTTTACAATGCATTGCTGTAATATTTGCTTTAAATAGTGATATGTCTTAAATAAATTGAGAAAATTATAACTTTTGATAGCAACCTACACAACTACCACTTTTAGTATTCTTCTTTCCTTCTTATAGATCTACCCGGTGTCATTTGCCTTCAGACTACAAAAATTTACTTGTTATGCAGATATACAGAACAAGAAATAAGTGTTTTTTTTAATGTTCATTTTTAAATAATAGTTTTACTTGATAAAGAATTCTGGGCTTACAGTTTCTTTCAGCACTTTGGTGATGTTAATTCCATTTCCTCCATTGTGTCTGGTGAGAAGATAAATATCACTGATATTGTTTTCTTGTATGTAATGTGTCTTTTCCTTCAACTATTTTCAAGATTTTCTTTTTTCTTTGAATTTTTTTTTTTTACTGGGAGTTCACTGAGAGCCTTGAATCTGTAAGCTTATATTCTTCACTGAATTGGAAACATTTCAACCTTATTTCTTAATTTTTTTGCTTTGCCCTTATGGAACTCCAATTATGTGTACAAATTTATGTATGTATGTATGTATTTATTTATTTATTTTTGAGACGGAGTCTTGCTCTGTCGCCAGGCTGGAGTGGAGTGGCACGATCTCGGCTCACTGCAGCCTCCGCCTCCGGGGTTCAAGCTATTCCCCTGCCTCAGCCTCCTGAGTAGCTGAGACGACAGGCACGCACCACCACGCCTGGCTAATATTTTGTATTTTAGTAGAAACAGGGTTTCACCACATTGGCCAGGAAGATCTTGATCTCCTGACCTCATGATCCACCTGCCTTGGCCTCCCAAAGTGCTGGGATTACAGGCGTGAGCCACCACGCCCGGCCTGTGTATAAATTTATAACTTGGATATTCTCCTTTAGGTCTGTGAGATGCTGTCCTTTTATTTATTTATTTTTTTACCCTCTCTATTCTTCAGATTGTATTATTGTGTACATTCATTTTCAATTTTACTGATTCTTTCTTGTGCTACTTCACTATATTCACTCTTTCAGTTAATGGAGTTCTCAGTTCTATAATTTTCATTTGGTTTTTGTTTTAATAGTTACTCTTACTCTGCTGTATTTGTAATTTTTTCATTGATTATGACTATATTTTCCTTCAAGTTTTTGAACATATTTATAATATCTGATTTAAGTTATTTTCTGCTAATTTTTAATATATAGGATATCTTGGAGTCAGTTTTTTTTTTTTTTTTTTTTTTTGAGACGGAGTCTCACTGTGTCGCCCAGGCTGGAGTGCAGTGGCATGATCTCAGCTCACTGCAACCTGTGCCTCCCAGGTTCACACCATTCTCCTGCGTCAGCCTCCCGAGTAGCTGGGACTACAGGCGCTTGCCACCATGCCCGGCTAATTCTTTTTGTATTTTTTTTAATAGAGACGGGTTTCACCATGTTAGCCAGGATGGTCTCGATCTCCTGACCTCGTGATCTGCCCGCCTCGGCCTCCCAAAGTGCTAGGATTACAGGCGTGAGCCACCGTGCCCGGCTGGAGTCAGTTTTGATTGCTTTTTCTCTTGACTATGGTTGATTTTTTTTTTTTGCATGTCTACTAATTTTTGGGTACTTGAGAGTCTGGCTATTACACTGCAGACTTTGGATTTTTTTATATGTTTTTTGAAGAACATTCTAGCAGTCAATTACCCTGGCTGAACTCAAACTCCAAACCCTGTTTCTCTGTCACCACTAAAATCTCTCCCTTTTACTCATCTTTTCTGCTGATCCTCCTGAAGTTTCTCCTGTGCATATGTAAATCAGAAATTAGCTAAAATTTTGGGCAGACTTTATATTTGGAAGTAGAACTTCTCATTTGTATATCATCCTTTCTGTGATTTCTTCTTTCAATTTCTAGCACTCTGGTGGTCCCAAATTTTGTATTCTGACTTCTTTTTTTTTTTTTTTTTGAGACGGAGTCTTGCTCTGTCGCCCAGGCTGGAGTGCAGTGGCGCCATCTCCGCTCACTGCAAGCTCCCCCTCCCGGGTTCACGCCATTCTCCTGCCTCAGCCTCCCGAGCAGCTGGGACTACAGGCGCCCGCCACCGCGCCCGGCTAATTTTTTGTATTTTTAGTAGAGACGGGGTTTCACCTTGTTAGCCAGGATGGTCTCGATCTCCTGACCTCGTGATCCACCCGCCTCGGCCTCCCAAAGTGCTGGGATTACAGGCGTGAGCCACCGCGCCCGGCCGTATTCTGACTTCTTAAGGCGGTAATCCCTGGCTTTCCGCTTGAGTCTCAGCAGCTTTATTCCAGCCAGGTGAGCGTGTGCTCTCAGAAAAAGCCACATAATCCTGCATCTCACCCTGTGCAGGCCCCTCTTTAAAATATTAAGTTCCCTTGGGTTTTGTGCCTCCTTTTCATTAATCTCTAATTAGGTGATTTTTATATTTTTTTCAAAGTTTATATTTTTTATCCGTTGGAAGTTAGTCTAATACAAGCTACTCTTTTATTAACAGAAGAGGAATTCATGATCTCATCTTGATTAGAGGTATGATTGAGCATATTTTCATAAATTTTGTGTCATTTGATTTCTCTCTTGTGGAAAGCTTATTTATATCCATTGCCTTTTTGCTTGGATTTTTCTCATTGATTTGAAGAAACTCCTTGTGTTTTATGGATATTAATTTTCTGTTTTAACTAATTTACATATTTTCTCCCTCTATTTTCATTAATGAATTCTTTCCTTCATAAAATTATAGAAATGAAGAAAATCTATACAGCCAGTTTGGAAACCAAAAGAAACAGATGTAAAATGAAACTTGATAGCAACTTATCTTCAGGTTGCCTGGTTTTTCTGGCCTTGAGCAGACATTCAGTTTGAGAAATTACAGAAAATAATAGAAACCCACAGACTTTCTCTAGGAAAGGCTGAAGTGATGAAGTGGAAGGAGAAATCTCATATATCAGTGACAGTAGTAAAATTTGGGTTTTCAAATACAGTAATCCACACTATTGTCAATGTGTGGTCCTATTTGGGGCATAGCTAACTGGTGCATTTTTCCTTCAATCAAAGAGTATTGTGTCACCCAAGTCCAGGGTTAGGCTAAGAAAATAATTGTGAGCTGTTAGACCTTGGGCAGGTTGTCAGCCTGTTTTTCTCATTGTAAAATGAGATCAATACAGACTAATTTGTAGGATTATGGTGAGAATTAAAGATGGCATGTAAAGTACCTAGAAGAGTATTCAAATTGGTATCATTTGCTATGTGTAAACACTAGAAAGTGAATTAACTTTTCTTCTATATCTTGATCCCAGATAGAACAGAGATTTTTCTGTAAATAATGTCTCATAAATTCAATTATTTACGTATCTGCTTCTGTTACTTGAAGGATATGTACATAAACACTTATTGTAGAAAGAAGAAATCCATCCTTCGTTAATACAACACCAGTTTCCTAAATTTCCTCTCTCAGAGTTAAGAAAGTAGTTTTCCCTCTACCTACTTCAAAGGATTCTTTATCATGGACCATTGGCCTGAACATTCTTTATGAAATTACAATTGTGTAGGTAGTTTTGAGCATAACCCGAGATAGTCTCTTTAGTGTGTGAACTGGTTAGGATGGCCACAAAGCTTCCCCTTAATGACAAAAGAGCTTGAGAAATGCAAAAAACAAACAAGCGAACAAACATTATTATTAATAAAAAAAAAGGTGACACCAGAAAATGACTGTGGAAATTGAGTGTTAGTAAGATTGGGAATGTGCTACCAAAGAAAAGCATAGACTATCCCTCTCCAAGGAGCTTTGTGAAACACAAAACGTCCTTGTAAGTTCCTGTTTGGAAAGGGATAGGAAATACCAAATCCATAGCCTGACCAATTCCATGAGCATTTAACTTACCCCACTTAGTCTGTCTTCAAACTGAAACCCCCCAAGAAGCAGTAGGTCCCCCTAAACCTGAGCTCCAGTCCAGTCGCTCTCTGTCCCTGCAGCCCCTTCACTTCCTCTGCCTCATACATCCACCCGATCCACCCCAGGATGCTGTGCTGACCTCTGCTTCTGAGAATCGGTCCCACCTCCCTTTGTGCTTCTGCAGGGAGGGGTGTGGAGGGTGGCATGCTGGTCAACACTTTCACAAAAGCAGCAAGTTTGAGATGAAATCCTGTTTCCTCCAGGCTGGGGGCAAACATAGTCATGGGAACAGCAGCAAAACACAGTGCTCTGTACTTGTGGCCCATGTCTGAGCCTCCCAGCTTCTTCCCTAGATGTCTTGGGAGTCTGGGTGGGTGCAGTGGGGTGGCCTCTGCTTTTTGCCCTGCAGTGACTGCTCTTTTCTCCTTCTACTCTCTGGACCCCTGACTGGATTTCCTTATCAGAGACAGCATTGATTATTGCTGAAGTCACAGGTGCGCATTGCTCACCTCCACGAGGTTTAGGTTTAGCTCAAGAGAAAGGGCTCTTGGAGACATGCAGTAGTGGATTTACTATCTTGTGGGGTTTACCTTGAGTGTCTTCCTTTCTTTACATTGTGAGGCTTCTCTCAAATTTTCCATCTCTAGCTTTCTTCTCTTTACCTTTGAGCCTCAACTTGTCATGAGCAGAAATTTGACTAGGCAGGCTGATGTGGTGGCATTTATTTTCTCTTAAAAACGTGTGCTTGGTTGGGCGCGGTGGCTCACGCCTGTAATCCCAGCACTTTGGGAGGCCGAGGCGGGCACATCACAAGGTCAGGAGATTGAGACCATCCTGGCTAACATGGTCTCTACTAAAAATACAAAAAGAATTAGCCAGGTGTGGTGGCAGGTGCCTGTAGTCCCAGCTACTTGGGAGGCTGAGGCAGGAGAATGGTGTGAACCCGGGAGGCGGAGCTTGTAGTGAGCTGAGATCGCACCACTGCACTCCAGCCTGGGCGACAGAGCGAGACTCCGTCTCAAAGAAAAAAAAAACAAAACACAAACCAACCAACCAACAAACAAAGAAAAAATGTGCTTTCCCAGAAATAATATAAACAACACGACACACTCACCATATTTAGCAGAGAGAAGCTGTTTTAATGTTTAAAGAGTCGTCATTTTTCAGAGTGATGTCCCTGCCCTGTCTCTGTCTCCTTACCCGTTTGGCCTGGGGCAGGTGATTTAGCATCCTCATATGTGAAAGGTCGGGCCTGCATTAGGTATTTCAGGTTCACAGAGAGGGCAGCAGGGAGAACTTTCTTCCTCTGAGTACATTTTCCTAAAGTGATACTGTTTAGAATATATACATTTATGTTAATTAGCATATAATTAACAATTTTAAAGTCCACGCTTTGGTGTCATTCAATACATTCACAATGTTGTGTAAGCTCCACCCCTATTTGGTCCCCAAACCTTTTAACCTGCCCAAAAGTATACCTCGTACCCAGTCAGCAGTCCATCTCCCTTGCCTCCTACCCACTAGTCTTAGAATCATTAGTCTGGTTTTTGTCCCCACAGGTTTACCTATTGTGGAAATATCATATACACAACATATGATCTTTTGTGTCTGACTTATTTCACTTGGCATAATGCTTTCAGTGTTCATTCACATTGTACCATGTGTGAGTACTCCATTCCTTTCTATGGCTGAATAATATTCTGTTGTATTGCTATACCACAATTTGTTTACCCATCCATCCATCAGTGTGCATTTGGGCCATTTCTACTTTTTGGTGATTGTGAACAATGCTGCTGTGACCCTGTCTATCCATGTACTTGTTTGATACCTGTTTTTAATTCTTTTAGGTATATACCTAGGAGTGGAGCAAGTGATACCTTTTGAAAAATTTTAAAAATGAGCGTAGGTTGGTATGATGCTTGTTATGTCTGTGATAATGAGAAATGAGTGACAGCATGTGGAAGTGAGTGTGCAGGACACTAGCCCTCCCTTGGTGTGCCTGTTCCTCCACCCATATGATGTTTATTGACATCAACTAAGCTAGGCTGGATGAGGACAGGAGGCAGGAGGAGCTGCCATTGTGTAGCATGCACACACTTTGCCTGCTTATTCAACCAAATACTCATTGTGGTCTGCTGTGAAGGGATTTTGCAGAAGCCATTGAATCCTTCTCAGTTGACCTTAAGTAAGTGGAGCATGCTGGTGGGTGTGATCAGCAGAGCCCTGCACAGGAAGGCTCAGGTATTCCTTGCCCTGGACTCCAAATAGCATCAGGGTGTTCATGGCTCACCCTGCACTGGGGACACCCTTCCTGACTGCCTGCCCTACGAGATTTTAGATTTAGTTTTCAGTCTCATGATCACACAGGGCAATTCTTGACACACAGTTCTCCATCTCTCTCTATCTGTATCTGTCTGTCTGTCTCTTCCAGTGGTTCTATTTTTCTGGTTGAACCGTGACTGACACACCCAGCAATAGCCCAGACCCTCATTCAAGCTTGGCTCAGCCTTCTCCATGAGGGCTGGGCCAGTAATCGATGTGTGTGAACGTTCAGGTGAGAACTGAAGCTACCAGAGTAACTGTGACCTTTTCAAGGGAGCAGACATGACGTAGGTCTTGCCTCTGCTGCTCTCAGGGAATAGTGTTTCTGATTGTTTAAGAAAACATAGAAACAGAGTTATAGAAAATTTGTAAATGTTGACATCTAATTGGAACTCCTTAACAAACAATGGTTGAGACTTCTGTGCCTGGAAAGATGGGGTAAATATAGTTTTCTCTATTCCTCCCATTAAGCACAACTAACCCCTCTGGACATGATATATACAACACACATAAGATGACTGTGGGCCGGGTGCAGTGGCTCACGCCTGTAATCCCAGCACTTTGGGAGGCTGAGGCGGGCGGATCACAAGGTCAGGAGATCGAGACCATCTTGGCCAATGTAGTGAAACCCTGTCTCTACCAAAAATATAAAAAATTAGCCAGGCGTGGTGGTGGGCACCTGTAGTCCCAGCTACTTGGGAGGCTGAGGCAGGAGAATGGCATGAACCTGGGAGGTGGAGCTTGCAGTGAGCTGAGATCGCACCACTGCACTCCAGCCTAGGTGACAGAGTGAGACTCCATCTCAAAAAAAGAAAAAAAAAAGAATAATGTATTTATACCAATACACTTAAAAACAAATGTTTCTAAAATTATTTTAAGAAATATAAACTACTGGCCAGGTGCGGTGGCTCACGCCTGTAATCCCAGCACATAGGGAGGCTGAAGCAGGCGGTTCACAAGGTCAAGAGATCGACACCATCTTGGCCAATGTAGTGAAACCCCATCTCTACCAAAAATATAAAAAAATTAGCCAGGCGTGGTGGTGGGCGCCTGTAGTCACAGCTACTCGGGAGGCTGAGGCAGGAGAATGGTGTGAACCCGGGAGACAGAGCTTGCAGTGAGCCGAGATTGCGCCACTGCACTCCAGCCTGGGTGAAAGTGTGAGACTTGTCTCAAAAAAAAAAAAAAAAAAAAAAAGACTGTGAAAGGCAAGAGAGAGGAGGCTGGCTTCCCAGTGACCTTGGGTTTTCTGGGTTTTCCTTTTGCCTTATACATCCCAGACTTAGAGCTAAAGAAGCTGACAACCTGGAAAAGTCAACATGCTCAGATGAAAGCAGCCCCTACAAAACTTGCTCTCTTGCCAGAGGAGCAGGAAAGAGGCAGCCAAGTACAACAGATAACTTTTAGTCAATAACCACTCCATCAGTGAAACACTGCAAGAAAACTGTGGCCCTGCCCACCAGAAAAGGCCTGGTGGAGAACCTAGACATGTGGGCTGAGGCAGCCAATTCCCCACTAGGGTGGTGTCAGAGAAGTCTGCATTCCAGGAGATGGGAGTTTCATCTTGCTGGCTGGCAATGATGCCTGTGTCAGTGCAGACCACTTTGGGAACCTGGACTTCCCCTCCTGCCATGCACTGAATTGTATCCTCCAAAATTCATATGCTGAAGCCTTAACCCACAACATGATTGTGTTTGGAGAAAGGCTCTACAAGGAGATAATTATGTTAAGTGTGGTCATAAGGGTGGGACCCTGGTCCTACAGGATTAGTGTCCTTATAAAAAAGAGGAAGAGAGAGATGAAAGTCCATGTGAAGACACAACAAGAAGGCTGCTGTCTGCAAGCCATAAAGAGAGCCCTCACCAGACATGGGCTCTGCTGGCACCTTAATCTTCAACTTCTGGCCTCCAGAACTATGAGAAAATTACTGTCTGTGGTTTAAGATGCCCAGTCTTTGGCAGTCTGAGTGGTAAGGAGGCTCCTTGCTGCCCCTCTGGTTTGGGGTCAGAGTGCTGGTGTCATTCAAGGCTGTGAACGGAGCAGATGCCCGGCTTTCCAGACCCTTCTGGACAGGAAAGTATCAGCAGAGGCTTGTGGGAAGGCAGAAACCACCTCCACCACAGTAATGACCAGCCCCACCCTGGGTGTCAGTGGAGTGCAGCTGAGGCTCTTGGACTTCTGTTCTCATTTGGCAGTCATGAGGTGGTGGTGGCTCCCTTCCCCACTGGAGGGATGCCAGAGGGAGCCAGCTAAAAGGAAGGTTTAGAGAAGACCCAGAGCCGCATAAGACAATGCCCAAAATGTCTGTGTTTCAATGGAAAACCGCTTGTCATACGAAGAATCAGGGAGATCCCAAATGGAATGAGAAAAGATGATCAGAAGCTGCCAAGACCAAAGGTCACACGTGTTAGAATTATTCAAAATGGGTTGAAAGAAGCCCTACAACAATGTGTCAACGAGCTGGTATGAACACACTTGAAACAAACGAATGAAACAGAAAGTTGGAGAAAAGAAATAGAAAATCCCAGCAAAGAAATAGAAAGCCTCAGCAAAATAGTAGAAGGTATAAAGAAGCAAACTGAAATTTTAAAAGTGAAAAATACAATAAGTGGAATAAAATTTCAATGGACAGGCTCAAGGGATGAACGAGGGGAAGGAGGAGTCAGTGAGTTGGGAGTGAATGCAACAGTAAGGAAACAAGCCAATTAGAAACAGACAAAAGTCATAAACAGCTATTTCACCCCAGAAGATATACAGATAGAAAATAAGCATCCAAAAATATGTTCAACATCATTAACCATTGGGGAAATGCAAATTAAAACCACAATGAGATATCGTTACACATTTATCAAAATGGCTAACATAAAAAAATAGGGTCGACATCAAATTCTGGTGAAGATGCAAAGAAATGGAGTCATTCATATATTACTGGTTGGAGTGTAAAATGGTACAGCCACTCTAGAAAAAAGTTGGGCAGTTCCTTAAAAAAATGAAACACACACTTAACATGCAATCCAGCAGTCACACTCCTGGGCATGTATCTCAAAGAAATGCAACGTATTTTCACACCAGCACTGTCCATGGATGTTCATAGCAGCTTTGTTAATAGTAACCTCACCCTAGAAGCAGCAGCCACACCATTGCTGGGTCATTACCCAGCAATATACTGAAGTCTTATTGATACACACAACAATCTGGACAAATCTCCAGAGAATTGTTTCCAAGAGCCAGACTCAAAAGTTAAATGCTGTTTGATTTTATTGACATAATATTCTAGAAATGATTATAGGAATGGGGAACAGCTTGTTTCCACTGGTAAAGATGGGGTGGGTGTGGAGGGACGTGGGTGTGTCTGTAAAAGGGTGAAAGGAGGGAGAGTTGTGGAGAAGGTCATGTTCTGCATCCCGGCTAGGTTAATCCTGGTGGGATGCTGCACTCTAGTTCTGAAAGATGTTACCATTCAGGGAAACTGGAGAAAGAGTGCAAGGGATCCTCTGTATTATTGCTTTTCTTTTCTTTCCTTTATTTTTTTTTGAGACAGAGTCTCATTCTGTCACCTGGGCTGGAGTGCAGTGGCGTGATCTCGGCTCACTGCAACTTCTGCCTCCTGGATTCAAGTGATTCTCCTGCCTCAACCTCCCAAGTAGCTGGGATTACAGGGATGCAACACCACATCCAGCTAATTTTTGTATTTTTAGTAGAGACGGGGTTTCATGATGTTGGCCAGGCTGGTCTTGAACTCCTAACCTCAGGTAATCTGCCCACCTTGGCATCCCAAAGTGCTGGATTTATGTATTATTTCTTACAACTGCATGCAAATCTACAATTATCTCAAAATAAAAAGTTTAATCAACCCTCCCAAAAATATTGGCATACAAATGTTTAGGATTACTAATAATTCCTTCCATTTCTAACATGCAAAACTTTTATCACGGGTACAATCATCTCTATACTTTCTGGAGTTCATTGACTATTTGGGGCAGTCATATCTGGTTGCTGATGGAAAACTTGGAACCCTGTGACCATTGCAGGCACTCCAATGAATAGCCATCATCAATATGAAACGTGGATCCATGGCCATGAAGAAACTTCTTTCTCTAAACCATTGCAATAATTTATGAGTTCTTTTTCCTTCACAAAACTTAATTAGCCCTGCAATAGAATCACAAGATGGAGGTGCATGACTCTACCTTGAGTCATGGGGCAGTTCTAAAAAACATCTGGTCACTCCAGGTTCACCCATGTAAGGCCAGGTGGAAAAGGCAGTTGAGGAAGTTTTGATGTCTCTTGACAGGTGGATCCTTATGTTGGTCAACACGTCTGCATAAGAAACACCTCGTGACGAATCACAGGTGAGTATTTGACTCCAGAGGCTGAGCTATTCAGAGGCTCTGATTAGGATTATTGGACAAGATTCTAGACCTTTTCAGAGATTGATGCTTAGTTACTATTCCAGTGAGCTGATTATAGGATGTCAAAGTCCATTGGCAATATCTCCATAACTTATGAACTTAGCACAGTTCAACTGGTGACAGTTTTGGAAATACTTTTACCATAGAATTAACCAGAAATTTCAGCTTTTAAAGACATTTTTATTGCTTTATGGAACTATATGGATTTGTTTATATTCATTGGCCATCCATTTATTTATTCCATAAACATTTATTAGATACTTCCAAAAATAGGCCATTCTGACCTATTTTTATCAAACAAACATTGTGTTTATACATCCACAACTTTTATGAAGACTTTAATTTTTTGGGAAGCAATCATTTCAACATATTGAAACCAAAAAAAGGGAAAGCCTCAAAAACATATCCTTTATCTTCTAGTAATGCTTTCTTGATATTTGGCACTAATAGAAATGACCTTTAGATTCTGTGAGTGCCCCTTAGATAATAAAGAAAAAAGATTCGTAAACCCACAGCTATATTCCCTACATGGAGGATTTAGATATTTTTGCATTTTTATTTCAATAACTTCCCTAAGGTGATGCCATATTTACTGTGCCAAAAGTTTCATTTTCAAATGAGATATCTTGTATGTGGTAAATCTCATTGTTCTTCCCCCCGCCGAGATGGAGTTTCACTCCATTCTGGGGTGAAGTGGTGTGATCTTGGCTCACTGCAACTTCAGCACCCCCAGGTTCAAGTGATTCTCCTGCCTCAATCTCCAGAGTAGCTGGGATTACAGGCACCCACCACCATGTCCGGCTAATTTTTGTATTTTCAGTAGAGATGGGGTTTCGCCATGTTAGGGCCAGGCTTAACTCCTGACCTCAGGCAATCCACCCCCCTTGGCCTTCCAAAGTGCTAGGATTACAGGTGTAAGCCACCACACCAGGCCTTGTTTTTATGATTATTATCTCCTTTTATTAATGATTTTTCTACTGATGCTGAATTGGTTAAATGGTTCTGAAATTTAGCTTATGCTGAGATGTTTGTGCTGAAAAATGTATGCACGGAGTCAATAATACTAAGAAGTGTTTTGTCCATGATTATATCCTGTTTTATGTACATTTATATTCTTTATATTCTGTGCAATAATGTACTTATTTTCAGATTGTGATGCTTAAATGAATCCATTATCCAAAATTTTTATGTGCATATTTTTTGTTCCTTCTTGGACCAAACTTATTGAAGTTGAAGTGCCATTTTTTTCTCACCCTCCCACAGAATTCATCATGTAGAGAGATGCTAATGAGATATGACGGAAGAAGGGTGCACAGGTGTATTATCTGGGCTCAGATTGGCAACTCTCTGATATACACACACAGGCACACACCCACACTCACATGCACACATACACAGAAAGCCATGCCTGATCAAAGACTTCCATTTGGTTGAACTTGGCAATGATTTTGAAATGTTGACAACTGTCAAATTAAGATCACCCAAGCCATTTCACAGGCTCAAATTTGGATGCAGGTCTCAGAACAGAAGGAGATAGCTCCTGGCTACTGCCCAAGTGACTTCACCATCTATCAT
This sequence comes from Homo sapiens, assembly GCF_000001405.40. Lineage (NCBI taxonomy): Eukaryota > Metazoa > Chordata > Mammalia > Primates > Hominidae > Homo > Homo sapiens. Next base: position 76,277,926 of record NC_000018.10, on the reverse strand, counting down.
TCAGTTAGCTGTGCTTTCCGAAACGGAGCAGTAGAGAGATGGGGGAGGTCGGCATCCAACTCCAGAAATCAGATTTTTCCGCATTTACCTTAATTGGCAGGAGGAACCTAGATTAGCCCTTTATTTAAGATGTGCAAATAAGGAGCTTGGTTATGTTTGTTCAGCTTCTCTTCTCTTAGCTTTTCCTCCTCCCTCGTCTTTATTTCCATTCTTTTCCTCCACTCATCTTGGGAGGAGCATTCATGTCTCAGTGCAGTGGAGGGGGTGGGATGCTACTGCTTCAGTTCCCCGAGGGGCTGCAATCCTCTGTATTTGGTCATGGTGGTGTTTTCTGTTGCTGTGTGTCAAGGCTATCCCCCTTCTCACTGTCAGTCCCAGTTAAAATGTTCATATGTTTATTGTCTTCCTCTTGATTTTAGGCTTTTTAAGAGCAATGGCTGTATTGCCTCAATTTTGGTCAGTATTTTCACACCCAAACAGAATCCTGTGTAGAGGAGAGGCTTCATAAGTGATACCAATGTGCTGGGAATAAACAGAGAATTTTGGTGCATTAGGATTAAACACCATTTTTAAGAAAAAATATGGTACATAATAGTTGTACACATTTGTGGGGTACATTTAATATTTTGATGCAAGCATATGATATGTAATGATCAAATCAGGGTACTTGGGATACCATTGCCTCAAATAATCCTTTTTATTCTGAGTTGCCATCATTTTTGGAACTTATGGCAGAAGACAGAAATCCAAAGTATTTACTGAAACGTTTTCTTTGTATTGTGTGATTATCTATTAGCAGATTACTCAGCTAACATTTTAACTGAATCCTTTCTGTTAAAAAAATGTAGTCTTTTGACTGTTTCCAAGAGGTATCTGCATCTGTACGGTTATCTGCTGATGTCGAGTTGAATGCCTGGGAAGTTCTCTGTATGCATGATAGATACCCTTAGAGTGCTGCTCCCTCTCTCCAAGTGGGGAGTTCCAGTTTATTCATAAATTTATATCCAGGGAGAAGAAGAAATTAAACCACAACTAACTTCAGAGTCTACTGTCAATGTGCCAGAGCAAGCTGGGTCCCAAAGCTCAAGCCAGTCATGTGCAGCAGACCCCACAGGCCACTGCATTCCTGAAAAGAAAATGCTACAACACCATTTTGGCCGGCATGCTCTCAGGACCACAGGACAGTAGGTTGTGAGAACAGAATGCATGTAGAAGTCATCGACATATTTGAATATTTTTGGAATTTCTTTTGTAGCTGTGGATTCAACTTTATTTGGTGTTGTGACAATAAGATACCCACATAATAGGTTAAAAACAGATCCTTCGATTTAATATCCAGTGTTTCTTGCCTACAGGATTTCAAACAATACCTGTGAAAGCACTGAATGCCTGTTTTGGGGTGACACCCTCAGCTGTGTGTAATGCACAGGAGGACACAGCAGTGCTTAAGCCCGCAACAGACTTTGGCATTTTGCAATCTGGACTTGAGGGTACTAGCTACATGTTTTCTGGCATGAAGAAGCCAAGCTTCCTCAGAATCCCTGTGTTTTGAAACTTGAGTAGGAAAGAGAAGTCCCTCGGGGCATCAGCTGTCAAATTTTCTGTTATCCTCAGCTGGGGAGCCAGCACCTTAGGCTGGTCACAAAAGGGCCCTATAGAAACAAGAAGGCTCAGCCTGGCCCCTTCTGGGAGAGGGCTCCATCTCAGGCAGTCAGGTCGAGTTTCAGAGTGTCAGACACACCCAGAAGCTGCTGTTGATGGCAGTGCAGGTTGGGCACAGTGCCACATTAGGAAGTGCCATTTGCATAGACCAAGGTATAACGGTTCCCCCACGCCCACTTGTGCAGTGCACAATCTGAACCACAACACGTGGCAGTCAGGGTAGCGTGGACCACTTCCGGAGCTCTGCACATCCTTCTTTTGAGATGCACATGGTCTTCTGCAATCCAGAGTGGTCTGCTTCTGCCAATAGCAGGACAGGATCACCCTCAAGTTGCTGAGAGAGAGGACTGGAATTTATGGGAGGTGCCAGCCCCAGCACAAAGGGAGGAGTTGGTTTACTAGTTCCTAGTATATCACTAATTGTGTAACTTTGCAGGAAAACGCTTTCTGGTTTCCAATATGTTCTGTTGAAAAAAACAGTTATGGCAATATCCCCATTTCCCATATTGAAAGATTACCTTAAATGTAAGTTAAATAACAGTTACACAAGTGCTAGAATAGTAGAGTTGGTAATCAACACAATGTGCTCTAATAATCTCTGGAAATAGTGAGCACTGATGGGTAGTGTTTAGGGAATCAGATTTAAAAGACAGGACGTCTTCAAAGCGAAGCACAGTCATTTGTGTTCCGTATGTTGGTAGGCTCCAAACATGAAATATGGTTTCTTTGAAAGAATACATTATACTATTTGCTTTGATTAAATAATGTTGCATTTTTCTAAGCATCAATGACTCAGAAAGTATCCAGACCCAGAACCCACTGCTTTAAAGAAAAATCTCCAAATCACTTGCATAAAATGTGTGTTGAGAAGAAACATGAGACAGAAAGTAAATGGGTACTGGAAACCCCTTTCCCACCTCAATTCCCTGTTGTCCCCGGATCATTCCGTGCCTGCGAGAAGTCGGACTTCCACTCTGCTCTGAGGACACATTCTAAATCATTCTGCTGGCTTCCCTCATGCTTTCAATAACGCTCTCATTACAGGGTTCAGGGTTCACAAATACTGCCTGCAGACACTCTGCACAAGAATCTTTTTGTATGAATTTAACCAAAAGGTACCACTGTGATTTAATGGCAAACAAATCATTCCCGCAATCCAAGGGCTTTGCTGGGAGAGGAGCTGGCAGGCCTGTCAGTGGCAAGGCTTGGCCAGGTGGGCAAAGAAGTTTCAGGTGGGTGCACCGGTGGATCCTGGCAGCAGCCCTCAGATCCCAGATGCCTCCTTGCTGATGTATGAGGAGCGACAGGGCTAGATGCTCCTGGACAGCTTGTGTGGTGTCAGGGAGGCGTGAGCAGTGGCTGTCACAGGCTCCACCACAAGATGTCACCAGCACCCTCAGTGCCCGACACGCGTCGCAGGAGCCGGGTTGCCTGGAATGTTTTTGTACGAGTTCTGCAGCATCTTCATTGAAGGCGACGACACAGGGTGAGGGGGCCTCTTTTCCTGTCTAAGTTCACAGAAATCACAACATCCTCTGAGTTCCTTGGTACCCTGGAAAGGCGGAGAGGAGTGAGGATGAGCGGTGGGCGTGGGAGTGAGCAGAGAGGGGATTGCACCAGGGCGCAGCGCACACACTGCTCAGAGTGAGCTGGGCAGTCAGGCTTTGCTGATAAAATCCAGGCAGGTGTCTTCCCCATGAGCTTCCAATGCGGTGGCTAAGTGGTTGGAGGGTCTGGGAGAGACCTGGGCACTTTGTCTCTCTAGAGACTTGCATATTTAGAGTCATTATTGTACAGATACCAAATCCCCATTAAAAATAAACTGAACTTCTCTGTGAAGGTTCTCATGGTGCTGAGAGGGCACCATCACTCTGAGTCCCTGGTGTAGTGGGCTGCGGGCTCCCCTCAGCCCCCTGGTTGCCCTGCACCACACTCCGCATGGCATTCTGGCTCCAGGAATAATAGCCAGTTGTATTTATCTTACACAGGAGCATGACTATTTAGGCCCAGTTTTCCTGGGAGGTGCTGAGGAAGGATTTTGCAGCTGACCAGCTGCACCCTGGGTGAGGGATTTGAGGGGATCCCATGCTCTGAGGAGACCTGTGCCAGTGGAGCCTCCTGGCGCCGGGGAGCCTGGGCCGTGGTGGAGGCCTGGGAGCTGAGGATTCATCTTCTCATTCTTTCCTTCTCCCCACGATGAACCACACCTTCCTGGAGCGGCAGTGCCCTCTTTTACACTCACAACCAACCCAGCCTTTCAAGTCTGTCTTTTAAAGGGATCACCTTGACAATGCAGATAAACTTTTGGAAGAAACGGCTGCATACTTATTTGTAGATCTCCTCAGAAAAGGAGCTGGAGGGGCTAACATATTTATATGGCCAGTGAGCGAGGCATTAGATCCAGTGTTAGGGCACAAAATTATGTCTGTCCAAGTGAACAGTGTGTCAAGGAGGGGCGGGCCGAAGTGAGATGTAAAATATTGTGCATTGAAAATATCGTTACATTCCCAAAGGCTGTATACATTTTGTGGGTTACTTCTTTATGCAGCACATTCTTATTAAAATTTACCAAGCCATCAGGGGCATTAAATAAGTTCTTACGTAGTTGTGCTTTTCTTTTTCTGAAAATTTTAATGCATCCTGAAGTGACAGTTGTTCAGTGAAACAGGGTCCCTCAGTGCCCGTTATGAGTGATTCAACGCTAATTAGAAATTGATGAAGGTTCATTTTGTATGTACAGTTCCCAACTTTTAAAAACCCTAATACGTATTTTTAGGCCTAATGTTCATGGGATTTGATGGGGAAAGTGCCGCGTAGCTGCTACACAGCAGGAAGGCAATAAGGCACGGAATGAATACTCGCAGACAGGGCTCGCTTCGGCCTCCCGGAATTGTGCAATCAGACACCACGTGAATATCCAGCGCGGCTCCTGATCTCTGAGCCCTGGTGGCCCGGGGCACCATCAAGTCTACATGGTCTTGTCAGTACCACTGCGCTCAACACAGACAGCACGGCTCTCGCAGCCACTGCTGGGTCATTACAACGTACGACTTCCAAGAGCCAGAGAGTACTCCGGTGACCTTGGAACTTTCCCCAAGTACCTAAAGCACAACCAGAGCATGGGTGTGTGGGAGGACACTCGCTTTCCATGCTGCACCTTCTGTGGCCACCGTTCGCCTAAGGGCAGCAGGATAAAGATGGTAAGGAATTCAGCTCTTCGTGCTCGACAGATCTCAGTCCTGTTTGGATTTTACATAAGCAACTATTTCCCTGCATATCAGCCTCACCATCCTCTGCTAGGATTCATGGTCCTGCATGGTCTGGCCCCATGCTTCCTTTTGGTCCTTGTTTCCTGATTTTCCTTGCTGTGGGTTGAATTGTGTCCCCCGGAAGAAGGTTTGGTGAAGCCCCGCCCCCTGAAGTCTATGGATTGGAACTTGATTGGGTCACATTGGTCCAGTTAAGCAGAGTGATCAAGTTAAGATGAGGTCATGTTGGAGTGGGTGGCCCTAATCCAATGACTGATGATTTTTTTTTTTTTTTTTTGAAACAGTCTTCCTCTGTCGTCCAGGCTGGAGTGCGGTGGCACAATCTTGGCTCAATGTAGCCTCCACCTCCTGGGTTCAAGTGATTTTCATGCCTCAGCCTCCTGAGTAGCTGGGATTACAGGCATGCACCACCACGCCCAGGTAATGTTTTATATTTTCAGTAGAGACAGGGTTTTTGCCATGTTGGCCAGGCTGATCTCAGACTCCTGGCCTCAAGTGATCTGCCTGCCTTGGCCTCCCAAAGTGCTGGGATTACAGACGTGAGCCACTGCGCCTGGCCTGATGATATTTTAGGAAGAGGAAAATTTGGACAAGGACACATGGAGGAAAGATGGCCATTGGAGACGGAGGTGGAGATAGGGGTGACGTTGCAGCAAGCAAAGGTGCCCATTCCAAGGATTGCTGGGCACCACCTGAAGCCAGAAGAAGCCAGGCAGGACTCTGCCCTGGAGCCTTTGTGGGAAGTGTGGCCCTGCTGACACCTTGATTGTGAACTTCCAGCCTCCAGAATGTGAGAGAAGAAATTCCTGTTGCTTTAAGCCACTCACTGTGTGGTACTTTGTTATGGCAGCCCCAGCAAATGTATGTCTAGGAGACATACATCAGCCTCTTACCAAACCCAGTTCTCTCCTGTCTCCTGGCAAGGCTGCACCCTGTCCCTCTCTCCTGAGTACCTGTGCTCCATCTCTTCCTTCCTTCCCCATCACCACTCCTCCCTTCAAAATCCCATTCGTCTTCCTAGGGCCATCTCAAATTCACCTCCTCCGTGAAGCCTTTCCTGACTTTCTAGATGGTAGAATTTTTTTTTTTTTTTTTTTTTTGGAGATGGAGTCTCACTTACTCTGTCGCCCAGGCTGGAGTGCAGTGGAGCAATCTCAGTTTCCTGTAACTTCTGCCTCCTGGGTTCAAGGAATTCTCCTGCCTCAGCATCCTGAGTAGCTGGGACTACAGGTGTGCGCCACCACACCTTGCTAATTTTTGTATTTTTAGTAGAGACAGGGTTTCACCATGTTGGGCAGGCTGGTCTCAAACTCCTGCCTCAACTGATCTGCCTGCCTCGGCCTCCCAAAGTGCTTGGATTACATGTGTGAGCTACCGTGCCCAACCAAGGAACCTTCTCTGCATTCTCATAAGACATTGAACTTTTCTCACAACATTTATATTCTGTAGTCTATCATACCTATTTATTCCTGTATCTTATCGCTACTAGACTTAATGCTCTTTGAGGGAAGAGTGCATGAATGCATATTCTATTTTGCATTCTCTGAAGCATGTATTGAGGTGTGCATGCAGGAAATATTGTTAAATTGAAATAAACAGTTTAATTCTAGATTAGTAGACTATTTGAAAATTACCAATTCTTAAGATGCTTTCAATACTCGTTAAATTTAATCTACCTATTTTAGTTCTTCCTTATTCCTGGCTAGTACTGTGTCAACCATTAGGAATGAATTTCTAGCAGTGCTGGGGCATGGCAGATGTCTAAGGAATATTTGTTGAATGTATGAATGCATTTATACTAATGTGACTGAGTATAATGCCCACCCTCAAGGAGCTTACAGTCTAGTAGGGTGTGAGTAACCAGATTATTTCAGTGTGAAACATGCAAGGATAAAGGTGAGCATGGGTGTCTTAGCACAGAGTAAGGTGCTTGTCTTAGTTCTGTGGGATGTCAGAAGGGCCCCTTGAGAGAGCTGATAAGCTGTCATGAGAGATATGAAGGACATTGATGGGTGAAGAAAAGAGAAGTCAGGGAGGTATGGAGAGAAGGTGGACGGGACCACGGCTGCTCACTAGAAATAGAATGTGAGCTGCATACCCAAGGTATGCATCTACTATGAATCTTTGTAGTAGGACAGTAACAAGAAACAAGTGAAACTGATACTCATCATATAATTTATTTAAGTCAATATATCAAAAATCTTATCATCATTTCAACATATTAATATGAAATATGTTAATATTTTACATTGTTTTGTCACCAGGCCTTCAAAATGCAATGTCTATTTTCCACGTACAGCTACGTTTCAAGTGCTCAGTAGCCACATGTAGCCAGTGGCGACAATATTGAACAGCACAGGAGTAGACAAAGGAGGACACTCAACAGCATGAAAGCCTGAGGGGTGAAGGCAGTGCTGGTGATCATAAGCATTTCCTGATGACCGAAGGATAAAGGTCAAGGCAGAGGGTGGGGGATGAGACATTTGCACATGTGAAGAGTGGGTTCTGGAGGGTCCTCTGACATGCAGAGGGGCTTAGGATCTGTTTTGTAGTGATAGGGTCCAGACCAAGGTTTTCAGCAGAGAATGGCTTAATCTGGTGAGTGTCTGAGACAGACCTCTAGGGTGGTCATGTGTGTGTGCATGTGTGTGTGTGTGCATGTGTGAGTGTGTGTGTGAATGTGTGTGTGCCTGCATGTGTGCATGTGTGTGTGTGTGAATGTGTGCATGTCTGTGTGTGTGTGTGTGTGTGTGTGTGTGTGTGTGTGTGTGTTGGGGGTGGATTTGAAGGGGCAATTCTAAAGGCAGAGAGATCATGCATGAGGCTACTGCAACAGTCCAGATAAGGGACAACGAAGCTGTGAACCGGGTAGTGGTGATAATGGGAGAGACAGGAGTCCAACCCTCAGGAATGCTTGAGGTCTGGTTGGGTGTTGAGGGACTGGCATGATGAAAAGATGCAAAGTTCAGCTTTACAAGGGTGGCATCACACAGGTGGACTGATGTAGAAGCTCAAGGGCAAGGAATGGTAACTTTGGGGTCTTCAGCCTACAAGTGGAGTGAGTTAGAACCATTGGAATGGAGGAAAGCACCCAGTGTGTAAATAGGCTGGGATGGAGATCCACTTAAGTACTGGATATACAGGAAACTATAACCAGGACCAAGAACACGTGACCCAAGAGTTAGCGGGGAGAAACAATAGAGGTGGGTTCTTGGGATAACAAAGAAGTGGGGTTTCAAGAAGAAGGGTGTGGTCAACTGCACTGGACACAACCTGGGCATTGTCCAGTGTGTCCACCAATCTGAAAGCAGCATGCATCTGAGTTCCTGGTGCATTGATTTGAGTTGATTGATCGACTTATCAGACCCTGGGCATAGTCAGATTTCTAAAGAAGCAGAGCTAGGGGTCTGGGTTAAAGCAGCAGCTGCATGTGTAAATGTTGAATTGCAGGATATGGTGACCTTTGAAAATGGGTTGAGTTGCTGGCAATGAAGCACTATGAGCAGCACGAAGGGCAGATGATAGACCTTGATCAGTTTGCCAAATATTCACATGTATCAAATGTAGGTAGAATTTATAGGACATTGCAAGAAATGATTTCAAAATCACGTTTTTATTGACTACTGCATAGAAACCTACACAGAACACTTTTCAGATCAGTAGCGTGAACCTGAGTGAACTCTCTTGGCCACAACCAAAATAATAATAAAAATGACAGTAATGAGAATGACACTGTCACTACTGAAGACAAACATTTGTAAAGTGTTAAAATGTGCCAGGTGCTGTTCTAAGCTAAGCCCTTTACATATTTTCTTTCCTTCAATTCACACCAAGCTGCCTGCATTAGGTAGATAGTATTTTAACTTTAACCAAGTTCATTTTAATAGATATAATTTAATTAATTAAATTGAATTAACTTTTAATTGAACTCAAATTAAAAATTAAAATTAAAATTTTAATTTAATTTACACACCCAGCCTTAGGTGGATACTATTAACATACCCATTTTATAGATGAGGAGCCCGACAGAGACCACAGGACTTGCCCAAGGCCACACAGCTAATAAGCTAGCTGTGATCTTTTGTGAGGTGACTAGATGTCCTGAGGGGTGACCGTGGCTTCATGACAGGGAAGAGCACTGGCTCCTGGAGGCAGATAGACGTGCTCTGCAATTTTGGCACATTTCTGGACATTCTGGAGGTGCTATTTTGGCTAATTTGTTAAAAATGCTGAACCTCGGCCAGGCGCAGTGGCTCATGCCTGTAATCCCAGCACTTTGGGAGGCTGAGGTGGGTGGATCACCTGAGGTCAGGAGTTCATGACCAGCCAGACCAACATGGCAAAACCCCATCTCTACTAAAAATACAAAAATTAGCCAGGCGTGGTGCCTTGCATCTGTAATCCCAGCTACTCAGGAGGCTGAGGCAGGAGAATGGCTTGAACCTGGGAGGTGGAGGTTGCCGTGAGCCGAGATTGTGCCACTGCACTCCAGCCTGGGAGACAGAGTGAAACTCCGTCTCAAAAAAAAAAAAAAAATTGCTAAACCTTACTTTCATCATTTGTCATACAAGCCTAGCATTGCCACCCTCTGTCTTGCAGCAAAGATGAAACGGAGGGAAGTGTATTAGCTACATGGCATACACATTGCTTTTGAGTTGATTCTTACTAAATTGTAATAGAAAGCAACAACTTAGAACATTGAATTGTTTAAACTCTTGTGAAAGTCTAACTTAGAATCTTTTATAAAATAATGTTGTAAAAAGAATATAGAAGACAAAATTTTAGTCCTTGATTCATTACAGCTGGGAGATTTGAGGCAACGTATTTACTTCTCTGTGGCTTCTGCTGAAAATACTAACCATGCTGGGTTCTTTGGATTAACTCAGGTACATGAAAGAACCTTACTTTTAGTAGCGCTGAAACGAGATTCCAACTAAAATGATAAATCCTCGTTGCTTTCTGTTTATTTTGTACCTTTAATAGCATCCTTTGCGGTCAGGGGGAAGATGCTGGAATTCCCATTTTGCAGTCAAAGCAACAGAAACTCAGAGAAATTTATCTGCATCCCCAGTATCCCCTAATAGGTAAGGGGTGTCAAGCCACTTCACTGCCCAGGTAGCTTTCTATATTTACTTCTTCTTTTTTTTTTTTGAGCCAGGGAGCCAGGGTCTGATTCTGTTGCTTAGGCTGGAGTGCAATGGTGCGATCTCAGCTCACTGCAACCTTTGCCTCCTGGGTTCAAGTGATTCTTGTGCCTCAGCCTCCTGAGTAGCTGGGATTACAGGTGTGTGCCACCATGCCCGGTTAAGTTTTGTATTTTTAGTAGAGACGGTTTCACCATGTTGGCCAGGCTTGACCACAAGTGATCCTCCTACCTTGGCCACAAGTGATCCGCCTACCTTGGCCTTGCAAAGTGTTGGGTTTACAGGCGGGAGCCACTGTGCCCGGCTTTACATTTACTTTTTCATGGGCCCTTTGGTTTCCTTGACTTGTGGCACTCCACACCTTTTGTTGGGAGTGTGACAGACAGTGTTCACTGAGCACCCAGGGCCCTGGCCCCACATCAGATCTGTAATGTTTGATCATCCAAGTCACTTGCCCTCTGAAGACCTCTCTGATGCCTTTGCCCCTCACAGTTGCTCTCATTGACTTCACCATCCTGGCCAGTACTTCCTACTGGCATCCATTGGCTTCCGTTTTTAATTGCATGTGTCACGTTTTTGGTAATTTATTATATAGAATTATTGCTTCCACTAATGGTTCTTGAGGGCTCTTTGGCCTCTATCAAGAACATTCTTTTGTTTTGTTTATGGACAGAGACTATGCCCTAGGCTTCTACAGCTCTTGGTGGCTAACCCTCTTTGACCTATAGAAGGTGCATGGGAAACACTTCCAAAAGGGACACAGAATTCATTCGGAAACTCGGCTCCTGTCCAGGAGGTTTGAAGAGAAGTGTGGGTGCTCAGTGAGGTAGGCTGATGAGCCAGGGCCTAATGGAAGCCTTTGTGCAATGGAAGCATTTCTACAATCATTAGGCTTCTCTTACCACGCAATGCCATCAGCAACATTTGAAGAACTCAGACTCATGTGAATTCTGGATCCTCCAAAGACACATGCAGGGGCAACACTACTCCTCCAGTGAGTGCCACTTGTGCTGCCACATGAGCAAAAATTGACCGGGGACGCTCCGCTGTTCTCTGCCCTGAGCTGCGCCATCGTTGGCACCTGCCCCAGGCTTTCCCGTGAAGTCCTTTTGTCAGTTCCCTAATTCTTCCTTGCTCTTCCTTGAACATTTCCAGTTTGAACATATATAGTAAAAACTAAGATTTCTTTTCTACATACAGGTTTTGTTTGTTCCTTTACAGGTAAAAATTAAAGAATTAAGCTGGACACGAAAATCCTAATCATATGAGCGTGTTCCCTTCCCTTCCCTTCCTCCCTCCCTTCCTTAAAAAGAATTAAGCTGGATATGGAAATACCAATCATATGAGAGTGTTTCCTCCCTCCCCCTTCCCTTCCCTTCTCCTTCCTTCCTTTCCTTTCTTCCTCCCTCCCTTCCTTCTCCTTCCTCTTCCTTCCTTCCTTTCCTTCCTCCCTCCCTTCCTTCTCCTTCCTCTTCCTTCCTCCCTCCCCTTCTTCTCCTTCCTTCCTTTCCTTCCTTCCTCCCTCCCTTCCTTCTCCTTCCTTCCTTCTTTCCTTTCTTCCTTCTTTGCATCCTCCCTCCCTCTCTCCCTCCCTTCCTTCCTCCTTTTCTCTGTCCCTCCTTTTTCTTTTCTTTCTTCTTCTGCTTGTTTTTGCCAGACGTAGATGAAACAGAAAGTAACTGGAAATTTCATAAGCCTCTGATTTCCTGATCTCAGTAACAAATCATGCGGTGCTCTCCGGCTTCTCGGGGAGGAGGCTGGAGCCTGGGCTGCCCCTCCGCCCTGCCTGAGAGCTGCTGGACTGTGCTTCCTGGAGACGGCCTTAGCGAGGGGCTGACTGAAGCTGGGCCCTGGCCCATGTTTCTGTGGGTGCGGGGGGCCTGGGCGGTGGCATTGCCCAGCCAGTGGCCCAGCTTCAGCTTGCTTCCTGGGATTTCACAGGATTTCTGTTCTAAACATGACCATAGGTAGCACAATAAGCATTATTTCCCCCTTGGAAAACTCCTTGCCTCCACCCTCCCCTCTGCCTGCCCCTGCTCCCAAGCAATCATCCTGTGAGTCTCTGCTAATGGTGCTTCAGAGAAAGATCAAAGTTTCACAGATAAGTGTTCTTTTACACAATGTTCCTGACACTCCATTTGGTAAACAGGAATTTTTTTTTTTTTTTTTTTTTTTTTTTTTTTTGCTTAAAAGAACATATAAGCATGCCAAGTGAGATGGATCTCTTGCATTTTCTCATCTTTGACTGCAGTACTTGTGCAGAGTCCAATCCTAGCACTGCCCCAAAACAACCAAACTTGGCCTGTTTTGCACATGGAGAAAAAAAGTTTGTAGAAAAATGTAAGAAATAATGCCAAATGGAAGCTGGAGGCTGGTAAGCATCTCAGACGTCCATCTCTGGCATTGGATGGCAGTCTTGTTTTCTCTTTAAATAATGTTTTTGAAATAACCTCTTACAAAACTTCTTTCTGCTCAGTGCCTTCCTAACAAATAAGGGAATACTGTCCCCCATCTCTGACCTTTCTTCACAAAAGAAAATGCCCGATAAACAAAAACACAAAACAAAAGGGGACTTAAGTCCCCCATAGTTCCTGTTACAGCTTCTCCAAAAATATGGGCTCATCAGCAACACAGATATAAAACCAAAGGCTCCATTTAACACCGTGAGGATGGATCTTTAGGATCTTTCCTTTCTTTTCTTGGTAATTGCAAACAGATTGTGATGACTGTCGGGAACGGAGGCTTTTTCTTCCCAGGCGTGGTGATGGCCGAGCCTGAGAGCCTGTGAGATAGTTGTGAGCTGACGAGGGGCTCTTGAGCAGGCTGGAGTGCGCTGTCTACGCAGTCACCACCTGATGCCCTATTTTCAGGAACGTGTGTGTGTTTACTTTGTACAACAGCAGGCAGCGTCCCTGACTTTGGGTGAAATGGCCATTTCAGGTACTACAGGGCAGATATTTGTCCTCACCTTTGTTTCTCCTGGGCCTCCATGGGGATGCTGTGGACAGGGTGCTGGGATGAAAAGCATTCTGCAAGACGCGTGCTCGTCCATCTGATCTCCTGCCCTCCTGGGCGCTCTGGGAAACTCCCTTGGTTTTCTTCTTGCCTGACTGGCAGCAGTTTTGAAGACTTTGCTTTCTAAACCTTGGGACAGGACTTTGCTCCCTAGAACGGAGAGCCTTAGGAAGAGGACTTCCTGAGGGGACGGCACAGGAGATGGAGGTTCAAAGGCCCAACTGGTGCATCCACCACGTCCGCCTCTCAGGATGCCTGCCTTGCCCTCTGCCCTGCCCTCCACCCTGCCCTCCGCCCTGATGCCTGTTACTTCCCTGCCACCAGAAGTTGCCAAGATGGGCTGAAGCAGCTGGAGCAGCTGAATGGAGGACAAGCCTCTTCATTCCTTCACTGATCCATTACCGGGATGTTTAAATGCTTTCTGAATCTCCTTGGCCCAGTTCTGGTCGCTTAGGAACAGAAAAGCGTTGCTTTTAGCCCGCTGCATTTAACTTCCGTTACTCTTTGCACGAGTCTTTTGTATGTTTGCCAAAGAGGGAAGTTCTGACACGTTAGTGTGGTTTGCACAGCCTTTTGGAGGTGCAGTGTTTCATACAATGTGAATTTCTAAAATTCCGAAGTGTGACACGCCCCCTTACCTTATTCTTATGTGTGTAATTAAGGCCTAGCAGTGACACTTTAAGATAGGAGACATGCCCTGTCAGACAGATTTTTGAATGTTTCAAAGTTGTTACTGCACCCACTATATATTAATATATTCCAGGGCTTGGTTCCTGCAAGATCTGATTCATTCACTTCTATGTCCAAGACCTGATTCCTCTATTCTGCATTAAAATTTTTCATTAAAAAAAAAATCAAAGAGCAAAGTTGCTGAGTGAGCAAAGGACGGATTGGCCTCTCAGCACTGGGACTCCCTACAGACCAGCTCGCTGCCCTAAGAAAAATGAGTCGATGGGCCCAGCTCAGTCCCTAATGAACGGCAGTAGATCACATCACAAAAACTAGACACGCATAATTTGGCACCATTGACAGCAGCCTCCCCACCAAAGGCTTGGGGCTTTTATGTCTGAACGAATGTGAAGCTTGGAACTATCTTTGACCTTAAAGTGTGAGAGGGCTCTGTGCTGGGGAGGAGAGGGAGGCAGGTGAGTGGGGTGCGGGCAGGAGGGGTGGGTGTGGCCCATGGGAGGCTGCCTTGCCCCACCCAGTTCTTGGGTCTCTGGGTCTGGGGTTCTCCTGTCTGGGAAGAAGCCCAGGGTCCCATCCTCGCCTTGCTTGGCGGACAGGCAGCCCTGGAGGGGGCGTTTCCCTCCATCAGCAACCCAAAGGGCACCCAGCCCGAGGAACTGGCAGAGAGGGTCGGACACTGGGACAAACACTCGTAAATCAGGGCTGTCCCGATTAAATCAGGCATGGATGGCAAGTAAGTTATTAGCTGCCTGTGAAACTAATTGTGATACGGATACAGTCATTTTTGCAATGTCTTTCAAACACCAGTTGTGATGGGAAACAGCTGTTAGATCCAGGAAAAAAAATAAAAGGAAGGAAAGAAAAGAAGAGAGCTCCGGATTCAAAATCATAATAATGTCTGTCTTCTCTATTCCCTTTCACAAAAGCTCTTAGATTCTCCTATTCTCTCTAGACAATTACTCACAGCAGGCGGGTCAGCCAGGAGGAGCGCAGGATTGCATTTAAAGTTCATCTACTGAGGGGGAAAGACAGAAAGAGAAAAAAGGATCCCTTCTGTTAATGGGGGGGTGGGGGATGGCATGTTTAAAATAGGTTAGAGATTCAGGTTAAAAGGGGGAGAAGAAGTCACAGAATAGGAGTCGAGACATAAATGGTGCCGTTTGACTGCTGGCTTAGTCTATAAGCACGGATGCAAGGGGAAGGTGTTTAGAGTCTTCATTTAAGGCAGCAATGAAGAAGGTAATTAAACTGGAACACTGGAGACGCAACTGTGGAGGAAGAGTGGGCATTTCCCCTGAAGTCAGGCCCACTGCTCCCTGGCTGGAGCTAGTCAGGGGGTCTGACCGCTCCCCGGGCACGCTCTCTGCCCCTTTCCTCATTGTTTCCATCCTCCAGCTCTTCCTGAGAAGCAGAGCATGTTGTTCATAACATCGTGAAAGGAGAGGGAGTGGGAAGAATCGGCCCTCCCAGGGCTGCCCTGCGAGGAGCCTTCAGCCTCCAGCCTTCAGCGCCACGTTTCCAGCCTCCTGTTTGTTCTTCAGCAATGTTTGTATACAGCATCTTACAAGACATCTTTTCAATGTAGTAACCCTGTGTCATTACTTAATGCCTCATACTTGATGCTGCCTGGGGTGGAGAGACAGCAAGTCACCCACCCATAGGAGCTTGTTTCCACACTGCTTCCAGTGGGCTCTCCGGGCAAGGCCACCGCCTTCCCTGCTGGCTGTCCTGGTGTCCTGTGCCTTGAGACCCCCAGGAACCCCTTGAGAGCCTGTTCTGAGCTGGGACTTGTCTATCCTCCTCTGGGTCCTGAACACTCAATCAGTCCTGGAATGGAGCAAAATCCTTTTGTCTAGCACAGGCCAAGTTTTGAGAGTTCTTCCCCTGCTTTTTGATTTCAGCAAGGCAATAAATAAACTTAAAATATGGATGCCTATGACTCGGTCCTTTATTTCTCATCTCCAAGATAATGAACTCGAAGACTATTAAAGTTGTACAGATAATTAGAGGCCATGGATCAAATGCCTCATGGCCCCCTGTTTGTGAACATTAAGATGTGCTCTGCCCCCACGCCCACTTTCGGGAAAGGGGAGGCCTCCCAAGAGGGAGGCCTGGCTCTGGGACCTTGGAGCCCCCTGTCATGGCTGCACTGTCTGGGGGTCCAGAGTTCACAGAGCACCTCTGCGAGTATGGGGAGCATAGGATGAGAGAGAAAGTCCCCAATCTTGCCATACATGGCTGGCCCTGCCACCCTCCCTCCCAGCGCTCCCACTGGCCCCCCGAAAAACCCACATAATTCCAGAAACAGAGCTGTTCTCTTCCCTTCTGACCATGAACATGTCCTCAGCACCATGCACGGAGGGTCTCTGAGCTGAGTGTGCAGGTCTGCATCCTGCTCAGAGCCCTTTTCTCCTTCCTTGACTCAGACATCAGAGAGCAAATGTGTCTGAGAGCAAATGGCAGCTCTCCTATGGGTTTAGAGAGCCAGGCGTCCTGAGGGTGTGTGTCGCTGGTGGGCTGCCTCCCACACAGGCTCAGCAGAGGGGAATGAGGGAGGCACTTGCTTTTTTCCTTTTTAACTTGCTCCACATTCTGCGAGGACATGCCTTGAAAGCCTTTAATCAACTTACAAAAGTGTCTACAAAAGAAAATCAAGATTCTGATTCTAAATTTCAAGTTTTTTCCCTTCTTTTACATTCCTTTTCAACACAATTCCTGCCTCTCCATACCCATCATTCACAAATCTCCCTCCTCATATGAGCCCGGAGACACAGGCCCCAGTGGGAGGCGATGCCAGCCTGTGCTCTGCTCCCTGCACACAGCGGTGGAACAGGGACTCCGAGAGAGAGCAGCTCTTGTTCTTGTTCCATTCGGGTTTTCAGGGATGCTCTCCCGGGAGGCTCAGGGCCTGGCAGTGCAGGCATTGTGATGCTAAGTTTGCAGTAACTAGACATCAGCGAGCACGCAGCCTCATTTTCTGCTCCACACAAGGCTGTACTGTATGGATCGCTCATTTCTTCCTGAGAAATATCTTTTAAAGCCTCGCTTCTTTCCTGGGGAAGAGAGGAGCCGCCACAACTGCTTTTCGCCACCCAAGTTTCAGTTTCTCTGGCTACCAAATCCCCCTTTGTGCCAGAAATACAGTGACTAATAACAATGAATAAAAAAAAGTTGAATCTGGGCCGGGCGCGGTGGCTCACGCCTGTAATCCCAGCACTTTGGGAGGCCGAGGCGGGTGGATCATGAGGTCAGGAGATCGAGACCATCCTGGCTAACAAGGTGAAACCCCGTCTCTACTAAAAATACAAAAAATTAGCCGGGCGCGGTGGCGGGCGCCTGTAGTCCCAGCTACTCGGGAGGCTGAGGCAGGAGAATGGCGTGAACCCGGGAGGCGGAGTTTGCAGTGAGCCGAGATTGCGCCACTGCAGTCCGCAGTCCGGCCTGGGCGACAGAGCGAGACTCCGTCTCAAAAAAAAAAAAAAAAAAAAAAAGTTGAATCTGACCAGAATTGATGTGAAGGGATGCTGCCTTTCTGATTCTGAAGATTTGCTCTTGTGTTTGACATTACAATTAAAGGCATGTTTTGGATGAATGTCTTCACAAGCAGAAATCATGAATGAGCTAAACAGTATCCCAGAGGGGGTGTGTGCTGAGCACGATGGGCATAAACTTTTTATTATATACATTGCTGCCCCTGTAATTAGTACAGTGCTAGAAATATGATTTATTGATAGTGCAAACACATTTGTAATGTGCTGAGGGTGGGTGTGTGCTACATGGAGCACTCCGGACACTGGATCCCTTGGAAATGCAATTCTGTGAACCCCCTCCCCCCCACCCCCAGGACTTTGCTTTTCTTCTGGATTTGCAACTCTTTTATTCAGCTGTCGTGTATGGAACTGAAATCATAACTTTGCCAAATACTCAAATGTTGATTGGTGGCAGAGAATGCCAATTTCTTTGTATGCGGGATAGACCAGAATTCAAATGAAAAACAGGGAAATAAAAGGGATATTAAAGAAAATAATTATCCTAAAATTCCATTTTATTTCAAATAATAACTTTCCAGTTTCCCCCTTCTTTCAAAGTGAAAGAGCATGATTTTGTTTTTCTGATGGTAAATAGGTGGGCCCATGTTTGTCCTCGTGAGTGTGCTCTGGTTGGATGTTGCATGACGCGTCCCAGTGTCCACGCCAGTGTCGGGCTGCGCAGTCAGCTGCACCGAGGATTCCATCACGCCGGCCCCTCCATGACCTCCGCCTGCCTTGCCCAGCCAGACTTCCAAAACCAGAGGGTTTTTCTTTCAGAGCAGTGTCTGTCCAGGAATTCCCTTGGCAAGAGGCAGAATCATCAGCCTGTAAGGTCTGCACGCCTGTTGTGTGTGTGCATGTGTGTGTGCATATATATATATATATATATAATTTTAAGGCAGCAACTCAGCATACTATATTACAAAAATAGCCCAGTGAGAAAGCACTGTGTTTAGAAATATAACTTCTCATTCAAATCAGGACAAGAGGCAGAAGGGGTCAGGAGGTAAAATGAACTCTCTCTCTCTCTGTGTGTGTGTGTGTGTATGCACACACGCGCGTGTGTCTCCCATGAATAAATGAGGCCGAGGTGCAGCACAGCAGGCTGGCCTCTGTCCTGGGCCTCTGCATCCCTTCGAGGGTTAATGCAGAGGGGAGGCTGGTTCCTAGCTGATCCATTTCAGCTGGTCCCCGCCAGGCAGCTGCCCCGCATTAACCCCCTCCCGCCCAAGCTGCAGGCTGTGGACTGCCCCTATGGGTGCTAGGGAGGGGTTAAGAATCTCTTACAACACACACACTCTTCGACATTCTGCATCTCTGCAGTGGCTGCCAATCTGTATCACTGCTTTCGGGACATGGCTTTCTTCTCGCAGTAGCCATCGGAGACCTCCAGGGTAGAAAACCAGCTTTTTGAGATGAGTTCAAATGCATTCTCCCCAGAGGACAGCAGAGGACCAGCTGAGATTTGTTACGGCAGGGCTGCGTAAAGAATTTTCTCATGCTTTACTCCACAGTGTTAGGGGGACACACTGTGCTCCTTTCTCTTGAGCACAGGAGGGGTGATGCAGTGGTTAGCAGATATTTGCAAAATGAAAATAAACTATATTTTCCTAAGATAATTACGCTGGTGATTTCTTAGAAATTTGCGGTTCTTAACTCTCTATCCATTTATCTGACGTGATATGGAACTAAAAAAATACCTCATTGAGTTTGCTCTAGCTCTATCTCCCATTTGTCACATTACCATTGAACTTTAGGATTTTAAGCTATCAATTATAACAATTATAGATTGAAATAACATAGTATAAAAATATGAGCTTTTACTATTTCTTACGGGAAAGAACAAAGTTGTACAGCACTTAATCTTACCCTTCCTATTTTTTTTCTTCTATAACTTGAAGAAATATTGGTCTCTAAGCGGATATGTTCTGCTGACTGTATGTTTTTAAAACCACGGTTCCATAAGCATTTTCTTCCTAGCTCAGAAACTTACCAAATGTTTGCTCTCGGCCAGAAAGTAAGGACATATACCTAGTGACATTAAGCCTGGATCTCCTTCAGGTAATCCAGCCTGAACTTTTTGTTCATAGCTTGCTTTCTAGAACATACCCTGTCTCTGAGGATTGGGAATCCATGCTGATTTGCATGGCTTCAGCCATATCAGGAAGAGACTAACAAATGGCTTAATCATCATCACAAACACGCTGTGTATGCTGTGTGGGTGTCAGGACGGCTTTGCCAAAACCTCTCACCAGCCCAGGAAAACACTGAAAGTGCTGCACCTACAGCTTGAGACCTCAAAGTATTATTTTATTTTTACTGAAGGTACAAGTAACTAAAAAGTTTTTTTTTTTTCCTGACAAATGTTCCAATGTTCATTTTTTTGTTAAATGAAAGAAGAGGACAGACAGGTGGAAAAACACAAAATTAGCACATAGAAAATTAAATAAAAATCTTATTTGGATTCCCAAAAGCCTAAAGTAGAGAAATCTCACTGTGACCGTTGTCAGCCTCCTGGAAGCTGGTAAATTCATGCATTCTTTGAGATGTTTTTTCATGCAAAGCAAAAACTGTCTTCAATTTTCTTCCTGCTTTTTTTTTTTTTTTTTTTTTGAAACTTGAAATCAAATCACCACTCCCTTATCCACATTTCAAAATTTCAACCTCTATAAATACAGGGAAATAGAATTCTGGAGGTGGAGAAAGAAACTGCAGTGGAAATATCCAATTTTATACCATGGCTTATTGGACAAGAACAAGGGTAATTTGACTAAAGCTTCAATTTACAAGGCATCTTTAGCAATGCATTTGGTGCACGCGCATGGCAGCTAGATTGACAAGCAGATCCCGACAGCTACAGAGCTTCAATAAAACACACACCACGAAGGCTTTACACGATGTACAGTAACGGCTTCTTTGGAGCTGTTATGGTCTATTGGGTCAATAATAATCCACTTTTTAAAGAGTGCCAAAATGTGAATTTACACAGCAGACTGTAATAGTCCCTGATTTAGCAGGTAAATTATATGAATTCTTAGAATTTCTATACGTACTATGGCACATGCACACCATCGGAATGTTCTGTTGTGTAAAGCAGGAGTCCACAGAGTCAAACATGCAGCATGCTTCCAATTGCTGATAAAAATGATACACTGCAGCTGGGGAAATGAAAATACTTGTTAACATTTGGAACTTTAATACCACAATTTACATTTCACCTTACCTTTAAATGGGTATATTTTGATCGACATCCTGGATTACTTGCATCATCATAAATTCTGTTTCCCTTAAAATGAAGTTATTTTCATTTCAAACTATATTAAAAATACATTGACTATACAACTTTGCGGTAGGTTGATGCATAGCATTTAATTTACATGTGATATTTATAAGTAAACATTTATAAGTAAACATCTCTTCTATAGATTTATAATTTCTGTTTTCTTCAGTTACACAGAAATAGGCAGCTCTGAACGTGCAGGGCTGCAGCTGCACCTAACAACATGCCTGATTCCTTCCAGCAGGTGGAGGCATACTGCAAGAAGCTTCCAAAGAAACAACCAAAAATATTTTTTCCCCAAGCAAACTCTGACATTTAGGGGAAAACAAAATATCCCAAAAAAGAGGGAAATTAGATGAACAGTTTGCAACAGGGATAGTGGTGTGGTGTGACACGGTTTTACCTCATAAAGAACCTGGAGTGAAGATATTTCATAGCCCCTCCTTGCTGTAAACACCCTCTCTTGGCTTCCTTTCTGTCTGCTACAGTTGGACATTTTTCCAGAAGAAAAGCCTGGTGAATTATTTAATAAATGAAATCCAGTAAGACAACCATGTTCAAAGACATTTTCTCAAATTTCCTCCAAATAAGTGCAGCAGTAATGCACTACCAGGGATATGCACATGTAGGTACACACACGCACACACACATACACACACATACTCTGAAAACTACTCTAGACACATTACTATCCCGCTTTAGTCACTGTGTATGTGTGTATGTGTGTGTGTGTGTGTGTGTGTGTGTGTGTGTGTGTGTTCTACTCATTTGGCCAGAACCAGTGATTTCTCTGGTTCTTTTGTGAGTGTTTGGTGTATATTCCTGCCAGTGTATTTGAAAAAAAAAAAAAAAAAAAAAAGCTAAGAATTTAAAGTACAGACAAACCAGAAAAATTTCTGCCTGAAAACCTGGCTTTTCTAGAATGAGAGAGAGTTCTTTCAAAGACCACCCTTCACTTTCACTTTTAGGATAGATTAACATGTGCCGTCTGCAATGGACAATGACGTGGCCGAAGAACGCCTATGTACAGGATTAACATGGTCTACTTGGAAGGATTTGAATGCTTTTCGATCCATAGTATGATAACATAATGCAGCAAATTATAGGTCTCGCCTTCCTTAGCAAGGAGCTGGGAGCAGAATTGCAGTATAGTAATGCTGTGGTCCCCAGCTCCCCCTCCCTGCTCCCAGGGCCTGTTGACTGCAAATATCTACCATCTACAGTATTGACTGGTTTATCAGGCAGCAGGTATCTCTATCAGTCTATCTTGAATTGTCATCCAGCAGAAGATTAAACACTGCCTGCCTCCTACTTGTGATTTTTAGTCTTCACATCACAAAGTTTTCAATCACATTTCAGCAGTGTGCATTTAGCTTACAGAACTCTGAGCACTTATCTTCCCAAAACAGGGGATTTAGACCATGTTTACCTCGTAGTTCCAAGATATCTGTCTGCAAGCCTGCCCACATTTAGGGTGTGAGATGGGTTTCAAATCTCTTCTCTCTTCTATCTCCCTCTCTCTCCTCTCTCTCTCTCTTTTTCTCTCTAGTTCCCTACATAACTAGACTCTGGACCCAACAACAATCAACAAAGAATTTGCATAATGGACAAGTGTCAGTTTTTCAAGGAGTCCTCCAGGGCAGTGACCTTGTGTTGTTAGTTTTCAAGATGAAAGAACTATAACTGTGGACGGCTTTGTTCTAAGTGGCTTTCTCATTAATAATCTTCAGAAGACCGTGATGACCACGTGGCTTTCAGCGCCTGAATCAGCCAGAGAGAAGGCTGGATGTCAGCTGTGTACACTTCTTGTCTCTCCATCGGGTACCTGTGAGGAAGCTGTGGTCTGCGAGGGATCCTAAGAAAGAAACATCTTCCCAGTTTATGAGGGATTCAGCACAAACACGTTGATACCAAATCAGTGTTCAGCTGCCATTGTGCCTGGCTGATGCTTGCGATTCCCAATCAGTAGACTAATGAGATTCCGGGTACACAGAATCCGGAGAGAAGGGCACGCGCATTCTCTCCAGAACGCCTGAAAGGAAGTCAGTCTGAAGTCCGGCCGGATGGGAATTGGACAGACACACTTCCGGCTAAGTACGGGCGTAATAATGGTGATTAAAACTGTTCACCGTTCCTTTGAGTTCCTCGTAGATTCTGGATATTAGTCCTTTGTTGGAGGTATAGATTGTGAAGATTTTCTCCAATTCATCGCCGTTTTTTAGAGTTTTTCTCACTAAATATTGACTAACGGAACCTAGCCCTGTAATGTTGATAGTCGGGCGGGTCGGAAGTGGCTGAGGTGGAGTATCTGCAGGAGAAGAACTGAGGCTCCTAAGTGCAGCATCTTGTCCAAGAGGTTTCGTCCCAATGCGTGGGGAACATCCGGATTGTGATGTTTAGCTCTCAGTTTCTAACTTGGGCATTCTAGCAACTGTATTTCTCATTTAATGTTTTATGGGCACACATGCAGAGGAGTTTTCGTCACTGAAAAGCCCGACAACTTCCCCTGCCAACCCATTGGAATTAAAAAAACCTCGATAACCTCTTAAACACATGGAAATGGAACCCTGAGCAGAGGTAAAAGCCTAGCAGTGATCACTCTTTTGGCGACTTGGAAATCGGGGTGAGCTTTTATCCGTTACCTGTGCCCTGTTGTTAGGGGTCGACTGCTGCTGTTCTTCCTTGGAAACTGGCTCCACTGCATTTCGGGGCTGGGATGTTGTTAAAGCATTCACAGCCCTCAGAGCACATGACGAGGGAGTTGGGAAATGAAGCAAGCAGGACCTTCCACTTTGTAGCAGACTTATTTCTGGAGAAACTGATGGTTGGGGCCACAAAACGCTTTCAGTGTAGGCTCATCATGACTCATTTGGACATCCTATTTTCTCTCCTTATGTATGAGATTGTGGTGGGTATCTGTACAGCCTAAGGACCTTGGGTGGACCTGGCCAGCAATGGGACTGTTACTGATGATGCATCACATGGTGTCACTAGGAAAAGCATAGATCAGCTGAGGATCAATCTTCCCACCAGGTGTGTGTGAAAATGTAGGTTATGTGCTTCCTTCAGCCCCAAACCTGTTGTCCACACCAGAATCTGGAAATAATCTCATTGGAATTGGGAGAATGATTGATGATACTCAGTGGTGAGTGTTCTATTTTTAATATCCACAATTTTTTAAAAAGTCTAGCACCTAAAGAAAAACATGTTCCTTTCTTCAGTACTTGGCTATTTATGGCAAACTTTAAGAAGGTGGAACCATTTACAGTCACAAAAATATTAATTCTATTAAGTGTACATCCATTAGAATTACCAGAGGCATGAGGAGTTAACTGCTCAGCAGAGCAAATAGGCCTGAATGGGGTTATATGCAAAATGAAACAAAATTCCCCATGCTTGTTCTCCTGAGTGCCAACACCTTAAGCTCCATAAAATTCCACTAATTGAGCTTGGAGGAGAAACTAAGGTTGGAATGATCTTTGAAGAATGAATCCATCTCTCGCTCTGGTATTCTTTGCAGAATGTCTTATGTCTAAGTGTCAGGTGCATCCATATCAACTTGTTTTCAAAATAGGTAAATATCTTAAAGTATTTTGTAAAATGCAGAAAAGCTATTGCATTATGAGAAAAAGTATGGAGGTCACACTGCATCTCTAAACTAGATGTGCAAATCAGTATTTGTTGAATTGATTTGAATATATATTGATTTAATAGTTTTTCTACATGCCTAGTATAAATTGAGGGAGATATTTGGAGGTGAGGAAGATGTTTTGTTAAATTTGTTTATTTAACAAGTGCTAATTTCTGGAGGTTTGAAAATTATAACATACTATCTCTGCCCTCAAGGATTTAATAGGCTAAATTTTGGGAGTGGGGAAGGTGGAAATATAAACACAGATATCAAATGAATTGTCATGTGTTATAATACTTTAGTGTGTTTGGTTAAAATGAATTCATAAAGGTTATTTATCATTTCATTTGGGAGAGTTAATAGGAAAAAAACAACATTTAGCTAAGTTCTTGTAGAGTGAGGATCGTTTGCGGGGAATGAGGAAAACGTGTAAGTAATTAGGCATTTAGATAGAGGAACATTGGTTTCAAATTTGTTAAATGCACGTTTTTACCCTGGCAAACTAAGTATTCTTGCCATTTTACACAGATGAGAACAATTTCTGTTTGCTTTTCCTGTTTATCAGCAAATCCTAGGCATTTCCCACACAGCACACATAGGGGGCACTACAGTTTGAGACTTCACATAAAAGCCTTTTTCATGTCACCTTATGTGGTGGCAACATTATTTGACAAAAATCTGTTTAACGTGGGCCCTTCCAAGCATTCAGTTAACTGCCCAGAGCCCACACATAGCTGATTTTGGTTAGCTATTTCTTGGATCACAAAATGACACTGATAAAAAGTTAAAAAAAAGTATTTAAGATTCATTTAAGCAACAATTAGGAATAGTAGTATGCAAAGTCACTTTCTGAGAGGGTTATTGTCTCATGTGCTTTATGATATGGTAGTTTGGAAATCAAAAGATTGAAGTTCTATTCCCTCCTTTCCCCATTAGAGCTGGTGCCTTACATACCACATGCAGCATCTGTGAGCCTCAGTTTTCTGTATGGAAATGAAATCCATAATAAACGAATTGTATTGAGTTTATTATACCTCCATCTAGGAGGTATGCAGAAACATCTTAGAAACCAGAAATACTATCATTGCTATTAATCACAAGAAGAATAATTACTATTTGTAATGTCAGGAATGACAATCCAGGAATATTTCTTAATTTTAAAATGCTGAAACATTAAAAGGGGGTTCATTTCCTATGAAATCCTAGATTTGATTTACTTTAAAAGTTACCCATCTACCCAAGCATGAATACAGCTTTGCATGGCACGTGTTGCCAATAAGGGGATTGTAAAATCAAATATGCATATTTTAGAATTTTAAATTTGCAGTATGTTAGATCTTGAGTTTATCTTTCCAAAGCAGCATATGGGGATGAGATATTTAGATATGAAAAATAACCCACACTTTTCAGAATGTTTGGTGTAACAATGCTAATTCCCTACTCAGTTGATTGGGATGCAATGATTTCATGAAAATGTCAGAGCAGGTGTATGGAAAAGACATTATGGTGTCAAAATGAGATGAAACAATGTTAATTTGTGTGTGGAAAGTCCGTGTCTCTGCCAAGATGAACTAGAACCCTGTATTCAGCCATGTTGAGCCTTGGCGCACCAGGGCTTGGAGGCCTGGCATGGAAGGTCCCAGAACGCCAGAGGATGTGACATCCCACAAGGAACAAGATTTATTTCCTTCTTCCCACCTTGGGGCTAAGCATAAAGAGAGGTAACGGCGTTTGAGGAATTAAGAGCATGGCACCAAAGTTGCTCGTGCTGCAACAGTCCCAGAGTGGGCCGGGTAATCCAGTGCACGGGAGGTCCAGCAGGATGGAGGGAGTGGAGGAAGAGGAGGCGGGTGGAGAGAAACTGCTTTCTGGCCGCCAATATGGATTGGGTGTACACGTTTGAGGCTCATACTTTTTTGTAAATTGATGCATTTCTCTGGTGTAAATGTCCCTGAGTGTTAAAATGTGTTCAGCACCTCTGTGACGTCTGGGAGTCTGAATTTGCCGAACAAAGGTGAGTATTAATTCCAGTTTGGGTGTTAATTTGGCCTCGATAGAACACTCCAGTAAAACTAACATTTGACTAGGACCCAGAATAGAAGAAGGAGCCAAAGATATGGAAGGAAAATAGTAATTCTAAGTGCTTTGAAATCTATATAGCATTTTTTTAAAGATTCTTTTTTTTTCCTCCCCTTAGATTTTTCACAGTCTCTGTTCCCACTTCATTATTTAATACAGCTTGTCTGGAGTTGACCAGCAGTCTTAAAGAATGTCAAATCTTCACTTTCCATTCAAGAAATAAGACCCTCCTAGGACTTTCTAAATATTTCTGTTTTCCATCTAACAAGAATTACCATATGCTATAATGGAACAATGATCCGACTGGTTTTAGGAAGCCTTGATTTTAGTGCTGTTGTTGATAGGGACTGACTTATGTGACCTTGAGACGTTACTTCTCTGGACTTTGCTTTTTTGATCTGTAGATTTGGGGCAGGCTGGAGTGCTGGTCTAGATGACCCCCAAGGATACCTCCCACAATCTTCCTCAGTTTTACGGGACTTTTCTAAGGTGAGGCATCCACTGATAACCTGTAAATGAATGAAAGTGTAATTAGTGAGTTTGTTATAGGCAACGCAGTCTAGACTATTAATGCATAAATAAAAGTGCATATTTTTGGAGATTGCCCGTTTCCGGTTTTGGAGCCTGCTTTCTATTGTCATCATGTTTGCAAACGTGCTTCTCAATTTTGAGCATCCATCATGGGAGATATGGTTCCTGAGTCAGCTCACAGGCTGCACTCTTGGAAGGGCTGGCTTGGTGCGTCCATGTAGGGGCCCATCGCATGTATCTTTTAGTCCAGACCGTGGATGTCGAATTCCTCTGTTTACTTTTAGGGTGTAGTTTTTAGAGGGGCATTTCTCTTCTTTGTTTTGAGAGGTATTTATTCTAGCTTCCCTTCATCTCTCATCTTCTTCCTCCAATTTGAGTTTTAAATGTGATCCCAGGAGTTTTGGGACCAGTGAATTTCCTTCTTCTCAGTCTCATTCTCCATCCCTTCCTCTGCAGGTGGAGGGAGTTGATGTGGTGGAGAAATGCCTTTCAATATTTTTTACTGCAATATTAACTCATGTCGGATATAACAAGTAACCGTGCAATGAAATGAACTCAGGAACAGCAAAGCCATTAAGAAAATGTGCCATTAGGGAAAGGGCTAGAGTTTCCTATGGAAGAGGTTCACCAGGCACATACTTGTACATGTTCGAGGAAATGATTCAAATGTTTATAGCCCTTATAATTATGTTCCTTTTAAGAAGTAGAGACTTTTGGAGCCAGAAACATTTTCCTAATTCACTTCATTGGTAATGAGTTTTACTTTTAAAATTTTGATGCGATGAAATCTAAATTCAAATATTCAGATGTAAGGGTATATGTAGACATATGTGCATTTGTACAAAGAGAAAACTTTGTGATGGAACCATCAATCAGATACAATATGATGCCAGCTTTGTTCTATTCATTCTTCTTTTTCTTTGTCTTTTTTTGGAAAATATGAAAGCTAAAGCTTTTAGGTTTTGTTCAAACCTGTAAAAGCACATATCAAATATTTTCTTATTTCTTTTCATAATACCATAAGAGAGGGTGTTTTATCTTTTTTTCTGCAATTTAACATAAGTAGAAATTGTCAGTTTAAAATTGACAGGTATTTGTTACAGTCAACAATGAATTGTTCAAATTTGGGATCACCCACCATCATTGGCAGTGTCTGTCAGGTGTCACAACAGAAGGAACACTGATTAAACGACGATGAAAAATACAATAATTTGGAGCCCTGTGGGTAAGATGTGAAAGGCATCTGGTGTTTGCTGATGAAGGCAAACCCTCCACTACCTGCAGGCATGCTCAGGGTTCCGGGACGGGGGCTCCAATGCTGTCTATGATGAATGCTCCGTCCCTCCACATCTCTCTGGTGTGGTGTGTGGGCCTTTCCGTCAGGTTTGCAGGCGGGGTATATAGGTCTGTGGGAAATGGGCGAGAGTCCCCTTGCATTAGGAAAGAAACAGAGGAATATAAGGTCAGTGAGTCACTTCCCATGAGGCAGTGTTGATGTGAAGTTTTCATTTCGGTTCTTTAGGTGCATGGGAGTGCCCAACGTGAGTATCTTGTCCCTTGGCACCCTACTTTTGGTTATACCTGTGAGCAACTGTATTGGTATATGGGGTTTCTTTTTATTTTCCATCTTTTTTCATTTTCATTTTATTTTATTTTATTTTAAAATTTTACTTTAAGTTCCCAGATACATGTGCAGAATGTGCAGGTTTGTTACCTAGGTGTACCTGTGCCATGGGGGTTTGCTGCACCTATCAACCCGTCATCTAGGATTTAAGCCCTGCATGCATTAAGTATTTGTCCTAATGTCCTCCCTCCCTTTGTCCCACCCCCCAGCAGGCCCCAGTGTGTGATGTTCCCCTCCCTGTGTCCATGTGTTCTCATTGTTCAACTCCCACTTGTGAGTGAGAACATGCAGTATTTGGTTTGCTCTTCCTGTGTTAGTTTGCTGAGGTTGATGGTTTCCAACTTCATCCATATCCCTGCAAAGGACATGAACTCATCCTTTTTTATGGCTGCATAGCATTACATGGTGTATATTTGCCACATTTTCTTTATCCAGTCTATCATTGATGGGCATTTGGGTTGGTTCCAAGTCTTTGCTATTGTGAACAGTGCTGCAATAAACATATGTGTGCATGTGTCTTTATAGTACAATGATTTATAATCCTTTGGGTATATACCCAGTAATGGGATTGCTGGGTCAAATGGTATTTCTGGTTCTATATCCTTGAGGAATCGCCACACTTTTCCACAATGGTCGAACTAATTTATTCTCCCACCAACAGTGTAAAAGCACTCCTATTTCTCCACAGCCCCGCCAACATCTATTGTTTCCTGACTTTTTAATAATTGCCATTCTGACTGGCGTGAGATTATGCCTTAGTGTGTAGTTTATGGGGTTTCTTAAGAGATACTTTCCTTTCTAATTATACATCAAGCCAAACAACTCTGAAATAAAATTTTAATTCAGTGAATTAGAAATGTTTCTTTTTTAAAAGTCTCAGTGGACATTCATTTTCTGTTACTTCTTCTAGTAGTTGTTATTGGCCATTTGGTTCATGGAAATTTATGAATCTTCTGATAAAAAATAACATGATGCAACTGTAATACTAACCTATGGCTGGGGTTGTCTTTTCTTCTGAAAAATGCTGAGATAAAAAGGAATATAAAGCTATCCAGTTATTGTTAAATTCACTTACATGTACTATAAAAACAATTTACTAAGAGTTTATACTCAGAAACCATAAAATAATAGGTTGATAAAACTGATTACATGTAAATGTACAGCTTTCACATGGCAGAGGCCTCAGTAAGAAGACAAACACAATCTGCAAAAAAATTTGCCACACATATGATAGTCATAGGGTGAATTTCCTAAGATGCAAAAATGCTTAAGATAATAAAGAGCTATACAGAAAAGTGGGCAGCCCATGGATAAAAGAATTAAAAATGATGGTGAACAAGTGCATGAAAAGATACCCAACCTCATTATAATTAAATAAATGCGAATAAAAATGAAACTCTATTACCATTCATTTAAAATACACATTGAACAGAAACATGTCTTGTCCTGAGCTAGTTGCTATGTACACAGATGTCAACAAGACTGACACTGAATTTGCTGGTCCAAAGTTGAGATTCTAGATTGCCTGTGTCCAGTACTCAAGCGCCATTAGCCACATGTAACTATTTAAATTTAAAATAATGTAAAGGAACTAAAATTAAAAATGTAGTTTCCCAGTTGCACCAACCGCATTTTGAAGTGTTCAATGGCCATTTGCTGCTGTCGGCTGTGGTGCTGGGCAGCAGGTCCAGCGCTTTTCCACCAGCACACGTGGTTCTCTTGGCCACCACTTATCCAGCAGAGAGCAACTCAAGGAAGGAGCAAAGAAAAGTAAATAATTTTAAGATGCAATCATAAATTCCATGACAAGCACTTTTTTTCTTTTTTAGACGGAGTCTTGCTCTGTCGCCCAGGCTGGAGTGCAATGGCACGATCTCGACTCACCGCAACATCCACCTCCTTGGTTCAAGTGATTATCCTGCCTTAGATTCCTGAGTAGCTGGGATTACAGGTGCCCACCACCATGGTTGGCTAATTTTTGTGTTTTTAGTACAGATGGGGTTTCACCATGTTGGCCAGGCTGGTCTCGAACTTCTGACCTCAGGTGAACCACGTGCCTTGGCCTCCCAAAGTGCTGGGATTACAGGCGTAAGCCACCATGCCAGGCTGACAAGCACTCTAAGAGGCTGAGGTGGAAAGCAGCAAAGGAGGCCTACTGACTTAGGGTGGGCAAGGAGATGGTATTTAAATGGAGACCCAAAGAAAAAGCCACATGGAGAATGGGAGGTGGAGAGAAAACCTTCCAGAGGAAGGATATAGGATGTCCAAAGGCCTTATAATAGGACAGAGCTGCTGGGTGCTTTTAAGGAAGGGAGGGTGCCCCTACATGAAGCCAACGAGTGATGAGGAGAGATGTATAAAGAGAAGTTGGGATACTGGTGTAGTGGGCTCTGTCCCACAGAAAGATATGTTCCGGTCCTGACCCCCAGCAACCCACACAGAATGTGACCTTACTCAGAAATAGGGTCTCTACAGGTGCGATCAAGTGAAGATGAGGTCATGCTGGATGAGGGTGGGATCGAGTCCAGTGGGTAGTGCACTCGTAAGAGGGGAATTTGGACACAGACACAGAAGATTCATGGATGAGCGCCACAGAATGATGAGCAGAGACTGGCATGATGCAGCTGCTAAATTTAAATGCTGAGTCTGCCAGCAACACCAGTGGCTGGGAGAGCCAGATTCTTCCTAAAACCTCCAGAGGAAGTGAGGCCCTGCTGATGCCTTGATTTTGAACTTCTAGCTTCCAAAACGGTAAGAGAGAGTGGATTTCTGTGGTTTTAAGCCTCCCAGTTTGTGGTGTTTTGTTATGGCAGCCACAGGTTTCTAACACAGTGGGTAGGAGAAAGCATGTGGGAATTTGAGGAATGAAGCCTGGTGAAGAACCGTAGAAGGATTTTGAGCAAATAAATAATTTGATCTAGTTTACAGGTTTGTGTTGTAAAAAGGTAACTTTTACAGCTGAGGAGAGAATGGAAGGAAGCAGGCAGCAAGGTTTATTACAATTAAACATGTTTGGGGGTTTTGTTTAGGTGGGGCATTGGAGATGGACAGGAGAAGGCGTATGTGAGGGCTACTGTGGGGCTGCAGCTCTGTTCTCCTTGAGTGATTGGTTCGAGGCATTTTAGTGAAAAGGAATTGACTTCAAGTGATACCAGGAAGTTTAAAGGGGGAAAACCAAGACTTCTGTTTGCTTTAGACTTAAGAAATTTGAGAGATCTTTGAGGTGTCTAATTAGATATGTCAAGTAAGCAGTTATAGATACAAATCTGGGACTTGGATGAAAGCTCTGAGCTTAACATCAAATTTGGGACTTGCCTGCATTACAGTGGTATTTAAATTCTAGGGAATTGGTACCATATTCCCAAGGAGCCCATGTAGAGAGGAAAGAGGACCCAGCACTGAGCCCTCCGGATGAAAACGGTTAAAGTTTGAGCCAAAGAGAAGGAACCACCAGAGGACAGAGATCAGGAGGGGCCTTCAGGGGAGGAGAAGAGATCAGGAGGGGCCTGCCAGGCAGGAGAACCAGGAACAGGTGGCACGGTGTTGCTGAAGTCAAAGAAAGGCTGTGTCCAAAAGTACAAAGGTAGCATTTTAAACAGCATCATGTCAAACATTTCAAAAGTTTGATAAAACCCAGTGTTGGTTAGACTCTCATGAAATAGCTTTCTCATACCACTGCTAGACGCAAAGGTGTATGTAGATGATGCTCATTTGTTTATTGTAGCATTGTTTGCAATAGCAACACAGAGCAAAGCAAAATGCATAAGGAGTCTAGGAGCAACCCTAACATCTGTGGGGAGGAGAATGGTGAAATAGGTGATGAGACGCACACACAACTGATGACGTGTGGCCTTTAAAGAAAAGACTAAGCTGATTGGAAGAAAAATCTCCAAGAAAGATTTTAGGGGAATATCACACATGGGGGCCTGTTGTGGGGTGGGGGAAAGGGGGAGGGATAGCATTAGGAGATATACCTAATGTAAATGACGAGTTAATGGGTGCAGCACACCAACATGGCACATGTATACATATGTAACAAACCTGCACATTGTGCACATGTACCCTAGAACTTAAAGTATAATAATAATAATAAAGAAAACAAAAAAACCAAAAAAACAAAAGCAAGGTGTAAAACAACATGTATCATATGATCTCATTTGTGTTAAAAAAGTAAAACTTGGCCAGTCGCGGTGGCTCACGCCTGTAATCCCAGCACTTTGGGAGGCTGAGGTGGGCGGATCATGAGGTCAAGAGATCGAGACCATCCTGGCCTACATGGTGAAACCCCGTCTCTACTAAAAATACAAAAATTAGCTGGGCATGGTGCTGTGTGCCTGTAGTCCCAGCTACTTGGGAGGCTGAGGCAGGAGAATCACTTGAACCCGGGAGGTGAAGGTGGCAGTGAGCCAAGATCGTGCCACTGCACTCCAGCCTGGTGACGGAGCATATTTCACATGGAAGAATGAAGAGCCTGTTTATTATGTTTATTACTTGGGAGTGGATCTGGGCATAGACATGGTGAAAAGGGGAATTCTGATTTTGATTTTATGTTTTCACATACTGTTTGACTTTTTGACCATATGGATGCACTACTTTTGTAAGTAAAAGCTAGAATAATTTTAAAAACTCTTGTTTTGAAATAAGAACGATTCACAGGAGGTTGCAAAGACAGTACAAAGAGTCCTATGTACCTGTCACCAAGCTTTCCCCAGTGGTAACATCCCATCACATCAAAACAAGAAACCTGTATTGGCACAATGTGTGTGTATGGTTCCATTTCACTTTGTCACTTTATCATTTTATATAGATTTATGCAACTGCCACCATCAAGATACAGGATTATTCTATCACCATGAAGACTTCCTAATACCACCTCTTTATAATCATTTCTACCCCTCCCTTTCCAATCCCTAACCTTGACAACCACTAGTCTATTTTCTGTCTCTATGATTTTGCCATTTTGAGTATGTTACATAAGTGGTATCATATAGCATGCAGCTTTTTGAAATTGGCTTTTTATTTCTCACTCTGCATAATACTCTAATGCTCTTGAAATCATTCAAGTTATATGTATCCATAGTTTGTGCTTTTTCATAGCAGAGTACTTTTCCATGGTATAGCTGTACCCAGTTTGTTCACCTATTAAAGGAACATTTTGGTTGTTTCCAGTTCTTGGTTAGTGAAAATAAAGCTGCTATGAATAATTCTGTATATGTTTTTGTAGAAACATAAATATTTCTCTGGGATAAATGCAAAAAGTGCAATTGCTGGAGCATAAGGTAAGTATATATACAGTTTTTAAAGAAACTGCCAAACTATTTTCCAGAGTAACTATACTCTTTCACAATGTATGAGGAATTCAGTTTTTCTGCATCTTCACCAGAATTTGGTGTTGTCACTAATTTTTATTTTAGTTATTGTAATAGGAATATAGTCATATATCATCATGGTCTTGTTTTCCATTTTTTATTGGCTAGTGATGTTGAATAACTTTTCATGCGCTTAAGTTGCTACCCATGTATCCTATTTGGTGACATGTCTCTTAATGTCTTTTGCCTATTTTCTACTTCAATTTTTTTGTCTAGTGGTGAGTTTGAGAATTCTTTATGTATTCTAGGTATGACCCCGTAGTTCAATGTATTTGCAAACATATTCTCCCAGTCTATAGCTTGTATTTTCATCCTCTTAAAAGAGTCTTTTGCCGATAAAGAGTTTTTAATTTTATGCAAGTCCAATTTATTGAAATTTTTATTTTATAAGTGTGGGTGTTATGTCTAAGAACTCTTTGAGAAACCTTAGATCTCAAAGATTTTCTCCTGTTTTCTTCTAAAAGTTTTATAGTTTTATATTTACATTTACATCTATGTATCTATGATACATTTGAATTATTTTTTGTATTAGTTTGGTGCTAAAGTAATTGTGATTTTGCCATTACATTACTTTTAATGGCAAAACCACAATTACTTTTGCACCAACCTAATATAAGAAGTGAGAGAGAGATTTAGCTTGAGGTCTTTTTTTTTTAACCTCTGGATATCCAATTTCTCCAGCACCTTTTGTTGAGAAAATTATTCTTTATCCACTGAATTGCTTTTGCACCTTTGTAAAACACCAGTTGGCCATGCTCCTGGGAGTAATTCTGCATTCTCTATTTTGTTTTATTGATCTATGTGTCAGTTTCTCTGTCAATACCACAGTCTTGATTATCGTAGCTGTAAAATAAGTCTTGATAGCATTTTGTGTTTCCATCCAGTTTATTTTTCATGATTGTTATCACTAGTCTAGGGCTTGTGGCCTTCCTATAAATTTTAGAATAATCTTTTATGTATTTGTAAAAAATCCTGCTGAGATTTTGATAGGAATTGCATTAAATGTGAATATCAATTAGGGAAGAGTTGGTATATTTATGTTAAGTCTTGCAATCCATGAATATGGTATGTCTCTCCTTTACTTAGACATTGATTAAATGTTTTCATCAGTATTTCCTAGTTTTTAACATATAAGTTCTGTGTATGTTTTGATAGATTTACAGTTAGTATTTCATTATTATTCATTACCAATGATTTCAAAAAATCATTCTTTTTTGAACGATTACAAATGGTAGTGTAATTTTAGTTTGTTTCCACATGTTTATTGCTACTGTATAGTAGCACAAATGGTTTTGTATGCTGTTCTTGTATCCTGTGAGATTGCTGAACTCACATATTAGCTTTAAAGGGTTTTTTTTTTTTGGTCAATATCCTGGGATTTCTACACAGAAAGTCTGCAAATATGGGCAGTTTTATTTCTTTTTTTTTTTTCTGTCTGCATGCTTATTATTTCCTTTTGTTGCTTTACTGTGCTGGTTAGAACTTCTGGCACATTGTTGAATAGCAGTGGTGAAAGCAGATATCCTTGCCTTGCCCTCAATTTTAGCAGGGAAAGCATTCAGTATTTCAAAATGACGTACAATGTTAATTGCATTTTTTTTGGTAGATGTTCTTTATGAAGCTGAGGAAGACCCTCTTTATTCCTGGTTTTATGAGAGGCTTTTTAAATAAATGGTTGTCCAATT
The DNA here is from genome assembly GCF_000001405.40 of Homo sapiens. Lineage (NCBI taxonomy): Eukaryota > Metazoa > Chordata > Mammalia > Primates > Hominidae > Homo > Homo sapiens. The sequence goes on along the minus strand of NC_000018.10, from coordinate 76,242,417 downwards.
TTGTCAAATTTTTTTGCATCAGTTGATATAAACATGTGATCTTTCTTCTGTACCTTGTTAGTATGGTGGATTACTATCTTAGTACATTTGGGCTGCTATAACAAAATACCATAAATGTGTCCCTTATAAACAACAGAAATTTATTTGTCACAGTTCTGAAGGCTGGGAAGTCCAAAATCAAGGCACTGGCAGAATTAGTGACTGGTGAGGGCCCACTTTCTGGTTCATAGAAAGCATCTTCTCACTGTGTCCTCACATGGTAGAAGGGATGAGGGAGTTCTCTGGAATCTCTAGTATCATTCACAAGGGCTGTACCCTCATGACCTAATAACTTTCAAAGGCCCATCTCCAAATACCATCACTTTGAGGGCTCTGCTTTCATGACTTAATAACTTCTAAAGGCACACCTCCAAATACCATCACTTTGAGTGTTAAGATTTAGCTTATGATTTTTGAGGGAGATATAAACATTCAGTCTATAACAATTATATTGATTGATTTTCAAATATTAAACTAGAATAAACTTCTGGAACTAAACTCCTGGAACTCCTGGAATAAACTTCTCATGATCATTACACACAGACATATTTTAGATTTTTTTTTTTTACTGAATGCTATTTGATAATATTTTCTTAAAGATCTTTACATTTATATTCATGAGTGCTATTGGTCTATAGTTTTCTTTTTTTGCACTGTCTCTGATTTTAGTATCAAGGCACTACTGACTTCACAAAATGAAGTGGGAAGGGTTTCTTTCTCTTCTATCTTCTGGAAGAAATTGTGTACTATTGGTGTTAATTTTTTAAATGATTGGTAGATTTTGCTAGTAAAATAATCTGGGCCAGGAATTACCTTTTTAAGAGTTTCAAATAAGAAATCCTATTTCTTAAATTGTTATTGGGTTATGCAAATTATTTTATATTGGATGAGCTGTGGCAGTTTGCATATTTTGAAGAAGTTGGTCCATTTTATCTGTGTTGTCAGATTTATGCTGTAGAGTTGTATGTGGTATTCCCTTATTATTCCTTTAATGTCTGCAGAATCTGTATTACTACCCACTGTTCTATTCCTGATATTAATCATTTAATATGAATAATTTTTCTGGTTTTCAATTAGCAAGAACTTTGGCATTTTTCTTAATATTTTCAAATAACTATATCATAATTACACTGATTTTCTGTATTGTTTTCCAGTTTTTAATCTCATTGATCCCCACTCTCGTCTTTATTATTTCTTTCCTTCTGCTTGTTTTAGGTTATTTTGCTATTTGGTTTTCTAGTTTTTTGACATGAGTACTTAGACTACTGATTAAAGTATTTTCCTCTTTTCTAATGCAAGCATTTAGTGCAATACATTTCTCTGACTGCTCTAGCTGCATCTCACCAATTTTAATATAGTTTCATAGTTTCATTTTGTTTAGTTCAGTGTATTTTTAAATTTTTCTTGAGATTTTGTCTTTGATCCATGGATTATTTAAAATATTTTTATTTGTTAGTTTCTAAGAGTTTGGAAGCTTTCTTTTTATTATTCTATTGATTGTTTTCTAATTTGATTATAGTTTCTGATTTGAGTGTAGTCAGAGAACATGTACTATATGATTTAATTCTCTTAAATTTGGCAAGGTTTATTTTATGGTTCAAGATATAGCCCATCTTGGCAAAGGGCACTTGAGAAGAATGTGCATGCTGTTGTTGGGTGGACTGTTCTATAAATATGGATTAGATCCTATTGGTTGATAATGTTGAATTCATCTATATCCTTACTAATTTTCTGTCTTGTTTCTCTATCGATTGTTGAGAGTGAAATGATGAATTATCCAATTATAATTTTGGATTTGTATATTTCTACTTTCAAGTCTATCAGTTTTTGTTTTATATATTTTGCAGTTTTATTGTTTGATGCATATACATTTACAATTTCTATTTTTCTGTGTGGATCAATATTTTATTCTTATATACATATATAATGCACATACACATTATATATACACCTTATGTATATATGGAATATATATACATAATACATATACACATATATGTATTTGTATATACACATATATACATATATGTATATACATATACACATATATGTATATACACACATATACATATGTGTATACACACATATACATATGTGTATATACATATATACATATGTGTGTGTATACATATATACATATGTGTGTGTATACATATATACATATGTGTGTGTATACATATATACATATGTGTGTGTATACATATATACATATGTGTGTGTATACATATATACATATGTGTGTGTATACATATATACATATGTGTGTATACATATATACATATGTGTGTATACATATATACATATGTGTGTATACATATATACATATGTGTGTGTATACATATATACATATGTGTGTGTATACATATATACATATGTGTGTGTATACATATATACATATGTGTGTGTATACATATATACATATGTGTGTGTATACATATATAACATATATATATACACACATAATGCACATTACACACATATATGTGATTACCAGGAAAATTATCAGTATATTACACAGTATACATTAGTATATCATTACATATTTACTGGTGGTGTCCCTTTCTGTCCCTAGTAATTCTCTTTATTCTGAAATCTACTTTATGTGATATGAATATAGCCACTTCCTGATTCCTTTTGATTGATGTTTGGATGGCATATCTTTCCTTTTACTTTCATCCTGCTTACACTGTTTTACTAAATGTGAATTCATTGTTGACACCATATGGTTGGGCCATGTATTTTAGCCTACTCTGGAAATCTCTGTCATTTTTGTTAAAGTAACTTTATTAAGGTATGATTGACATGTAAAAAGCTTACATATTTTATGTGTACAACATGGTGAGTTTGGGGATAAATACACACCTGTGAAACTATCATCACTGTCAGGGCTATAAACATATCCATCACCCCCCAAAATGTCTTCATGCCCCTTTTATTATCATTATAATTTTTAAAGCAAATTTTAAGTATACAATACAGTATTGCTAGCTATAGGTATTATGCTATATAGTAGACTTTCAGAACTTATTTATCCTGCATAACTGAAACTTTGTGTCCTTTGACCATCACCTGCCCATTTCCTCCTCCTTCTAGCCCCTGGAAGTCATCACTGTATTCTATGTTTCTATAAGTATGACTATTTTAGATTTCACATATAAGTGAGGTCATGTAGTACTTGTCTTTCTTTATGTGGCTTATTTCAGTTAGCATAGTGTTGTCCAGGTCCATTCATAATGTCATAAAAGGTAGAAAATCTCAGTCTTACTTGGTATACTTAGACCACTTACAGTTAATATAATCACTTATGTGTTAGGGCATATGTCTGTCATTTTACTTTTTGTTTGTCTCTCTTGGTTTTGTTTCTCTGTTGTCTTCTCTCTACTTTTCCATGGGTAACTTGAAAACTCTTTAGAATTCCATTTCTATTTATTTATAGTTTTTTAGTGATTTCTTTGCATGCCTTCTTTAGTGGTTCCTCTAGGCATTACATTATATACATAACTTAAAGTCTACGGGTGATGTCATTTTACCAGTTTGAGTGAACTGTACATTGTATACTGTTTAAAGAACTTCCTGCCGGGCTTAGTGGCTCACGCCTGTAATCCCAGCACTTAGGGAGGCCGAGGCGGGCGGATCACGAGGTTAGGAGAACGAGACCACGGTGAAACCCCGTCTCTACTAAAAATTAGCCAGGCGCGGTGGCGGGTGCCTGTGGTCCCAGATACTCGGGAGTCTGAGCCAGGAGAATGGCGTGAACCCAGGAGGCGGAGCTTGCAGCGAGCCAAGATCGCGCCACTGCACTCCAGCCTGGGCGACAGAGTGAGACTCCGTCTCAAAAAAAAAAAAAAAAAAAAAAAAAAAAAAAAAAAAAGAAAAAGAACTTCCTATAGACATTTTCTTGGGAGAGATCTGTTGGCAACAAATTCTTTTAGCTATTTTTCATCTGAAAGTATTTAGTTTCTCCATCATTCCTGGATATAGAATTATGAGTTGACAGTTCTTTTCTTTCAGAACCTGAAAAATGTCATAGCAATTTCTTCTGGACTACATGGTTTCTTATCAGAAATCTGCTATCTTTTCAATTGTTTTTCCCCTTTATGTAAGATGTCATTTCACTCCTGCTGCTTTTTTTTTTGACTCTAGTTTTCAGATTTTGACTATGATATATCTTCTCATGGATTTCATTGGGTTTGTCTTGTTTGGGAATTTTCTCTGCTTCTTGAATCCATAGGTTTATGTCTGTGCAACTTTGGGATATTTTTCAGTTATTATCTTATCGAGTAAACTCTACCTTCTCTCTCCTCTCCTTCCCAGACTCTGGCGCCATGAATATTAGCTATTTAGTGATAGCAACAGGCTCTTTGTTTTTCAGGCTGCTTTTTCTCTGTTGTTCCAGTGGAATAATTTCTATTGTTTTATATTCCAGTTCACTGATTCTTTCCTCTGTCCCTTACATTTTGCTGTTGAGTCTATCCATTCAGTTTTAAAATTTTAGTTGTTTTCTTCAGTTCTACAGTTTTCGTTTAGTCCTTCTGTATATGTTCTCTTGTTTTGCTGAGACTTTCTTAATTTTTTTCAAAATGTACATGCTCATTGAAGCATTATTAGGATGACTACTTCAAAATCTTTCACAGGTAATTCTAATGTCTGTACCATCTCAGTATTGGTGTCTATTGATTGTATTTTCTTATTGAAATTGAGATATTCTTGGTTTTCCTATGATGAATAAGTATTGGTTACAACCTAAGCATTTGTGTAGTATGTTATGAGTCTCTGGATTCCACTTAAGTCTCCTATTTTAGCAGACCTTCTCTGACACTTCTATGGCACAGGAAGGAAGGGTGGGGATGCCACTCATTACAACCAGGTAGGGTGGAAGTCCAAGTTCCCCACTTGGTCTCTGTTGATAGAGGAAGAGGTAAAGGCATCTCATTAGTGCTAAATGTGGTTGGGAGCTCAAACTCCCCACTAGGTCTTGCTGATACCTAACCTGGCTGGGAGGGACAGTGTGCTTGTGTCTGCATGCTATATGGCCTTCACTGACATTATGGTGGGATGGTTTTGTTCCTATTGTTTAGTGATAAAAATCCTGACTGTCCAGGAGGTCACTTCTGATACCATGACTGTGGGGAGGGGAAGGTTTCTTTGTTACCGTGGGTGAGCTGGAAGTACAGACTCACCATTTGGCTTTCCTAGGCAACATCATGGAACAGGGTTTGGGTGCCTCATTATGGCTCTGTCATGATGGAAGTCCAAACTTTCCGTGTGCTGGCAGGGGTGGGAGTGGGCTGCGGATTTTTGTGGTATTTGGCTGGAATAAAATGAGTTTCACTTAAGAGTTTTCACTCTTATTAAGCAGTGCCTCCTCTGGTCTTTGTCTATGGGGAACAAGCTTTCCTCTCTGTTTCTTTCTGTGTGCCCATGGATATTTCTGGGTTTCTGGCTTCTCTAGTAACAAGTCTAGTATATATGAGGCAAAAACCAAATAAATAAATCACCACCACCAACAAAAACCACCACTGTGTGTTTCCTGGGGTTCTAAGGTCCTGCTGGTGGTCTGTTTTCTTCTCTTCAACTTTTAGAGTCTTTTGAAGTTTGCTTTATATGTAATGTGCAGGAATTTGATCTGCTCTTAGCAGGAGGAATAGAAAAAATACGACTATTTCATATTTCTGCAAGTGGAATATTCAAAAATAATTTTAAATGAGTAGTCTATGATGTTATATTTACTGCTGATTATGTCAGTACTTCCATATTAGCGTACCTATCTTTATAAGTGTTCGAAGAATATTTTCTCCTTCTTTCCTTCCTTTGTTCCTATAGTTCTCCTTTATTTTTCATTCTTCCTTCCCTTCATTTCTTTTTTCTCATCATCCCTCAATTTTTGTTGTTCCTTTGCTTCCTTTGTATTTTTTCTTTGAAAAGAATTCAGAACAGGTAATAACAAAAGATACTAATAAAACTACTATTTAAATTTTTGAAGTTAAAAATGTTTCAATTTTTCTAAATAACAAAAAATAATCTTACTCTGTTTTTTTCCAAGGTTCAGAATAACCTGGATGTATAGTCGTTTTCTTAGTGTGAGATTGGAGAGCTTTCAACAGAAAAAGAATAAAGGTTTGATTAAATGATCACCTTCTAAATCAAGGAATCTTTTGTTGTTGTTTTTGATGATGATTGATTTACCTTGACTCTATTTCTATGTTAACAATCTTAGTAGGTTTCATTTTTAGCATTTTAAAAATCATCACTCCCATGCACTTCACCCTTCAATAAAGCACAACCATCCCCCTCTGTGTCACACTTTCCTTCCTAAGAGTAAATGAGGGAGGGACTTCTAGATGTGGAATTTATACTTATTTTATTCTTGAGATAACATCAGCCCAGCGAAATAGGAATTACTTTAGTACTGAATTTATCACAGGTGATAAATAAGGTTAGGCAGGTGGGATTTTGATGTGGGACTCTTTGCTCTCTCTCCCACCCAGTTTTGTGGCACATCATTTAATTCCCCTACCTGCCTAGTGATTTTCTAAGAATTTTCTTGCATTTTAATTCAAGCTTAAGTCTGGATAGTCTCTCCATCCAAGGTGTTTCAGCAAGCAGGCGAGGAAATGCTTACATTCTTTTTAGACACAAACCAGTCATGTCATGTCATAGCCATGAGTTGGGACCAGAGATTGTCCTCTCTTCTGGTGTGTGAAACCCACCCTAATACAGGATTAATGTCAAATACATTACAAATACATGTGCAAAATGACAACCCCACTTAGGGACTACTGTATCTTTGGAGCCTAGCCCAGGGTATGAATGAAGCATATTAACAACTACATCTTAATTTAAGAAAAAAATATATATGCTGATAATACCACAATTACATTATAACAAAGGATAGAGAGCTCCATGCAAATACTTGTCCTCAGGGAAACTGCACTCTAATGAAAACAAAACCCAAGCACACATGTGCTATCAATTTGTGTTTTAAAATAAAACTTTCTCTTTCAGAATTGCATTGCAACTATTCATTGATTCATTCATCTATCCAGTTCAAAATATCAAGAAACAGAGAAGTGAGAGGAACAAGAGAGCTTCTGTTCTAGTAACATTTGTCAAAAGGAGGAAAAAACCTCTATTTCAGATTGCTTTCATATACAGCCATGAGATGCATGATTTTTCATAGATCAAAAGAGGAGACAAAATGCAGACTTTGTCATCTGTTGGACAGAATGTTCTGATTACTATGGATGGGGCTTCAGGAGTTAATGGCAAAAGAAATGAGTCTTCCGTGGCGTGCTTCAGTCCCCAAACCACTCTCTCATTTGACTATGAGGTTTGCTGGAATGAGACCATTCACAGAGGAAGGGGGGACATCAGGGAGATGGGAAATTGGCCACCTGCAAGAAACGAGTCCCTTGCACAAAGCCCAGTGTAGCAACAACGGACTCAACGAAGGAAGCCAGCCATCCAACGGAGAAAGACCAGCTAGCGAAGGCAGACGACGCTCATCTTCTGTAAATAGCAAGGCTTAAGAAAAATAGTCAATGAGCGCGCTCCCTTTTTGTTTGGCTTTGGTACCATTGACTAGTTGTCTGAAAGTAACCGATTGTATGGAATGGAACGAGTGGGAACCCAGCCAGTACCCCGAGCCAAGAAGTCCAGGCAAGTTATCAAGAAGAGGCTTTTCTTTTTCTCCTCCTCCCCCTCATTTCTCTTTTTCCTTCTTCTTTTTTAAATTCAAGAACATTTTATTTAAAATGAAATTCCCTTAAAGTTGTGCATTGTCTTTTATTTAAAGATGTAGTATCTCTGAGAATAAAGAAAGGAAGAGAGGAAATTAAAAAGCAATGAGAGAAGACGTCTGGCAGCTTGGCCTCTCACCAAGTGACCTTTTGATAGACCACATGGGACTCAGAACTATATGAGCCTACCAAGGAAGTGAACAATTTATGGTGCCTTGTTTGGGCTTTTGATAAGTATCTCTGTAAAGTGATGCAAGGAAAAACAACCCGGGACCTACTATAATTGCAGAATTCCTTTAAATTATTTTAAGATGAGAGAGGCCATCAGGACTAGAGAGAAATAGCCCCCAGGCTCAGGATATTTATGTGTATTTCATTTAAAAAATCGGTGCCACAATGTCCCAATGATCATTAAGCAACCTGTCTGGGTGTCCTTCAAAAGCTGGAGGATTTGTTCCCTGAGGAGGATGAGACAGTTATTCATAAGGCAGGATCTGAGCACCATGGGGCCACGTCCCATGCATGAAACATGAGAATTCCTGGAAACCACTGGAATCACCTGGGTTCATTCTGAGTTGCTTCCTTTGGAAAATCTTTTGGAAGAACATGAAGGGGTGTTTTTTACGTTCCCTTACTAAATGCTAAAGTGTGATATGGTAAAATTTGCTGGTTCACTGAGTGAAGCATCAGGCATTGGCTGAAATCTGGTGTCAAAACATAGGAGATCTTCCTGCTACTTGTATTTAGTGGGACACTTCTATACCTCCTACAGTGCACAGGACAGCCCCCTACAGTGGAGAATTATCCAGCTATCCAGCTTCAAATGTCAATCGTGCCAAGGTTGAAGACCCTGATTTAGGGGCTTCTTTGCAAATCATTGATCTTACCATCAAGGACTTAATATTCCAGATTGCTGAGAGCATTCTGTTTTTGAAATATCTCTATTGGATCATTTGAGAAGCCCTGGTTAACTCCCATATTTAAGGAGATCTCACAGGAGTTGTTTTAGAACAAGATTACTTTTGTTCTATGGCCAAAGGCTTCCTTTCCAGAAAGCTACACCCAAATTTAAACCACTTGCTCAGCCAAGGCTTCAGAAAATCTATCATCTGGTAGAAAAGCAGAGTTGTCTTTTTATCCCAGGTACAAGGATTCTTATTACAAACGACCACCTATTGTGACACTAATAGCATTGCTGAGGTGGTAACTTTCTATTTTAAAGTGTTAAGGCTGCAAGTCTACTAAGACCATTATAAAGACATGATCATCTGGAAACATCTGCAAGAAAATCTACCAAAATGAAGACACACTCACAAAATGACCTTCCTCCTACATCCCAGCTCTTGTCATCTTAAAGGCATTCACTCCATGGAGGCCCCAGGAGGCGAATGGCTTCTCTCATCTTGGGCTGCAGCTTTGCTGATGACTTCTGGCTCCTCATGGAAAACAGAAGTGCAGGGCATGCTTTTCCATTAAGCTCTTTCTGCTAAAGCAGATTCGAAGTTAAGAGAAGCAGGCACTGCTCATTCTTGTCCAACATTCATGGACAAAGAACTCTGGGCTTCAGTCTTGTCAACCCTCGTGCAGGGCTCTGCTCATTAGCAGGAATCTTCAGATGACTCATATTCCTGGGCATTTGATCTTTTGTGATAAGAAGAACCAGCCTGGCTCACTGACTGGTATGGTGTGGCATGGTTCCTGGCAATGGTGTCTTTGGAGACTGATGAAATTCTTTTAAGATTGATATCTCCATTATGACATATTGAGCATTGTGTGTTTGGGTTGTGTTAAGGAACTACTACCACCCGAACACTCTGGTCTTCCTCTCTCCTTTTTTCTTTTAGGCACATTATGTGTGGAGATGTGTTCTTATTGGCAAAGGATACAATATTCACTGATAAGGAAAAGTAAACTATGCTAATAACATGCAGAATTTAAAGGAAATCCCCAAACCTGAAGTTTTCCCAAATCTTTGGGCTTCCTTAGCCCTGTAAGTGGATCAAACAGCTGGGGAGTTTTCTTTTTTAATTTTTATTTTTATCACAGATCATCTACCATGAGCAATTTCTCTGGAAGTTGATGTGTCAATGACTATCTCATCTTTGTTGAAGTGAAGTTTTTGGTCCTGAAGCTGGCTGACTCTCAGCTTCCTGGACAGGCCCTTTTCTGGGCACACCGGGACATTGGGCATTTGTTGGAGTTTTCCAATGTCTGTAGCTCCAGGTGTTCAGCAAGAGGCATGGCACTGTGAAGTCACCATAGTGTTTACGGAGAAGCACAATAGGGGGCACCCTCCATAAATCTGGTTGAGGGAAAAGCATTACAAGTTGGATGAAATAAGAATACAAGAAACAGTATTTGTAGAGTGTATATGACTGTGTGTCAAGTGAAGGGAAGACAGAAGAAATGCTGTAAGTTACTAAGAGGGAGAAATGACTAAGGACTGCAGTTGTCATGGCAGGCTTCCTGAAGGTGGTGGATGTGGGCTGATGTCTGAAGAAAGTTACCATTTACTGAGATCTCACAGTGAGCCAGGCCCTGTTCTAAATATTAATGTGGATATTTTGTTTAAGTCTCATCATTTTTCAAGGTGAGTGCTGTTGTGATACCCATTTTACAATGAGGAAATGGAGGCAGAGAAATTGGCACAGGGCATCTGCATGTGGAGTTTGCATAAACAGAGGTGTCATGGTGGCACTTAAGACCCCTTTCGACTCCAGCAGCATAGCCTCCTCCACATAATGTCTCTGCTTATGCACATTTGAAAGAGGCCTTAGGGAACATCCAGTCTTGATGACCCCGAGGCCACAGAGGGTGAGCAGCCTCAACTTGCAAGGTTAAGTTCTAGAGAGCCGAATGGGAGGCTGTGGTCGGCCTGAACCATGATCTCTCTGTGGCCAGGGGAAAGGGAACACGTTGGCCAGTCTGGTTGCAGTAGGGTTTGTATCACTGCTGCCAGCTTGATTGACCTGTGGCAGGCAGTCAAGGGTAAGAAGAGAAAGGAAGTGATTGAGAAGAGTGACCTAGCTGAAAGCAGAGCAGACCAGGCTGGGGTGTGTCTGGAGGCGGGGCTGGAAGTTACTGCGGGAATCCAGGTGTGAGATCAACTGGATCACCTGAGTTGGCCCTGAGGCTGGAGGTAAGAAGGAATGCATAGATCAGGCAAGAAGACCCATTGAAGACTGGCAGACTAATCAGAAGGAAATGGGTCTTCACTTTTTATCCATTCAAGGCAGATAATTATTAGCATAAGAGGAAAGGAACTTGGAGGATAAAAATGAACGTAAAGAGAGAAATACAACAAATAACAAAATCAGCCCAAATGTTCTGGGTTCCTAACTTATGTGAATAATTTCTGAAGCATGTGTGGATGACTAAGTGGGTTTTCAAGACTCTCCTGAAGATTTCTGTGAATGATTCCTTATCCCCAGGGCTCCGTGGACACTGAGGGATAAGGACAACATGCATACCCTTTCCAAAAGGTTTTCCGTGTACAGATGAAGAGATCACATTTACTCAGAGCTCTCCATCCATCCCTGGGGGCCGGCGTGGCCACTGGTCACTGGGCAGCCTGTCCTAGGACAGCAGGACTCTGAGGGGAGCACGCTGTGATGCAGGTGCGACCCTTGCCCTCTGTCTGCACTTCCTGCTCTAGATACTTGAACACGATATACACACATTTCGAATAAGGCGAAAGTGTGCAGAACAGGATGCTCTGGTCTGTAAGTGCTGGCGTTGCAGCCAAAGCAGGCTTTCTTTTGTGGATTGCTCTGCAAAGAGATGAATCAGGAAAGCCCACTGGCCCCGGGGAATGCACACCCTCGTGTGAAGGCTGTAGATTGTTACTTAAAGGCGGTAAAATTCTTAATGCCTAAACTCTTGTGGAAGAAATATGCATCTTCAGTTTTTAGTAACTTGATTTAATTTCTAATTCAAGTTTTCCTTTTCCTGGGGGTAATGGAACCTTAATAAAAGTCAGTCAGCCCCTCGAATGTCCCACCACTGTTTACTCAGCATTGCAGGGATGCTCAGGGAAGCCCGGGGTTTTTGCTGACCTCTGTCTGGGCCCCTACCCTTCCAGAGCAGTGAGTTGGTCCTTGGCACCCTGGCCTTCAGGTCGCTCTCCCCTTCCTTGGCATGTGCCTGGTAGCTGCTGCTGCTGGCCTGCACTTGATGGTGCCTGGGAATCTGCCTTTCGTGCTTTTGCTGTGTTAGATTACAAAAATCTTGTGGGCTCCTCATGGGCCAGTTGACCCAGACTCACTCTACAGGTGTTCTCTCTTGGGCGTGGGAACTCCGGATCTTATGAACTTATGTCAGGTTTTGCAGCCTCCCAGGATCGTACCTGCAACTGGACTTCTCTTTCTTATCCACCTTTCTTCTCTTTCCCTGCAAGCCAGTACATTTTAATCTAGTCCAAGGGTGAGTTCGGGGTGGGCAACTGGGGAGACAAGCACGTCTCTCCTCAAAACTTTCATATATCTTGGCTTGAGCATTTATTTGTTCCTCCAAGGGACTACATTTTTGAGACCCAGAAGCCAGGAGATTCAAGATTCCTTCCTTCCTTCTCTACTGAATTATTCCCCTGAGTCAATAAACGCAGGACAGCAGAGGTGCTTGAATGGGGTAAGAATAAAGGAAGGAAAGGAATTACCAGAAAAAGTAAATAGGGCAATATTTCAAAAAGTAGTATCCTGTCATTGCAAAACATGATGTGTAGGCATCTGATGCCTGTGTGAATGGAAGATTTGTGAAGGTGCTGTGGCAACTTGGAGGCAAAGCTCTTGCACCTCCTGTCAGTAGGAGATTGAGACAGTGGGCTGGCTTGATCCTAAAAGAAACCATTTTAGAAAATATACCTACTGCAAATTTGTTCTCACCTATACCTAGAACACTTGTCTCAAAGCCATACCTGAGAAGGCCCCACACCTACTACCAACTTTAATTATGAATCTATTGAAATATTTGGTGATCCGAAATCTCGTAGGCTTAGTTGTGTGTCTGTTGAATTCTGCGTCTGTATTAATTTGCGTGTGTTCTTGTGTGGAAGGTGAGCTGAAGCCTCGATCAGGATTATTAAAAAAATAGGTTTAATTATGTAAATGTAGAAAAATATTTATAATATTTAGTATAATATGTTAAGTATATATAATATTATTACATATGTATATGTGCCTGTATTATATGTGTTTTATATTTGCTGTTTCTTTTATTTTAAGGAGAATGATCAGGGTGGGACAAAGAACCAAAGTGCAGAAGGTAGCTCTGGTCAGAGGTGAAGGCTTTGCTTTTGGATAGATCACCCTATCAGGCAAAGAGCCAAGTTTTGCAACCTTTTTTTTAAAGAAACTGTCATTTTCACAGAGAAAAAACCAAATCCTGCACTTTTCACAGACAGAAAACCAGATCCTGTGTTTGTATCACTCTAGAAATTGAGTCTAAAGGAACCAAGAGACGTTTTTGGAAATCTTATGAGTAAGCCCAGCAAAATTGACCCAGATTTGGCAAAATCTTCACACAAATTTGTGTTCCTTTCAGAATCTCTGTGAACTTTCTACAGCTTGCTATATGCACTGTTTATTTTTTATTTTGATGAAATATACACAACATAATATTTGCTGCCTTACTGTTTTTAGAGTGAACACTTCAGTGGTCTGTAGTCCCTCAGTTGCACTGGACACAGTTGAGGCCCTCAGGAGCCACGCGGGGTCAGCGGTGGTGGCATTGGGCAGAGCAGGTGGGCAGCATTTTTACTTGCACAGACAGCTCTGTGGACAGAGCTGTCTAGAGCCACATCTCGAATTGACTCCTACTAAGAATTCAGCAGAAATCTAAGCAGGTAGCTGACACTTGAGAGAGAAAGGGTAGAGGATTTGAAAACGTCCCTTCTCCCACGTTCTAGGCTCATCGAGAAGCAAAGCCACAATACAAATATCTTTAATGAACAAAAACTAAAAATTCTGTCTTAGAAATGAAAACAATTACATTTTTACTCATTTGTGCAGTATAAGAATCCTTTATAATAAGACGTACTAATTTTGGAAGTTACAAGAACAAGTGAAATTAAGGTTTTGATTTTATCTTAAAGGAGACAGCTAAATAATCCACATTTTTCTATATTCTGAATTTTGTTAAAGACTATTAATGATGTTATTCAGTGTCTTTTATGTTACATATCTGCTTAATGAATTAAGCACAGAACTTTACCTTGGGAAAAATGTTTGTTTTTCTTGAGAACTGTAATGTCCTTAGAAAGCCATAGGTTTCACTTATTGACCTGACTGCCAGGAAGTTCAAAACTCAGTTATGGTTAAGTGTATAAATCCCTAGCTGCTTTTACAACTATTGACTCACTTTCCATTTTTCAGTTACCTGACTTCTTTCTTAATTTTTTTTCAAACATTTTCATGTGTATACATATTCTTCAATTGTAGGCTCTAGAGAAGTGTTTTTGGAAGTAGACAAAATACGCATAGTGATGACACATTAGCTGCTGTCTTCATTTGTTGTTTTGTGTTTTTGTGATTTTGCCACTCATAAAAACTAATCTTTGCATAATTTTGGCATGAAATGTCATTTGGAAGCTCACCGAGTTCCAGAAGCTGCATGCCACCCATTCCGAGTCTGTGACCCTCCACAGCCTGGCCCACTGCTCCTCCCAGCATCCCGCGTGGAGCACGGCGTCCTGTGCAGGCATTCTGAGAGGGGCTTCACAGCCATGCTGCCTCGCTGGAGCTGGAGCTGCCAAGCGCTATGCTACATGCTAGGTCTTTACTGCCTCATGGGCAAATCTTCTTTTTGCCTTATGTATTTTTTTTTTTTTTTGCTTGTCTTGAAATCTTTTTTCCTAAAGGTCTTTGACAGCTTCGCTGAACTGGGCATTGGATTGCGGTGTGGAGGCTTTGAGACCACACATGTGCATGGTCCAGTACCTGGAACAAGATGAGCATGGCCGTAAATAACAGGAACAGCAATTTCATAAGGCAGAAGGCGCATAAGCCAACGGGAAGCTTGGCTTCTCATGTGTCAAAAACATCAACACTTTCTTGGGTGTCCAAGAAATTAATGTTATGTCAAAAATTAAAAGACAAAAATGATAATCAGTACAATAAGGTCCCCATCCTAAAAAATTTCATTGGAGGAAGCACATGTGTTACAATATAACAATCCTTTGTCCATATGGCACTTTTTTTATGGCACAATGACCTCACTCTAAAACTCACCTTTTACTTGTAAGGAGCTTATGGTAGCAGGGGAGGCACATAGAGGTCACATAATAGAGGCTAAGACCCATGGTCTCCCTGGAGTGGTGACTCCTGTGGTCTCCGGGGACCTTTCTCCTTCTGTGTGTGCAGCTCCACCCAGGGTATTTGAAGGTAGAACATTCTTTAGGATACAGAATAATGAAACCTTAGGGTTCATTTCAGACTTCCTAGAAGGTTGGGTAGGGGGTGTCGTTCTTGGGAAGTTCCTCCTGGCATCTCTGAAATCATTCAGAAAAAGGTTGTCCAGGTGCCTCCAGAGGGTGTTCTTGGCCATGTTTGTGCGGCGTTCCTCTGACATTGTTCTAAGGGCTCACGGAGAAGGGCATTATCCTAGTGATCATCCACTTGCTGATTGGGTTGATGGCAATTGTGCCACATTTTCCTCCGTGACCTGGCCCTGAAATTAGCCATTTTCTGGAGCTATCCCTTGTGATGGTGTTTCCATAATGTAGATCAGGAAACACTGGTCACCACCAGTCCAATGCAGGCTAAAGATACCTCACGTTGGAATGCAGCTCCTTATGTGAGACTAGGATTCTAGAAACTCTTTCTGGGTTTTCTAGGAACCTGTAAAAATGCTGCAGTGTTTTTACAACAGAAGACAGCATAGCGGGAAGCAATACATTTGGAAGACAGATTCCTATAAAGTCAATGCTTATTAAGTGCAATGTGGTCTAGTGTTCTGATGATGCCTAGCCAATGTCAAGGCCAGAGACTTTTAAGAAACAGCTAAAATTATTTTTTAATGCCTTTTCCCACTTCTTTTCTTGTACCCTCTTGGTGTAGGTGTAGTGATTTGGAGAGGGGACAGGCTCAGCATCAGTATTTCTGCTGCATCCCTCTGTAAACATCTCATGAAGTGGCTGATTTGTGAGAAGAGGATCATCTACCTCCTGCATTCAATCTCATGAGTAGTTGGGAAGAACAGATGAAGTGAGGCTGTGAAGCACTGTTGCAATCTAAGGCACTGCTTAGACATTGGTTGAGGCTCTAACCCATGGTCTCCCTGGAGTGGTGACTCCTGTGGTCTCCGGGGACCTTTCTCCTTCTGTGTGTGCAGCTCCAGCCAGGGTGTTTGAAGGTAGAACATTCTTTAGGATACAGAATAATGAAGCCTCAGGGTTCATTTCAGACTTCCTAGCAGGCTGGATAGGGGGTGTCGTTCTTGGGAAGTTCCTCCTGGCGTCTCTGAAATCATTCAGAAAAAGGTTGTCCAGGTGCCTCCAGTGGGTGTTCTTGGCTGATGTTTGTCCTGCGTTCCTCTGACTGCTAGGCTTAAGCGTCTTCAACTCAGAGTTCAATTCCTCACATGCTGGAAGGCAGGACAGCGAGCACTCTGGGAGGTCCACCAAGCACTTTGTGCTCCATTCCCTGCACTGTCTGCTCAGGAAACCTCCTCACGCAACCATCTGAGGCCTGGTCCTTAAAGTGGAACCTGTCACGCTGGAGCTGAGTGTTGCCTCGGTCCACACAGCATCTTGGAGACATTTATGGTTTCTGCTCTGAGTGTCTCTTGATGGAATTGTTAGTGGCTGCTGCAATGCAGATAATATGGAAAACTATTGTGGTAACTGTGGCTATTGGCATGGTGGCTTTCCACCTGGGATCCCTGGAGTCTTGGCGCCTGGCAGGGGCAGCACTGGGAGGAGGAGGAGACTGAGCTGGTGAGGACCTGAGCCATTGATCCCTTCTCTCCTACCCCCTATGTGCCCTTAATCCAAAGCAGTTTTTAACCTCCCTGCCTTTTGTAAATGATAAAGTTTTGGATAAGATGTTATTTAAAGAAATATTTTGATGCCAAGACATGTTGAAAGTCCCTGCAGTGGGGAAGTCAGGAAAAGTTGGTATAATGCTGGGTTATTAACCTTCTTTGGTGCAAGACCTTTTTTTGAGATGTGATGAAACTGTTTCTCCAAAAAAAGCTCATACCCCACAATATTGCATCAGGATTGCTGAGGCCATCTGTGCATGTGGCCCACACCCCTGGTTAGGGATCCCTTGTCAATTGGGAAGATTATGGGTTGTGGATACAGACAGATAGAGATTTAACCCTGCCTCAGACTTCACTCACTTTTTAACCTCAGGGTATCTTAGTAAACCTCTTTACATTCCAGTTTGTTGTCTGTAAAACAGGGACAATTATGTATTTTTGTGAAGATGAGAGAACTTCAAATGTCAAATCACATGGTAGGTGTTAAGTAAATTGTAACTACTAAAAGGCAGTAAAGTGATGATTAAACATTTATTAATACTTCACATATGGTAAACCCATACCATCTTATTAAATCCTCACAATAAATATGGAAGGTAAGTGTTTTTACCCTTTCTTTACAGAGAGGGTAAACTGACAGATGGGAAACTGAGGCCTGGAGAGATTTCGTCTCCTGCTCAACATTGTCACAACTTGTCAGAGATGGAGCCTGAGCAAAATCCCAGGTCTGCCTGATTCTGAAGCCTGGACTTTTACAGAACACTGCCTCTGACCATGGCTATGCTGGCATTCAGCAAGTAGGAACATCAGGAGCACTGAGGCTGTCACTAATGGTCCTGTCCCAGCCCCTCCACTGTGAAGCTGAGACCTTTCACAGGAACCAAAAAGGGATTGATGCTGTGGAGATGGGACACTGATACTCGCAGGTATGCACACTGCTGGGCAGGTCCACATGACCGATACGTGCCAGAAGCCAACTGGAACAAAGCTGTGAAATGGGAGCATTTCTGAGAAAGAGAATAGCAGCCCCTCCCTGGTGCCAGCCCAGCCCACACAGCTGGGCCTGGCATTCTCCCTAACACAACACATCGCTGAAGAGCAACACCAGACAAGCCACTCATGACCCAATGCAGCAAGACAGACAGACACCGGGTGACTGTGTCTGGACACAGAAAACATGCCATGGTCTAGCCACCAATCACAGACACTGGGTGACCGTGTCTGGACACATATGGGACACACCTCGGCCCAACCACCGAACGATTCCCTGTTATGCCTACTAGGAATGACAGCTGCTTCTTTACCTGCATTTTCTTTAAGCACCTGTGCCAGGTGGTTTCACTCCTGAGCCTCCAGCATGGTGTGTCAGGAATACTTCTGTCCAAGAGTCAGGGCTGCTTGTTCAAACCTTTGCTTGGCCATTAATTCCCTGAAAGCTCTTGGATAAGTCATGTCTTGGTCTGTTTTCTGTAGCTATAACAGAAGATCTGAGACTAGGTAATTTATGAAGAAAAAGGCTTAGCTCACAGTTCTGGAGGCTGTGAAGTTCAAGATCAGGTGGCTGCATCTGGCAAGGGCTTCGTGTGCATTGCAACATGGTGGATGACATTACTTGGCAAGAGCACATGTGAGAGAGGTGAGCAGGTGTATGCAAAGAGACAAAACGCAAGGGGTGGCCTTGCTCTGTGACCTCCTGCTCTCCAGATAGCTCATCCAGTCCTGCAAGAGTGAGAGTTCACTCTGGAGAAAGAGCATTAATCCCGCTATGAGGGCAGAGCCAGCCCTCTGCTGCAAATGCCTCTTCAATGTCCCACCATCGGTCAGCACTGTTGCATTGGGGGTTTCAATTGGTCTCAGTTTCAATGTTAAGGCATGGTTGAAACAAGTGAGCTCTGAGGCCCTGTGACTCAGTGAGAGAGGACGCGATGGGAAAGGGAAGGAGCCTGGAGGCCACAGGGACATGGCCTCAGGGAGGCAGGCCCTCTGGTCAATGTGAAGAGAACACAAGGCGCCCACAAACCACCTGCCGGTGGAAGGCTCCCAGACGCTGAGCAGGGTGCAAGGTGTCAGGACTTTTGGCCTGCTGGCATGTGCCTGTCAGGGAGGGTGGGTGCACCTGGCCTAGCTGTACTTGGAGAAAGAAGCAGGCTGGGTTCCACGGCTCGTGATCCAACAACCCCGGCCACTTTATAGGCCCTGAAGGAGATATGAAAGCCCAGATGCTGTTTTTATGGGTTTCTGCTGTTGTTGTTTGTGTTTCATGAAATGTTTTAATTGTTTGGTTTTTTATGCAATGTATCCTGAGGCTTTTAAAATTATTTCACAAAGAGTACGTGTAGCACTGAATGTGAAACAGACTCATTTACAAATTGTAGGCCGACCACATTAGAGAAGGTGAAAGCTGCGAGCATTGCTCTCTGCTGCCTTCGGGCTGCTGCACTAAATAGCAGGTCACCGGCCTCGCCGGTGCTGGGGAAGGAGCACATGAAAGGTAGGAATGTGCTTCTCCCCAACCGAGCCTCCTCACCAGTTGTCTCTGAATTTCTCTACTGGTTGGAAAGCAATTTTCTTATTAGAGAAAAAGAAAAGAAACAAAGTCATGGTGGCCCCACCAACCTTATCTCTTCACTCTGGAAATTAATAGCAAAGATGTGCAGCAGCCACGCTGGCAGAGAGAACCACACCCCAGACCGTCCAGCAAAGCCAGGCATGGGGAAGCGTGTCAGCATCCGATAAACCTGGTTGGAAACTTCTCAGTTTAAACCGCTTCAGAGACTAGCTTGATTTTCCCACCTGATTCTGTCATGTTTTCTGGATGCATGGTCTCCTGGGACACTCCTGCCATGAAAGAACCAGGAGGCTCTCCACTGGACAGTCACCTTAGGAATGGGATAGTCACATGTGAAATCTTGACCTGTATAGATGCCCCTTATTGATAAGAAGCTCTTTAGTTACCACATTTTGCAAGGGTGGCAGGTTTGCCCTGTTTGATGGCTTGCACAAGGGCCCTGAAACACCAAATCCACATGTGTACCACCATTCTGCATATGGACTGAATTTGGCAAAACTCATGGTGAATTGTCTAAGAGCCTGGACTGACTTGCTTGTTTCTTTATTTTTTTGAGACTGATTCTCTCTCTATCACCCAGGCTAAAGTGCAGTGGCACAATCTCGGCTCACTGCAACCTCCACCTTGGGTTCAAGCAATTCTTGTGCCTCAGCCTCCCGAGTAGCTGGGATTACAGGCACCTGCCACCACGCCCAGCTAATTTTTGTATTTTTAGTAGAGAAGGGGTTTCAGCATGTTGGCCAGGCTAGTCTCGAACTCCTGACCTCAAGTAATCCGCCCACCTCAGTCCCCCAAAGTGCTGGGATTACAGGTGTGAGCTACTGCGCCTGGCCAGATTTGCTTGTTTCTGAGCCAAGGTTACCGCGCTGGCTTTGAGTCACATTTGATTGTTATCCCCTGGGTGCCTATTAAACACACCGGTTCCTGTGTCCTACTCAAGACCAACTCAAACAGAATCTTCAGGGTACATACCTGGGGAGCTGGATGTTTAACAAGCACCCCAGAATTCTTCTCATGGGGGAAGTGTGGGAAACCTGGGACTTGCTTCAGAGACCAGCGACCTCGCTCTGTGGGCAGAGTGGAGAGCATCCTGGGACACTTGGCTCATGGCCTCAGCTTTGGAAATGGATGAGCTAGGGTTAAGACCTTCCCTTGGGAGGGCTCAGAACTCAGCGAGCTGTGCCTTAGGATATGAGGCTGCTGTTGGGCTCAACCTGGAACAAGTACAGGTGCTGGCTTAGCTTGATGGGTAAGAACAGGATTTGCAGATGGGGGGCTCCCTGTCTTGTTAGCATTTTCAGTCTTTTGGCCATGTCAGTAAGCTCAGGACAGGGCAAGGGCTTCTGGAAGACAAAGGAGGACAGTGAGATTGGGCTGTTCTATAACATTTATTCAGGTCTCTGGCAGAAGCCCCGTGGAACCTCAGCCGGACAGGAGGTGACGCTTCTCCAGATGACAGTTCTTGTGCCAGCGTCTCAGGTCTGCTCCAGGCTGACGGGTGCTCCGTGCACACAGCAGACCCTGCCGGAAGCTGCAAGTTTGGGAATCGCAGTAAGGGGTGGTGAGCTGTTCTTTGGTTGTGCGATCACGTTTACCAGTAGTCTGGCCAGGCCTCTGGCTCATGGTTAGCGTTTTCATTTATAAAATGCCCGCCTCCCTCCCAGAGAAAGTGAGAGAAGTCATTCACAAAATGATTTTAAACTGCTTTCCAAGGAGCGGCCACTGTGGAATTGCTTCATAGTAGTGAAAGTTTTCACTTGAGTGGGTATTGAAAACAACGGGTTGACCTTCCAGAAAAGGAAAACACTCCTAATTTACTACAAATAGAAACAAATACGTTGTTAGTTTGTAGTTGTCAGGTCACTTGCTTGCAGCAGGACCAAGACTGACACCATGAAATAGCCATTAATTCATCTCACCAACTGCTCAGGTTCAGCCAAGTTTGGAATAATTTCTTCCAGATGCCTTGCTACCACCACCCAACATTGAAGTGGGCATAGCTGTGCCCGCCACCCAACGTTCTGAACCATGGGCTTGACATAAACTGGGCATAGCTGTGCCTGTCCCTTACTTAGCTCTACAATAAGAAACTCTTTAGTTACCACATTTTGCAAGGGTCCTACCTGGAGCCATCATCCATGGAATGGTTACATTGGGAGAATGTATAGGAAGCCAGTGTTTTCTAAGTTAGAATTAATTACCATGCTTGTCCTTGGACAGACGGGAGGCCCGGTCATTTCTCACTTTTGTGTATCACCTTGCAAAGTACCCTCCATCGCCTGCTTGGGGCCACCTAATAACTCCATAAACTGTGCAGGTATTATTGCCTCCATCTTACAGATGACAAAACTAAGGCCAGAATGTCAAATAACTAGGTAAACAATACAGGATTCTAAATGTGGGGGCATGACTTGAGCCTCCAGAGCCTGAGTCTAAGCCAGAGTGTTTCCACCAAACTGTGCCATCTTCATACACTGATTTCTCTAGGTATTTGGCCAGGTATTTTTCTGGCCAACAAATGAAAATTAATGTAGTCTCTGAGAGAGGGACTATGGTAAGGAACTAAATGGTCTTGCCTGGCTTCTTTAGGCTTAAATCTTTTACTAGAAGGAATATGTTTTATTATTTGTTATTGTCAAAATGATAAATAAAAGTGCTCGATTGCAATGAACGTCAGTAAGTAACTGACTTGACGTTGTATAATTATTAAATGTTTAAAATATGTTAGTGGCAATAGTGACACTGATAATATTGATGTGTCGTGTTTTGAAGGCACTCACTTTAATGTTTATATATCCCCAATACATAATGAATTAAGTAAGCAAGCGTCGGGTCCTAAGCATTTTTCTAATTTATATGATTAGTAAAGAAGTACTCTGCTAAATGGGATAAAGTGCTAGTTTAGAATTATGGGATTTCAGACTTTTCTCTGTAACTACTTGCCCTATTGTGTCGAGTCTTACTCTTTTGTTCTAGATGACTTTCTTTATTCATAAAATGGTAGTCAGGCCTTTGTATACTGCCAAAAATATGTCTACCCCACACTTAGATTTATTCCAAAGAATAATTGCACATAGATTGTGCACCTATTATAATTACTGATGTTTATCCAGCACACCTAATTTTGCCTTTGTCCCGGCTTGTTGAGGACACTGTTGCCTTAACCAGTGCATCTTCAAGAGGAACCTTGTGGCTTCTGCCATGACCAGACATGGGTTTCTTGGTCTTCACATGTGAGCGCTGCAGTCTCAGGGTTGCCAGGATGCTTCCGAGGATGCCATCTTCTATTTTTTAGTGGTTACATTTTTCAAAATATAGACTGAGATGCTGTTTCCCATTTTGGGGGTGGCTGGCCTCCTTATTCCTGGGATGTGCATGGTAAAGTGAGTTTCTGAATGGGTCTATGAGCTTCTTCCCCAGCCAGAGTTAATTTAGACACCACCTCTCCCTTCTAAACAGAGCCAGGGCCCATATACAAGTCAAATCTGCTATTTTTCTTTGGGCAATGATTTATTTCCCTCTTAAATTGGCTGGACCAGTTAGTTTTTTATTTTTATTAAGTCACACTATTCTTAAATGAAACTATTGATTTAAAGTCAGCTTAGTGAGGATTTAATTTGTTTTCAGGGGATTAGAGCAGGTAGCATGGGATAATTTTACAATGAAGTGGAGCAGAAGCATTCCTTCACAGTGCCTCGCCTTTTTTTTTTCTTGCCAGGCTGCACAGACATTACAAATTTTCAAGTAAATTGTGGAAATACATTCATAAATCAGTCCTAATTCGTCTGCCTGCTTAAGGGTGATTCAAAGGGGAGTTCATTCCTGACCTTGTCTCATGTCCTTCTGATAGGCCACGTGTCTAGGGCTAAAACACGTGTACCTGTGCATGTACACGAACACACACACACACACACATACACATACACACACCAGATTCCTTTCCTCCTTTCCTCTCTAAGGTCCATGTAAAATTCTTTTTCGTCGCCTTTCCTCCCTTCATACAGTATTGCCTCTGTTCACACAATGGTTTCTTTCCCTAGCATGTGGAAGGGGTGAAGGGCGCAGGGCCTGTGGGGACTGCCTAGCTTGTGTCCCCTTCGGGTCCCCCTGGTTTCTCTGCACCCAGTGCACCCTCTCCCTGCTTTCCCCCATGCTCCAGTATCCTCTCTCCTGGTCGGGATCCCTCTGACCTTCCAGGAAGTTGGGTGGCAGGTCTGGGCGCCAATGGAGGGAGGGCAGGTGGGGAAGTGAATGTGATCAACTCTCATGATGGTTTAAAAATCAACAGAGTGAAACTGTCCAAACACAGCTAGGGAAGGTTTTCTGTTGTTTGTTTTAAAAAGTAGAGTCTTGTCATTGCCAGTCTGTTATCTCTGAGCTTGGCTGTCACTATCCATTTCAAAAGGAGCCGTTTCTTTCTATTGAAATCAAATAGAG
This sequence comes from Homo sapiens, assembly GCF_000001405.40. Taxonomy (NCBI): domain Eukaryota; kingdom Metazoa; phylum Chordata; class Mammalia; order Primates; family Hominidae; genus Homo; species Homo sapiens. The sequence continues at coordinate 76,218,657 of NC_000018.10, read as the reverse complement.
TCAGAGCCATTTTCAGATTAATGGTCCTTGGTCTAGAGGTTTCAAAACCATTTTGGTCAATCATTCTGAGTGTCTCCATTGTCCACAACCCCCTCCCACTGGGGTAGCTGGGGCCGAGTCTTGCCAAGCATCAGGTGACTAAGTCCATCTGGAGAATCCGCCACTGCCAAAGGGGCTGGACTAGCATCCCACCTACTGGGCTCCCCACCAGCAGCAACACAGGGGTCCACTGCCTTTCGTTTCACAAATAAGTCTTGACTTCCTGAACAGTCGGCTTCATGCCTCATGCACTGGAACTGGAAGGCAGGGCAGGCTTTTCTCTGGGACCCGGGGTGTCACTGGGATTCCTCTGCTAAACAGCTGTGAGTGTGGGGGATGAAGGGAGACAGGGTGTAGGTAGCAGATACATCAGGTGTTTCTTGGGATTTGGACTTTCTTCTTCCTTCCTTCCTTCCTGCCTTCCTTCCTTCCTTCCTTCATTCCTTCCTCCCTCCCTCCCTCTCTCTCTCCCTCCCTCCCTCCCTCCCTCTCTCTCTCTCTCTTTCTTTCTTTTTTTCAAGGAGTTGCATTCTGATTGCCCAGGCTGGAGTGCAATGGTGTGATCTTGGCTCACTGCAACCTCTGCCCTCTGCCTCCCAAGTTCAAGTGATTCTCCTGCCTCAGCCTCCCGAGTAGCTGAGATTACAGGCATGTGCCACCATGCCCAACTAATTTTGTATTTTTAGTAGGGATGGAATTTCTCCATGTTGATCAGGCTGGTCTTTAACTCCCAACCTCAGGTGATCCACCCACCTCAGCTTCCTGAAGTGCTGGGATTATAGGTGTGAGCTACTGTGCCCGGTGGGATTTGGGCTTTCCATAGCACTCAGTTTGATTGCGGAGAGCAGGTGAATTGCCAAGACCTGCCTGTGGCCATGGAGTGCAGCAGCAGGTGTGTGTGGCCGGCCAGCCTGTGGGACCAGAAGGAGACTTGAGGATGGGGTCACGAATGCTCCACTGCATGGAGGATGGGTGAGCTCAGGTCTGCCTGTTCTTGGTGTGAACGACTCACAAGAAGACTTGCCTAGAGAAATTCAAGGGACCAACCATACCACAAGAGAATACAAATGGCACAGAGCAGTAGGCATCATGGCATGAGGTACCGGAACTGTGCAAGGATTACACAAGCATTAAAAATGCAGAATGGATTGCAAGAAAAATGCCATATATTTTCTGAGTAGTCAGAGGAAAGTGTGTACGTAAAGGTGTCACGAGAAGCATAGTGAAACTGAACTGAAATGTTAAGAGTAACAACACAGGAAAGATCAGCAGCAGCAGAGATGGGAGACATACAGGAGAAAGGCCGGAGAACTCTGAGCCAGCACCAGCACGGTTCCAGGGAATTCCAGTGAGGGAAGGCGAGGCCAGGGTTGGTAAGTACAAAGAGGAAACCCAGATAGTCATAACAAGAAAATTGGGCATCTACCCACCTGTGTTTCAAACAAGACATCAACACTTTAATTGAGGAGGATCTTGTAAGCTGAACCCTTCAAAAAAAAAGAGCAATAAAAATAAAAATAAATCCTTATAATATATGTCAATGAGATATATATGTACATAAGAATTGTTCATTAAATAAGTTTATGGATCACTGGTAGATCGTTTATAATCAATTTCTTTGTTTTCAAATTTCATTAAGAAACCTCAGTCAGGAACTGAAAAGGTAGAACAATATAAATCTTATGCAGTCGTGTTACTCTTAAATTTACCAAATTCTGAACATTTGAATTAATAATTAGGTGAGGATTAGTGTCATTAGCTTTATTAATCCTGAGCCCTAAGCCACCAGGTATCCAACTGAAGCTAAAACAGGGCATGATCCCAATGTGCCCTTAGTGAATTTCACATTCACTAGAAGAAGAGAAGAATGTTGTGTTAAGGAATTCTCATGATCACTTTTGTTTGTTTAAGAAGGATGCTCTAATTGGTAAGTGGGTCTTTCTAATAAATTTTAAGCACTAAACATACCCACAAGCATAAGTTAGAATATAAAAGTGGAAAAATTAGATTTTATAAAAATTAAAACTTGTGGTTTTCAGAAGACCCTGTTAAGTGAATGAAAAGACAAGTCACACTGTAAGAAAATATCTTCCAAACACATGTCTGATAAAAGATTTGTATATGGACTACACAGAAAACACTCACAACTCAATAATAAAAGAAACACTTCAATAAAATACACAGCCAAATGATTTGAAAGCACTTTCACCAGACAAGCTATATTGGTGATAAATTAGCACATAAAAGGTTGCTAGTCACTAGGAAAGCACAAATGAAGATCACAATGAGATACCAGTGCACACCTATTAAAATTGCTGACAAAACAAAACAGAACCAAAACAACAATACCATGTGCTGGTGAATATGTGGAGCCACTGGAACTCTCATACATGGCTGCAGGGAATGCAAAATGGCATAGCGACTTTGGAAAACAATTTAACAGATTCTTCTAAAATGAAACATGCACTTATTATATAACTCACAATCCCAGTCCTTGGTATTTAAGAGAAATGAAAGTATCTATTAATACAAACTCCTGTCCATGTTGAGTTTCAGGGGCAGAATACCCACCAGGAGTTGCACTTTGAGCAATGAATGTACAGGGTTTACATAAATGTGGAGATTGCTTTATTCATAATTGCTAAAATTTAAAAGCAAACCAGATATCCATCAAATCAATAACTGCAGAATATTTATACTATGGAATACTATTCAAAAAAATGAATAAACGACTGATAGTGCAATACGTGGATGACTCTCAAATGGGCTACTCTAAGTGAGAGAAGACAAAAGCTACACACTCCACAATTCCATTTATTTCAGACTTTGAAAAAGACAAAACCAGAGGGACATAAAACAGATCAGTGGCTTCTAGGGACTTTGGTGGATGGAACAGTGTGGTGGATTAGCCACAAAGGGATATAACAGGGATGATAGCATGTTCTCTATCTGGATTCTGGTGGTAGTTCCATGACAATCTGCATTTATCAAAGTTGATAATTGTAAAATGATGCCTCTGTAAACCTGACTTCAAATCTGAAACAAAAGGAAATAATGAAGCCTCTTAATTTACCTTAGGAATTTCTGTTAACTCCACTATTTTCTTGTGGTTAAGAAATGGGCTAATTTTTTGATAAGTTTATGCAGTTTCCCCCAAACTACATCTCCTCCTGTCAGGAGTGTGTTTCCTATTACCAATAAAACAATAGTCAACTCACTAAATGACTTCCATTAGAAGGTTTCCATTCCTGTAAATCTCCAGGGATATCTTCACCATTACTTTGCAAATTAAAAGAATGGAGTGGATGTAATGACTTTGAAAAGATAGAAGCCTTAAATAACTGGGAATTTTATAAAACTGAAGACTCCAGAAGGCCTAAAGCACTGCAATTTGTAGGTGTATTGCCTTTTTTCTTTTTTTTAATCATTAAGTTTCCAAGTTTTAACACAATTTAATTATGTAATCATTTCTGGAATTTACCTTTATTTATAAAACTACTTTTAAAAACTGTAAAAAACAAATGAACCTATGTATAGCATTTTGCAGGCTACAAAGTGTTTTTACATTCATTATTCATTTGATTTTCTCCAACATCTCCTATCATGGGTCTAGAGTCTTCCTCTAATTTTATAAAACAGGAAGCAGGAGTGCAACCATATTAACACTTTTCCCAATTAACAAGTAGCAGGGCAAATATTCAAACCCAGATTCTTCAATAGCAAATCCCAAGCACCTGCTCTTTTTTTTTTTTGACAGAGTCTCTCTCTGTCACCAGGCTGGAGTGCAGTGGCGCAATCTCGGCTCACTGCAACCTCCAACTCCCTGGTTCAAGTGATTCTCTTGCCTCAGCCTCCCGAGTAGCTGGGACTACAGGTGCCTGTCACCACACCCAGCTAATTGTTGTATTTTTAGTAGAGATGGGGTTTCACCATGTTGGCCAGGATGGTCTTGATCTCCTGCCCTCGTGATCTGCCCTCTCAGCCTCCCAAAGTGCTGGGATTACAGGCGTGAGCCACTGTGCCCAGACTCCAAGCACCTGCTCTTTAATTTCTCTAGCCAAGGTTTTGTCTTGAGTACAGACTATCATTGTACAAGGTCTGAGGGGAATAAAAAATGTTCCTTACCCCAAATTATTTTGCATGCCGTTTAGAGACATCTTACCCTTAGGTAGGCAAATTGAAGATCCATCCCACTTAAACATAGAGCTTAACTGAAGTTTAGATGTCCGAGTAGAGGTATAATGAAAGGTTGGTAATTAGTTGAGTGAACAAAAGCAAAACCTGTATATCTCTCTTTTTCATAGAGGTCATCGTGCCACAAAGCGTTCATTGTTGCCATCATGTGTGTCACCAAAAACTGTTACTGCCATTAGAAGAAGGAGAAAAAAATCAAATAACCCAAGGCACTTTGTCCAGCTCTTTCAACAGAAGAGCTTTATAATACAGAGTGGCTATTATGCCCTTTCAGTTTCACTGCATTGCTTTTATAAATAGGATGTGCTTCTCTGTAAAATAGGAGAAAGGCAATATCCTGTATAGGCCTTTGTGAAGTCAGCTTTATAGAAAGTAGCCAGGGAGGCAGGAAAGACCCCTTCTGTGGTCTCTCAGTCCTGCCTGCCAAGGCCGGTGGTCACTCAATGCTAGGCACCTGTGTGTGGGATACCACGGGTGGTGTCCATGACAGTCCCCAAGGAGGAGCGGAGAAACAAAAGAATCCAACCCAGAATGAACAGTGTTTTGGCTTCAGATAAGATGAGTGACCAGAAATGATTCTCCAGCTCATATGTGGGCCACTGAATTTTCTGCATCTTCCTGTCTCACTTTCTGGCTGGTCTGCAGATCAACCTCCAATCTTTCCATCTCTGTTTCTCCGTCCCTCCCTCTCCCTTTCTTTCTCCTTCTCTCCCCCAACCCTTTGTTTGTCTGAAGATTAAGCAACCAAAGATGTTTTCTGTATACTCAAGCAGCAAGTACAGTTGGCCTTCTCTCTGGCTGATGTACCATGTGTAACTATAGGATTTAATTTTGGTTTGCATTAATCAAACAACAATAAAAGCCATAAAATCCCCTCTAAGAAGCATTTTAACTTAAAATCCAATGCTAAACACCCAGGGATTTTGCCTATTGTCTTCTCCAATGCCCTGTAAAAGGAATGAGATAGCAAGAGAAAGAAAGAAAAATTGAGCCACTTTTTTTTTTTTTGTGCATAGAAAGGGAGAAAACATATAATAAATTAAAGGTAGTGGGAGTGAAATAAAGGCCAGAGGTAAACGACGTTTAATTGTGTGAGCTGCTCTCCCCCTTATGGTCCCTGCCAGCTGCTGCGGTTATTGCTACCTTCCTGTTTTAAGATGAAAGCAATGATGGTAGACACGTGCAGACACACAAAAGAGCCTATTTGGACTGGCGTGTCAGCTCATCTTTATCAAATGTTGCACAGGTATATTTTGTTGCCATGCTTCATTACCCCAGAATGGCATGCCTGAAATGTTTGTCTCTTCTATAAACCCAATAGCTTTCCCAGCCAGGCATTGTTTGACAGGCAATAGACGGGTGTTTCTTTCGCAGGCATGGGTTTGTAAAGGCCTGGCAATTAAGGAGAGGGAGAGAGGGAGAGAGGGAGAGAGGGAGGGAGGGACAGAGAAGAGAGGGAGAAAAGGAAGAGAGACAGAGGAAGAGAGAGGGAGAGGGAGAGGGAGAGTGAAAGAGAGAGGAGAGAGGGAGAGAAAGAGGGAGAAGGGGAGAGAGAGGAATAGAAAGGAAGGAGGGAGATGGGGAAATAGTTGGGGAGAGAGAGAGGGAAGGAGCCGGAGAGAGGGAGCTGGGGGGAGAGAGAGGAGAGAGGAAGGAAGAGTGACAAGATGTAGGGAGAGAGAGAGAGAGACACTTATTAAAAAAATAAAACGTGTGTAGTGTGTGCATTTTCGATTTTTTTTGTACATAAAGAAGACATAAAGAGCTGCATAATGAATCTGGATTGTGTTTTAGAAAGGATCATTCCCCCCTGCGATTGGAAAGAATCTTTTTCAGACATCCAGGTGGTTGATTTAAAATAGGAAGTTTTGAAAATAATTTCTGTGAAGCATAAAGGGATGAGGCAAGTGGCAGGGAAAAATACAGAGATGGTAAATAAGACCATAGTCGCCAGAAGTGGAATTTGGCTTTCTTTTACACGTAAGACTATTGCATCAAAATTCACCTCTTATCTTCCAGTAGCCTCCTGGAAAATCAATATTTTAATCCTGTGTGATATAGATTAAATTCTCAGGAAGTAGAATTGGGGAAGGCCTATATTTTATTTTTTCCCCTTAGAGCAACTGTGATAGTGACTTTTTGCAAATCAGAGAAGGACGCATGAAGATTTGGCCAAGCTAATATCCATGCAATTTCTTGCCTTTCCTCTGGGGATACTATTCCCATTGGATCCCACAAGCTTATCCACAAAATAAGCTTAGCAATTTCCACAGAAGTAACCGATGGTGGCATCATTAGGAGCTAGCTCATTTTCAGAGGAAGATTTTGTTCCATCTGAGTTTATATTAACACAGTGTTCCTGGCAGAACTGTTATTAACCAAGACCTTCATTTGTTATCTGGAAAAGAAGGAACAACAGTAATTGATGGGCAATTCCAACATGGGGGTACCAGAAACCACAAAATAGACACGATGATGCAAACCATGTATTTTTTTGTAGTTGTTTTGTCTTCTGTAGGAATGATGGGATGTCAGCAGATGTCTAGACAGAAATGTGCAGAATCCCTTCAGATCCGAGGTGACGGAGAGAGTGAGTTTCCAATGCCTGAGCTAAAACCATCAAGGCCATACGGGTGTTGGAATTCAGAATCTTTTTGATTTTAGAAAAATGATGTGGTGCATGTACTGCATCCTAAATCATGCTTCCAGTTGAGTCAGAGGCAGCGTTCTGGTCGCACACACGCATATAGTTGCAGTCAAATGTAGGAATGGTCACTCTAATTAGGATAAATAAAAACTACAAGTAAAGAATCTCACGTCAGTTAAAGTTAGGTCAGATTTTGCTGCAAAAAGGGCTAGGAAAAGATTTTCAGTTTTCGAATCTTTTGGGGTTTTGTAATTGCAGATAAGGGATTGCACTTCTGAATGGCTCTTTTTTCAGTAGAGAAACCCTGCTCTGCAGTTTCTGTGGGCAGTGGCCTCCCACGGAAGAACTCCTGCCCTCGGTGGAGGAGTCTCCCCTCGGGGGCTGAACCCCTTCAGCAGAGGAGCACCCTTCTTTATGTGACCTGATCCCCCAGGACACTTGAGTCACCCCTCCAGCTCCACAGGAAGGTAAGGTGTGAGGAGATGCTGGGAATTTTTTCTGCAGGCTCCGGAAGTGGGAAGCTTGTCTCTAGCACGGCTGTGTTTGGTCCTGGCCTTGCCACATCACCAGGAGAGAAACTTGAACTCATCCCCTTCTCATATGTGTTTGCCACCGACTTGTTTTGTTATTAGTCTTTACTGCCACAGACGTGTATCTTTCCTTCATTTATAAGTGGGACACCGAGGAGCCATGGACCTGCTAAAACTTCAGCTCTGTCGTCCTCTGGTTTGTACGAATGCAGAAAGGTCACCTCGCTGCTTTCAGCCCCAGTGTTATCATCTATACCCTCTTGAACTACAGTGGTCTTTAGTTGCTTTTTCAACTTGAAAAAAGGTATGTTGTTAGCTTCCTTTTTCAAGAGTTAAAAAGGGCTGATTGTGTGCGTGTGCGTGTGCATGTGCATGCACGTCCATGTTTTTAATTCCCCTACAGTAGAAGAATAAGAATTTTTCGTCTTTTATGGTCAACTCTGGATGGTGGCCCAGGTTTAAGCTCTGAGCCTATCATTAAAGCTTTGTCAAGGGTTTATTCATTGCCCATCAGAGACATGCCACTCCTGGGTGTCTACCCAGAGGAAAAGAAGTCATTATATGAAAAAGACACTTGCACACACATGTTTATAGTAGCACAATTCACAATTGCAAAAATATGGAACAGCCCAAATGCCCATCAATCAATGAGTGGATAAAGAAAATGTGATATATATCTATATCTATATCTATATCTATATATATAAAATACATATATGTGTATATATAAACACATATATAATATGTATATATAATACATGTATATATATAACACACATATATATAATACATGCATATAATACATATATAATACATGTATACAGGTATATATATGTATATCTATATACCATGGAATACTACTCAGCCATAAAAAGGAAGAAAATAATGGTATTCGCAGAAACCTGGATGGAATTGGAGACCATTATGCTAAGTGAAGTAACTCATGAAAGGAAAACCAAACATTGTATGTTCTCACTGATAAGGGGGAGCTAAGCTATGAGGATGCAAAGGCATAAGGATGATGCAAGGGACTTTGGGGACTTGGGGGAAAGGGTGAGAGTGGTGTGAGGGATAAAAGACTACACACTGGGTGCAGTGTACACTGCTTGGGTGACGGGTGCACCAAAATCTCAGAAATCACCACTGAAGAACTTACTCATGTAACCGAACACCACCTATTCCCCCTAAACCTATTCAAAAAATTTAATTAAAAAAAAGAGAAATGCACACATTCCCAGAACCAGAGACTGCCCAGGCGTGTGCTTGTGCACACGCCCGCGTGCACACACACACACACACAGACACACCTCTCCTGACAGTGCTTCTTTGGGGGAACATAATTAACTTTAGTTTTGTATGAATAACCAACCTTCTCCAGAAGAATGCTTTTTGTGGGCAGGGTTTCCTTGGGTGGTTACTGTAATGATGAATCAGACAATAGTCACCACCAGAAGTGAAATTCGGTTTTCTTTTACACGTAAGATGATCACATCACCCTTGTGAGCTAGAGACAGACATGATGAAAGAAAAAGTGCTTGTGTTTAGTACAAACAAGTAGTGGTAGATTCACAAGCTCATCAAAATCAAAATTTTGTTGTTTTCAAATTATTCATGTTTACAAGAAACAACGTGAAAAGCTAAGGGTTGATCTTAGAATCTTTCTGTCCAGGGAAATCCCTCGTGAAGGACAATGGGGAGGTGTCTTTGTTCCTGACCGAATTCTCCAGCCAGGAGCTCACACTCTCCTTCCTTGGTTTGCATGTGGATGGCTCAACATCCAGGTGATCCGATCCATCGGTTGATCTCTGACAGTAGACTGAGACGCCTTCTTTTCTTTTGTGATGTCATCCTTCCCTTTCCAGGACTGCCTTCTTCTTGTCCTCTCCCCATCCCAGCCACCCCTTCTTCCCTTCTCCAAGAGACTTAGCCTGTGAACTCCAGCGGGGAGCGGGGGAAAGAGAATGCTTGCTATTTCCTCCACCGAATGGAAAAAAGCAACACCTTAGAGTGAATGATCGATATTATTATAAGCGAGGTGTAGCTCAGGGCAGGTGAGCGGCTGTTAATGAGGCGCCCCCCTGCATTCTGACAGATGCCTGTCATTGCTGTGCGCTCACAGCATGATGGATGCGGGCCAGGCTGCCCTGCTGTTGGAGCCGCTGCCTCCTTTCTCCCGTTTGTCTCTAATCTGCTGACCTGACGATGACCCAGCAGAGGTGGAGCTGAAATTAACATGTCATTTTCTCTAGTTAAATTAAAAAAGGGGGAGGGGGCAGAAGAGAGGAGGAAGGAAACATTTGAAACAGAACGAATATAGCTTGGTAGCAAAAATACAAGCCCTGTAGGAAGTCCCCACAGTGTTTTAGGGGAAGGCATTTCTCATAAAAACGAAAGCATGTGCTGATGCTCGCTTATGTCATGTCGTGTCGGGCCGGCCCCTCTCCAGAGACACCCGGGGTTTTCTCTGGGTACTCAAGGGAGACCACTCAGGGGCTCCTCAGCAGCTGACACCCTGGTCTGTGGGCCCTGTCTTGTCCACACTGGCTACTCGTCCAACACAGGCGTGTGGGACACCTGTTTTCTGTCAGCCATTATTGTGTCTTCACCAACATCGGTTTTAAATAACATTTTCACATTGTGCACTAAATTTGAAACATAGCAAACCATAGAATATTGGCGCTGGAAGTTCGCCATAATTTTACTTCCCTTCTGAGTTTGTCACTCTCCTGCATGGGAGGACACGGGAGGTTATCTGACTTAAGCGGCTAGCTAGTAACAGGTTAGTAGGAAAGCTAGGTGGAGCCGGCTTCTTCTAAATGCTTCCTCCTGAGTTTCTTTTGGAAAATAAGCTTGAAGTACCCCCTTTCCCAGTCCCAATCAGTCATCCTTTCTGTAGCTTCTATGTTATAAGTGACTGGCTTCTATTTCTAGACATACAACATTTCCGGGCAGTGAGTTCAGCACAGTAATAATTAGCCGATTTGTGTACCTTGGAAGAAAGAAGAATGTTGTGATTTCATTATTTCTTCAGACATCTTCAAACTTTTTATATCATCTTGATACGGTCTTGACTTGGAAATCTATCTAAAATTGTTAAGGTGTATTGTAGCTTTCCATCTGGGGAGTAACAGTGAATGTGACACTTGATTTTCATAGGTAAGAAGGTGGCCTGGATATCCATCAGGAAAACCTCACAGTCTTTGTGTAGCCTGGCAGATTACAAGATAAATACTCAAAAATGGATCCATGGGCTAAAAACTATTTAATGAGAAGGGATTAAACCATGCTATGACATTATGAATGGACCTTACTTCTCTCCATATGTAAGAGAAAGATGAAATTAATGGCAAATTATAGTAGGCTTAAGATAATGATATTATACCATCGATCTCTCTCTTTGAACTGGTGTATGCGTGGAGAGTTATACATTACATGGTAAATTTGAGTGCTGTGCAATTTTCCAAATCATATCCCTTTGGAGATGAGTATGACTCAAAAATGAGCATCGTGAAGTTCAAGTTGTTTAACTCTGACTTGTGATTGGATCTTGTGATCTTGCCTTATAGATATTTTGTACATTCTGAGATAGTTCTGACTCCAAGTAATTTAAAAATTTTCCAGTAAAACGATTCACTAACAGTATAATGAAATGATGAATATTTATATCAATTAGTTCATAAATCAGAAAAGTCCATTGTTAGACTTAGTATTCCAAAATTTGGTTCGGAAATGGTCAGGATAATTCTGTAACAAATTGACAAACTGTATTATGATCCTTAGCGACGCTGTCAAGATTTCTTTTATGTCTGAAAGTCATTTGTGATTGAGACTCCCAATGAGATCAAAGGGGTTCTCATGTGCACCGATTTCAGGAAGCATTTAACAAGTATTTATTGAGTGGCTCCTGTGTCCTAGTCATGGTTTATCCATATGTACATTTTGGTACGTGAAAAATCTACCTGATAAAAGCAATCAAAGACAGATGTCAGCTAAATCGAGGTGCTTAAATTTCTTTGTGTTCCAGCTAATGGGCAGTGTGATGTGGTGGAAACTGTCCCGGTAGGAAAAACCTAGCTGTGGGCCTTGTGCACATCCCTTCCTTCATCTACAATCTCAGGGCATTGGCCTGATAATCTGGAAAATCTCTGCCCATATTCTATAATTCTACTGCAGTCCAGAATGCATAATTCTGCCACACGTCAAAAGACTACAAGAAAGAATTTGTAATTAATGGACAACTGTGGGATATTTGTTTCCCTTCTGCATTAGAAATATAATCAAAGGTATGAAAATTCAAATTTGTAGTGAACGTAGGGAATGAGAGTGATACTAACAGAGTCTATAATCTATTTGTGTTTAGGCTGGAAGCTGACTTTTTTTCATTTCTGGGACAAGCCACTTAATCACATTTGAGTTAAAAGCACTGACTATCCAAGAGAGGACACATTCGGAACAATGCAAGCGCAGGCTATCTTTCCTGACGGCATGGCCTTGCTTGTTCAGACTGATCCTTGATGCATAGGCTCAGAGGAGAAACCTCAAGATAGGAGAGAATGAATCTGTCAGATTCATTTTTCTTCTTTTTCTTGAGGGTGAATTTATTTTTCATGTTTTGAAAGGAGTGTGTGACCACGTTGCAACAAAGTCCTTTTTCCCCTGGAATCATATTTCCATTTTCATTTCTAACAAAGCACATATTTGAGTCTTGATATCTCATTGGTTCATCTCTCTCTGTCCTAACAATCCCTTTGCATTTCAAACGTTACGCCAAAGAAAGAAACGTGAATGCAGCTCATAATGATGATGGATTACAACATGCGGAATCATGGCCAGCGAGTTGGCCAAATTACCCGCACCTGCCATGGTGCTGACTTTGGTCTGAATTATGGAGAACATGAATTTTGGAATCTTTTCTGCTGCTAGGACAATGAATAAGCTTTGTTAGTAGACTAGAAACATTGTAGGAAACTGATTGTGTAGAATCAAAAATACAGCAAAATGGGGGTTTGGCTAGATGTTGGCTGACATCCAAGAGCTCAGAAGTCCTTACAAACACAGAAGGGGGGTCAGAAAGTCTGCCGCCCATCCCTGGGCTGGCTCATCCTGAGGGCTCGGGAGTCCACTCTGCTGCCTGCACGCCGGGCCCTGGAGTCTGCCTGCACGCCAGGCTTCTGGAGTCTGCTGGAGAGAACGACCCAGCCCTGCTGGGTGGCACAGCATTTTTGCTCAACTTTCAGGGATACCTGGCAACATTTAAAAAATCTCCTTGGATTACAATATCTTCATTACTCACCCTGAAACTTTAACACCTTGCCAATCTATTGAAGCATTGCCACGTTGCCCAGATCAGTCTTTCTACAAATGACTGATCACACAGAGGAAACGTTGACGCCTGGAAGCGTATGCCCCTCAACAATCCTCAAGTTCACGTCCACTCTCACCTCTTACTCTCTCTTTTCAGCGAAGTGTCTCCCTTTCATTTGTGCATGAATCCATTTTCTTCCCATCTTTTTGCAGATCTTTTTCCATTCATAATACCATCCCCTTTTACTTTTCTTTCTGTTTTCAGTTTCTCATCCTCTATTGGCTCCTTCCTCCCGGCATTTCAGTTTCCTCAATGTTTTCTCATCCCATGAAAACCCCCACAACCCTGTTAGCCCCATGATCTTTGTCCTCTTTCTCTCCTGTCCTTGACAGTGAACTGTCACTCCTCAACTCGCCTTCTACCTCCACCAACCAAACCTGCCAAGGCAATGCTTTCCTCACAAGCAAACACCCAGTCTTCTCTACCTATGGGGCGCATCTGAAGGGCCACACATGCTTGACTTCCTCCAGCTTTCCCTGAGCTCTGCACTCTGCTCCCTTCCTGCCTTGTCTTCTCATGTTTCTTCTCAGGCATTTAGACCATTCCCCTCATCCCTGTCCTTGATATGTTGCTGTTCTAGATGGTATTACCCCTTCTTTTCCTCCCTCCCTCCCTCCCTTCCGCCCTTCTCGGAAGACTTCTCCTTTTTCCTGCTCCCTCCCTGCCCCCTCTTTCTTTTGTTTCTATTTTTTGAGTGTTATTAAGTTTCCGACTCTGATGACACCTAAATATTCATCTCTGGCTCTGAGCGCTTTTCTGAAACTCAGATTTCTATAGCCCAGTTGTCCATAGGACAGTCCCACCTTCTTCCTTGCTTGACACACGGATTTAACAAAGATGTGCCGAATGTGCACTGTGTCCGCACTGGGATAGGCCCTGGAAAACAATGTTGCAAAATACACAGTCCCTGACCCCAAGGATTTCCTATTTGGCAGCTGGGTTTGGGCAAGGAAGCGAGAAATTACACAGTCTCCTATGGCCATGATGGCGATGGTGACAGGATGTTATAGGAAGAGAAGTATATACAATCCAGGTTAGATTGGAGTGGGAGGGCTAGTCAGGTGAGACTATCCAAAGAGGGTGATATCTGAGCTGAGACTGGAAGGTTAAGCCATAGTGTTTGCAAAATCCAGGAAATTCAAGAACTGCTGCAAACTGTCTGGCACAGTGGCAAGACAGACTTGAGGGAAGGTGGTGCTGGGAGTGAACATGAAATATGGCAGTGGAGCTTTACAAGGGCCAGGGCAGGGGTTATGATATTAGTTAGGGCTCTCTGGTCACCAGCACCAGCAACTGCTTCTTACTAACTTAGCTAAAATCATATTTGCTGGAAGTATATGGGGAAGCTCACAGGATTAAAGGGAAGACTAAAGAAAAGGAAAGATAAAAACCAGGAAGCTCCAGAGGGTCTTGTAGCAGGAATTGCCCAATGGCCCCCGGGGCTTCTGGGTGGAGTGAATGAGTTGATGCCCATTAGGTTTTCATTTCTTGCATTTGTTCCATAGATTCTACATTTTAGGAGAGAGAGAGTCTGGCTGGCAAAGTTTGCCTCAGCCAAGTGCCTGCCCCTTTGATGTATCCACGCAGTGAGGGTCGGAATCTGGCCACTGGAGCCTGGAGGAGACGCCTGAGCTTCCACAGCAAAAGAGCAGGTGCCTGGATTAACGTCCTACCCCAAATGCACACAATGCAGGGAGGGATTCCCTAAAAGGAGATTAGGGTGTTCAAGAAAGGGGAATAGATACAGGGGGGCTCACATATTTCAAAAATGTTTCCTATTAGTACTTTCTTTATAGGCTGACCTAAGAATTTTCCATTTTTTCCTAAAGCCAATGGAGATAACAGTTCAATTTACATTTTAGAAAGATCACTCTAGTTGTTATTGGGATAATGGATTGAAAGGGGCTGATTCTGAAGATCAGGAGAATAGCCAGGAATCTTTGAAGTACCCTACATGACGGGTGATGGTGTGAACTGAGGGAGTGCATGTGATTGAACAGACACGGGCATGGGCAGATTAAAGAAGCATTGGGGAGGAGAATTAAGGACAGGGTGATTGATCAGAAGGGGTTATGGGAGGCGAGGGAGTGGGGTGAAATACTTGTGGTGCACCACCCCTTCCACTGTGGCTATGCTGACTCATGGAGTCTGTGGGACACATCAGTGATAGAGAAATGTGGGTTCAAAACACTGTCCTACAGTTGCCAGCTGAATGCACAGTCCCCACCCAACGTGTTCAGGCTGTTCTTTCTTGGTTAGTGGCACCTGCAGACACCCATTTCTGGGGCCGTGAAACTCGGGCTCCATCCTCAATTCTCTCTCCTTTTTATTCCCCGTGTCCAAATCAATTAAGACCTAACGATATTATCTTCTTTCTATTACTTGAACCGTCTCTAATTCTCTAATCCTACTGGCAATTTCTTAATTTTCTCTTTATTTCTTCCCTTTTGCAATATCTTCTTAACAAATTAAACTATTTATTTTACAAAAGCAGTAGATGCACATGCAGCTCTGCGAAATAACATAGCGATCCTTTTTACTCATCATGCAATTTTTCCAATGGTAAAATCTTGCAAAACCATAGGACAATATCACAGCAAGGATATTGATATTCACACAATCCACAGACCTTAATCTGATTTCTCAGTTTCACTTGTACTCATTTTTGGGTGATGTGTGTGCGTGTTTAGTTCTATGCAATTTTGCCACATGTGTAGGTTCGTATATCTATCACCACAGACTGACTACAGAACAGTTCCATCAGCACAAGACTCCCTCATGTCACCCTTTTCTAAACAAACCTTCTTCACTGCAGCCCCTCTCCCCTGGCATCCCTAACTCCTGCCAATTACTAATCTTCCCTCTATTTCTATAATTTTGTCATTTCAAGAATGCTATATAAATGAAATCACGCTGTTTATAACCTCTTGGGTGGGCTTTTCACTCTCAACAAAATTTCCTGAAGATTCATCTAAGTTGTTGCATGTATCAATAATTCATTCCTTTCTCATGACTGAGTAGTATTTCATGGTATGGATGCACTGCAGTTTGCAGAACCATTCACTCACTGAAGGACATCTGAGTTAGGAATATTCCTGTAGAGGTTTGTGCGTGAATAAATTTTTATTTCTCAGGGACAAATGTCAAAGAGTATAATTGCCGGGCAACATAGTAATTGTATGTTTAGTGTTGTCGGAAACTGCCAAACTGTTTTTCAGAGGGTCTGTACATTTTACATTTCCACCAGCAATGTATAAATGATCAGGGTTTTTTTTTTGTGTCCTTGGTGTTTTCACTCTTTTATCTTTTAGCCATTCTGATAGGGTGCAGAGATTGCTCATGGTGGTTTCAATTTGCATTTCCCTAATGGCTCCTGTGGCTGAAAATCTTTTCATGTGCTTATCTGCCATCTGCATATCCTCTGGGGTGAAATGTCTGTTCATGACTTTTGCCCATTTTCAGTTTACATTGTTTTTCCTTACTTTTGAGTTTTGAGATGCTATATATACTAGACATTTAAAAGATATGTGGTTTGCAAATATTTACTCTAAGCCTGTACGTTATTTTCTTTATTCACTTAACAAGATCTTTCACAGAGCAAAAATTTTAAAATTTTGATTTGTCAATATTTCCTTTTATGAATTGTCAATATTTCCTCTTATGAATTGTACTTTTGGTGTTAAGTCAAATAACTTTTTGCCTAGCCTTAGATCCTGAAAATTTCTGCCTATTTTTTTCTAAAAGAGTTATAGTTTTATGTTTTACTTTTGAGTCTATGATCTGTTGGAGGTGGTTTAGTTATTGTATGAAGTTTACATTGAGGCTTATTCATTTTTTTGCCTATGGTGGTCCAGTTGTTTTAACACAATTTGTTAAAAAGGCCATACTTTTTTCAATGAATTACTTTTGCACCTTTGTCAAAAATCATTGGGTATGTTTGTGTGCATTTGAGTTCTTTGCTTTTTCATTGATCTGTTTATCCCTCTGCCAAATCTGTGCTGCCTTGATTACTGTAGCTGTAGAGGAAGCTTAATATTGGGAAAACTTACCAAAAAAACTGGGAAGAGCAATTACTCCTACATTATTTTTTTTTCCAAGATTATTTTAGCTATTCTACAACCTGTACTTTTTCATGTAAATTTTAGAATAGACTTGTCTATGTCTACACAAAACCTTGCTGGGATTTTGATAGAAATTGCATTAAAGCTATAGATCAAACTGAGGAGAGCTGACATCTTATTATGTTGATTCTTGTAGAACACGAGGGCTCCATTTGCTTAGGTCTTCTTCTATTTCTTTCATGTGTATTTAAAAATTTTTAGTATGTGGAGCCTACATGTGTTTTCTTAAGGTTATACTTAAATATATCATTTTCTTTGGCTTAATTGCAAATGATACTAGGTTTTTAATTCTGATTTTCATATGCTTATTGTTAATATTTCAAAATATGATTGATTTTGTTTTTGGTATTGAAATTGTACCTTGTAGACTTGATGAACTCAGCTTTCAGTTCTAGGTGTTTTCTTGTATATTCTTTGAAATTACCTATGTAGAAAATAATGTAATCTGTAAATAGGGCTAGTTTTCTTCATTCTTTTCAATTGATGTGCTTTTTATGTATTTTTTTCATGCCTTATTGCAGTTATCAGAATTGCCAATTCTGTGTTGAATTAGAGTGGTGAGAGTGGACATCCTTGCCTTGTTCTTGATCTCAGGAGAATGTTATTGAGCTTTTTATCATTAAATATGATGTTAGATGTAAGTCTGAGAGTATTAAAAAAATTATGAATGGAATTTTATATGATCAGAAAATGCCGAGGCAGGCAGATCACAAGGTCAGGAGATTGAGACCATCCTGGCTAACATGGTGAAACCCCATCTCTACTAAAAATACAAAATATTAGCCGGGCGTGGTGGTGGGCGCCTGTAGTCCCAGCTACTTGAGAGGCTGAAGCAGGAGAATAGCGTGAACCTGGGAGGTGGAGCTTGCAGTGAGCTGAGATCATGCCACTGCACTCCAGCCTGGGCAACACAGCGAGACTCTGTCTCAAAAGAAAAAAAAAAAAGCAAAGCAAAGCAAAGCAAAGAAAATGCACTCCATGATTTCAATTCGTTACGTTTTATTTTATGGTCTAGCATATTAGGATATATATATTTTCTTTCATTTTCTTGGTAACTGTTCCATGGATGCTTGAAAACAAAACAAAAGAAAACAAAACAAAGCATACAGATACCATGTATTATTCTGCTGTTGTTGGCTGGAGTCTTCTATATGTGTCCTGCTGGTTGATTGTATCACTTAGATTTATATCCACGCTGATTTTCTGTCTAGTAGTTCTATCATTTGCATAGAATGTGGTGTTGAAGTCCGCAACTAAATTGTGGATTTGTCTATTTTTCCTTTCAGTTATATCAGGTTCTGCTTCATATATTTTGAGGCTCTGTTGTTTGGTGCATACACATTTAGGATTATTATATCTTTTTGGTAGATTTATCCTTTTATCATTTTGTAAATTCCCTCTTTGTCTCTAGTAATTTTCTCTTCTCTGAAGTTTACTTTATCTGACATTAATATAATGATTCCTACTTTTCCTGGATAAATGTTTGCATGATTTATCTTTTTCTATCCTTTTAATCTATGCATTTGAATTGTAAATGAATTTCTTTTAAGTAACATATATTTGGGTCCTATGTTTTTTATCCACTGTGTCAATCTCTGCCTTTTGCTTGTTACATTTAGAACATTTACATTTAGAGTAATTATTGATATAATAAAATTTAGATCTACCATTTTGTATTTTATATTCTGTTTGTTTCCTTTTTTGTCCATCAGTCCTATTTTCTTGCCTTCCTGTGCATTACTTAAATACCTTATAGAATTCAATCTTGATTTATTTATAGTATCTTTGAGTATATCTCTTTGTATAGTTTTCTTGATATTGCTCTGAATGTTAGAATATATATGTGTGACATCACAGTCTACTGGTATTAACATTTTACTACTTTGTATGAGATGAGGAAACTTTATTTTTATTTATGTCTCTTTACCTTCTCCACATTTAAATATCATTTTTTGAGTGTCAGATTGTGTTATAATCTTTGTTTAACCCATCACATATTATTTAGAAAACTCATGAGAAAAAGGATAGTCTGTTACATGCTCCCATACTTTTGCTTTTTACATTGTTCTTTCTGTCTGATACCTCAAAATTCCTTCTTTTTAACATTTTCTTTCTGTTTGAAAGATTAACTTTATTCGTGTCTGAAGACAGTATCTGACAGTCAGAATTTCCTTCCCCCTTTTTCTTTATTATTATTATTATTATTATTATTATTATTGAGATGGGATTTCACTGTGTTCCCCAGGCTGGCTGTGAACTCCTAGGCTCAAGTGATCTTCCTGTATCTGTCTCCCAGGTAGCTATGAGAATGTTTATACTTCCCCTTGAAGGATAGCTTTACATGTTGACATTTCTCTTTTAGCCTTGAAAAGTGTTATGCCACTTCCCTTTGGCCTCCATGATTTCACTGGGAAATCTGTTGTAATTTGAACTCCTGTTCTCTTCCTTAGTCCTTCTTTTTGTTTCTTATAACAGAATTCCTGAAACTGGGTAAGTTATAAAGGAAAAAAAGTATTTCTTATAGTTGCAGAGGCTGAGAAGTCCAAGGCTGAGGGGCCAAATTTGGTGAGGGCCTTCTTGCTGCCGGGGAGTCTCTTCAGATTCCCAAGGCAGCAGGAGGCATCGCGTGGCGAGGGGGCTGAGTGTGCTCAGTTCTCCTTCTTATAAAGCCGCCTCCATCCCCACTCTCATAACAACACATTAATCCACTAAAATGCTAATTTATTAATCCATCATTGGATTAATCCATTCATGAGGGCAGAGTCTTCATTACCCAATCACCTCTTAAAAGCCCCACCTCTCAATACTGCTGCATTGGAGATGAAGTTTAAACATCAGTTTGGAAGAACTAGCATTCACAACCACAATGCTCACCTATAGGCCACGTGACATTTCTTTCTGATTAATTTTATGTGTTTTGCTTTGTCCGTAGTATTCAGCAATTTAATTATAATGTGACTGGGCATGGATTTATTTGGGGTCATCTTATGGGGGTTTTATTCAGTTTCTTGAATCTGTAGGTTTAGAGTATTCACCAAATCCAGGAAGTTTTTATCCATTATTTCCTTGGATGTTCTTTCAGATCCACAGGTTTTCTCTTCCTCTTCTGAGAGGATGTGATAAAAATGTTGGGTATTTTGTTATTGGCCCTAAGTCCCTGAATTTCTGTTCATTTTTTTTTTTTTACTCTATCTTCTCTCTGTTGGTCAGCCTGGGTAAGTTTATTAAAAATTATTGATCAATCTTGTTCACTGATTCTATCTTCTGTCTTCACTCTACTATGTAAAAAATTTTATTGTTGTGCTTTTCAGTTCTATTTTCCCTCTGGTTCTTTTTTATGACTTCTTCTTTGCTGAGGTTGTTCTTAAGAGATATTGTAATTGCTATTGAAATTTTTTTTATGATGGATGTTTCATCTTGATTCATCTTGGTGTTAGCATCAACAGATTGACTTTTCACATTCAACATATAGTTTTTTTTTCTTGGTGTGATAAGCAGGTGATTTTTTATTATATCCTGGACATTTTGACTATTATGTTAGGAGTCTCTGAGTCCCTTTAAAATATTTTATTTTTTAATGCAGTCACTTTATTTAGGCTTGGCATGTATGGCCTAGCCTACTTTTTAAGCTCTGGTTCCAGTGAGAACTTAATTTTCATAGCCTCTGTGGTGCCATTTTGGTCTGTGTGGTTTATCTTGTATTTCTGGGGCTCAGATTAGTTCCCGCTAGTGCTTCCTGAGGCGGAAGAAGGGGCGTCCTCAGGCTGGCCCACCTGGTGCCTCTAAGTAGGTAAAGAGAGTCTCTGGCTGATTGTCATGGGGAAACCCCCTTCACTTATGCTTTCTCTTGTCTCTGGGTGGGGAAAGGGAGTTTCAGATGTAACAGTAAATAAGAGTGTCCTTCCTAAAATAGTGAGAGAAGGAAATAAATAAAAGCAATTTGGTCATGATGTAGACAGTGGGTCAGAAATGAGGAAAATGAATGTGATTTGAGAGGCAAGGAAAGAGGGAACTGGGTGAACTGTCAGTGCTTTATTAACAGGGATTGTCAACACTGATGGAATAGTAGACAGTGGGTAGTCAGGTATTAAAAGATCAATTCAGTATTAACATATTAAGCTGAAGGATCTTTAGAATATTTTTTTTCCCTGAATTTCTTGTAGTTAAGAATTCTAAATGGTTACCTCACATTTAGGTGGACATAAGCCATGACAGTAATGAGGGAGTGCAGAAATAGCACCAGGAAGACAAAGGCTCTGGATTCAAGGCTGCGATTGGTGAACCAAAGCAGAAGAAGCATCAACTATACAACAACACAAATCATCAGGAACAAATAATTTGATTCATTGTGGCAGACTTACTAAATTAAGGAAGTGAAT
This sequence comes from Homo sapiens, assembly GCF_000001405.40. NCBI lineage: Eukaryota > Metazoa > Chordata > Mammalia > Primates > Hominidae > Homo > Homo sapiens. The sequence continues at coordinate 76,197,382 of NC_000018.10, read as the reverse complement.
CATATTGGAATACAGAAAAATTCAAAGCATTCAGATGCACTGAAAGTTAAATGTAATTTTCATAGAATTAAATATGTGGTAGATTATTTTTAACAATGCCAGAATTATGTTTTGTCTTTTACATAAGCTTTATTAAAACAACCCCATATGCAAATCATTAACATGAAATCGATGGAGCTATTCAGGTCTCTTTTAGGTATGACTTCCTAGGACTCAGCTTGCAGCCAAAATTTCCAGAAACATTTCATTTTAGTGACTGCTACCCATTATAACACTGGTAATTAATTCTTTTGGAGTTACTTCAGATTAAGTTAAATCACATAAAATTCAGCTCTTGAAGAAGAATAATGACATTCTCAAAAATATACTAATAAATATTGCCTCTAAATAAGATGACCTAATATCTCAAAGATACTGTTAATATTAATATTGACAAAGGGGGAAAATGTACTAGTATATAATAACAGCTTTAAAAACCTTTATATATATATTGTTCCCATAATATTACTTATAAGAGTTTATCTTAAGGCAAGATTTGGAGATTGTCTTAGAAAATATTACTGGTAATTTATTTGCTAAACTGGAGATTTTGTTCATAAATGTTTGTAGAAAAGGTCTTGAATTCAATAGAGAAGTTCCATCCCTTATTTTTATATTTGAGTCTCAAGATCTTATGGAATATCAAAGGACAGAAGAGCATATCATCAAATTACACGGTAGGATAAGCAAGCACTTGCTATAGAAGGGATTGTGTAGGGAAGCTCTCCTCCCTCAATTTGGGGAGTATTTCTGTCTATCTCTCATTATCTCCTTTTTCTTTTTTTTCTTTCTATATTCCTTTACTCATTTCTTTCATCTTTTTTCCTTCTTTCTAAATGATTTCAAAACCTAGGGAGAATAAAAAATTTATAATACTTTTTGATTTTGATAAGGATGCAGATAGGAACTACTGGTCACAAATTAATTAGGTTATATTTAAGGACTGTAAACAGAACACTGTACACATTTCTACACTTCCAGGGATTTGAATTAAGGAGTATTTGATTCTTGGTAGAGCACTGTCTTAAACATGAAAACTTCCTTAAGCTCACTAGGCTGAATGTTTTGGGAAATAAATATGTGTCTACTCAGTCACAGACCTGAAAAAATGCACTAGCTATTGTAACTTTTGTGGGATTAGAAGAGTCTCATAGATTTGCCAAGTTATCTGCTTTAAGACACAATTATTGTCCAGAGGTTGAGTTCTCAAAGCTTTGACATTGGCACATGGAAATTTCCCTCTGAAAAAGATAGCAATGAGTTTACTCTGGAGTGGGTGGGTGGATAAAGAAGTTGGGTTGAATCCATTGGCTAAAGGATCTCTCTCTCTTCTTTTTTTCTCCTCTTTCTCTCCATTTCGTCTTCCTTTTCTCTCCCACTCTCATTTTCCCCCTACAAGTAGGTTTTAGAATTCATTCAGTTGTCTCAAACTATTTTTAAGTAAAAAGCTGCAGCATAGGAATTCAACTCAAAAGAGCTTGGAAATTTTGGGTGAAGGCAGGAAATCCTGCTTGAGCCTTGGCCTCTGCTTATGGCAAAGTTCCAGGAAGAAATAGGATGCTTGTAAGAGTGTTCAGCCCAGAATACTTGGATTTTGTAACCTTGACTGTGATCTTGGTGGCCATAGGAAATTTTAAGTTAAACTCTTTGAGGAAAGACAGTGGGAAATTATTGTCCTTACAATACTGAAAGTACAGGTAAAAAAAAAAAAATCTGTCTACAGTTACAGAATCTCTTGTGACTTTAATTCTGGCAATTTTAAAGAAATGTTGGAATTGACCCACCAAGAAGCACTTTGTGTTCAGATAGCACTAATAGAGATGTGGCTTACTTCTTTCTTCTTTTTTCACTTGAACCTGGGGATTCAGGAAACATCATGTTGATCTACAGTGTTTTATAAGTTTATCTTGTAGTACCTAAAGTGTTACCTCTTTTGAAACACTTCCCTAAAGTGATGCTACTGATGTCATCCCCTGATGACAACAATAATAATATAGTCATTATGGAAACTTTGAAACATACAGAAATAGGTTAGATAAATAAAAATGATAAACAAAAGTCACTCATAACTCCAGGTTGTTAAATAAAAAGTGAGATTTCAGCATATTTTCCCTCTTTGATGTTTAGTAAGGCTTATTTTTTCATGAGTTTACTATATGTTTATTTGCATATCTGTGAAATAATTGTCTGTTAACTTACATTTTTCTGTTGTATTTTGTATTCAAAGTTTTCTCATTGTTTTGTAATGACTCTTTAAATATTAGGAATATTCTTTTGTGGAGAGAGACATCAGTAAGACAGCAGAACAGAAAGTTCTCTGTTAATATCCCCCAACAGAAACAGTGATTTGGCAGCTACCCAAATGGACAAAAATGTCTTTGTGTGAGCTTTGAGATCCAGACTGGAGGTTTTGAAATCGCTATGGAGTCCACAACCAAGGAGGGCTGTTTTGAGAAGGCAGTTCTGCACCCATGTGGCAAATTCACTGTCCATGGTCCAATATGCAGACTTTGAAACATCATATTTCCCTGTGGACTCAGCTAGAGCCCCATTTGACCTTGGTCTTCCACCGGGATCATTCACCAAGGGACCCAGGAGGAGTCACACTTACCTGTGCCTCTGGTAATAAGCCCACTGATCTCATTCCCAGTTATAAACTCTGAAGTGGTTCATGAATCAGCTCTAGGCCTTTCAGCCACGGTCTTGGAGGAGTCCTGTCCACAAATAACCTGGCAGAAGACACACTTGTCTGTGCCCCTAGAGACAGGCTGTCTGACTGTGGATTCTGAAACAGCCCTTTAGTTTGGCTCCATTCCCCATTTGCCACAGTCTTGGAGCAGTCCTGCTAACAGAGGGACCAACCAGCCAAGACTTGCATGTCCATGCCCATGGAGGCAGGCCCAGCAACTTTGGACTGAGTTTAGATCCTAAAATGGCCTTGTGACACAGTTCCAGTCCCTCTTAGTCACAGCCTGGGGCCAGTGCTACTCATCCAGTGGCCCACCTAGTGACCTGGTTTGAATCATCCCACGGATAAGCAGGATCCACACTCATCCGCACACTTAGTAGCAGGCCTGCTGTCTGTGGACCCAACTGTAGGTCTGAAAATAGATCCTTGTCCCAGTGCCAGATCTACTGATCAAAGTCCTGGAAGCAGTCCAGTCCATTCAGGGACCAGAGAGAATCCAGTAACAGGCATGCCAACTACAAAATAAAATGTAGACCCAGGAACAGCCACAAGACCTAGCTCCAACCCCACTTGACTGCAATTTCAGAGGCAATTCCATCAGCCTGGGGATCTAACAGGAGAGGGTCTTTACCTGGCAAAAATAGTCTGTGAAGACAAGAACAGTGTTTGTTTCTTCAAATGCAAAGACATAGGTGCAAGAATACATGGATCATAAACAGTCAGGCCAACATGACACCATAAAGTAAACTAATAAAGCTCCAGTAATCAACCCTAAAGAAATAGAAATCTATAAATTGCCTGACAAAAAATTCAAAACAATCAACTAATGAAGTTCAATGATATGTAACAGAATACAGGCAGACAAATAAATGAAATCAGAAAAACAATGCATGAATAAACTGAGAAGTTTAATAAAGAAATATAAACAATAAGAAAGACCTAAAGAGAAATTCTGGAGCTGAAATATACAATGAAAAATCTGAAAAGTGCAATATAGAGTTTTAACTGCAGATTTGATCATGCAGAAGAAAGAATCAGTGAACTTAAAGACAGATCATCTGAAATTGGCCAGCTAGAGGGACAAAAAGAAAAAAGAATGAAAGAGAATAAATAAAACATATGAGATCTATGGAACACCATCAAATAAGCAAAAAATATCCATTATAGGAGTTGCTGAATGGGAAAGGAGAAAGAAAGGAGCAGAAAACTTATTTAAACAAATAATGGCTGAAAACTTCCCAAATATTGGGAGGTATATGAATACCCAGATTTATGAAGCTCCCAGGACCCCAAACAAGATCAATGCAGAGAAGATGGCCCTGGAACACACTATAATCAAATTGTCAAAAGTGAAAGACAAAGAGAATTTTGAAAGCAGCAAGAAAAGAGCTAGTTGTTACATACGAGGCAGTGGCCATAAGTCTGTCAGTGGATTTCTCTGCAGGCCAGGAAGGTGTAAGATAATACATTCAAAGTTACAAAATTAATAGAACAACTGGCAGCCAAGAATACTACACCCATAAAGCTGTCCTTTAGAAATGAAGAAGAGCTAAGGAGATATTTAGACAAACAAAAGCTGAAGTTCATCACTTCTAGATGTGTCTTACAAGAAATGCCAAAGAAAGTGCTTCAAGTAGAAACAAAAGGACACTAATGAAAATATGAAAACATAGGACAGTATAAAACTCACTGGTAAAGGTAAATATATAGCCAAATTTAGAATACTGTAATACTGTCATAGTAGTATGTAAATTTTAACTTTAGTATAACAGTTAAAACACAAATATTTAAGAAGCTATAGCCACAATAACTTGTTAATGAATATACAATATAAAAAGATATAAAGAGTAACATAAATAGCACAAATGTGGTGGGAGAGAGAGAAAAACTACAGTTTTTGTATGTGATTTAAATTAAGTTGTTATTAGCTTAAAATATACTGTTACAACTCTAAGATGTTTTATGTAAGCCTAATGGTAACCACAAAGCAAAATATTTAGTAGATACACAAAAGATAAAGAGAAAGGAATCAACTCATTCCGCTACAAAAAATCAACCTGTCATAAAATAAGATAGAGAGAAAGAAAGAAACACAGGAACTACAAAACAGTGAAAAAACAAGCAATAAAATGGCAATAGTAAGTCCTCACTTCTCAATAATTACTGTAAATGTAAATTGGTTAAACTATCCAATCAAAAAACACAGAGTAGCTGAATGGAAAAAGAATCCAACAACAGCTTGCCTACAGGGTGCTGACTCTGATTTTAAAAACACATAATGGCTGAAAATGAAGAGATGAAAAAATATATTTCATACAAATGGGAAACAAAAGAGAGCATAGATGATTATACTTTATCAAACAAAGTAGACTTTAAGTCAAAAATCTGTTACAAGATAAAAAGAAGGTCACTGTATAATGATAAAGGGGTCAATTTTTCGAAAGAATGTAACAATTGTAAATATATATGCACTCAACGTGGAAGCATCTAAAGAAAAAGCAAAATTAGGAAAATTGATGAGAAAATAGATAGTAATGCAATAATAATAAGGGACTTCAATACCTACCCACTTTTAGCAATGGAGAGATTATCAAGACAGAAAATCAATAAGGAAATTGAAGAATTGAATAATATTATAGTCCAAAAGGACATAACAGAATACACAGAACATTCCATCCAACAGCAGCAGAATATGCATTATTTTCAGGTACACACATAATATCCTCAGAATAGATCATGTGTTGGGTGACAAAAATGTCTTAACAAATTTAAAATATTAAAATCATGTCAAGTATCTTTTCAGACAACAATGTTATGAAACTAGAAATCAATAACAGAAGGAGACTAAAAATTCACAGCTATATGGAAATTAAGCAATATGCTGCTGAATAATCGGAAGAAATGAAAAGGTAAGTAAAAAGTATCTTGAGATAAACAAAAGTGGAAAGACAACATACCAAAACTTACAAGATACAACCAAAGCTTTTCTAAGAAGGAAGTTTAAAGTGATAAATGCCAACATTAATAACAAATGAAGATCTCATATAAACAATTTTACACCTCAAGAAACTAGAAAAAGAATAAACTAAGCCCAATGTCAGCAGAGTGACGGCAATTATAAAGATGAAAGTAGAAAGAAATGAAATAGAGACTAGAAAGACAATAGAAAGCACGAATGAAACTCAAACTTGGTTTTTTGAAAAGATAAATAAAAATTGACAAGGCTTTAGCTAGATTAACTATGAAAAAACAGAGAAAACTCAAATAAATAAAATTATAAATGAAATAAGAGGCACTGCCACTGATACCACAGAAATACAAAGGACCAAAACAGATTACTATGAACAATTATATGCCAACAGAGGGGATAACGTAGAAGAAATGAATAAATTCCCAGAAATACACAATCTATCAAGACTCAATCATGAAGAAATAGAAAACCTGAACAGGCCAATAATGAATAAGGGGATTGAATTAAAGAAATGACCTCCCAACAAAGAGAAGTACAGGACAAGATGGATTCATGGGTGAACTCTCAGGCATTAATTCCAATCCTCCTCAAACTGTTCAAAAAATTGAAGAGGAAGGAAAGCTCTCAAACTCACTTTATGAGGCCAACATTAGCCTCATACCAAAAACAGATAGAGACATTACACTACAAGAATAGAAAATGATAGGCCAATAACTCTGATAAACACAGATGAAAAAGTCCTTGATAAAATATTAGCAAATCAAATGTAACAGAACATTAAAAATATTATATGTCATGATCAAATGAGATTTATTGCTGGGTTGCAAGGATGGTTCAACATACACAAATCAATAAGAGTGTGAAGAAGAAATCACATAATCATCTTCATAGGTGCAGAAAAAGCATTCGACAGAATTCAACACCTTTTATGATAAAAACTCTCAACAAATTAGGTGTAGAGAGACTGTACACATTTAGCATCATACTGAATGATTGATTAAATGCTGAAATCTTTTCCTCTACGATCAGGAACAACAAAAGGGTGTTCACTCTCAACATTTTTGTCCCACAGAGCAATTAGGTGTGATGCACGGAAATAACAGGCATCCAAATCAGAAAGGACCAAGTTAAGTTGTCTATCTAGATGATATGATCTTGTATATAGAAAACCTTATGAATCCAACAAAATACTATTAGAGCTAATATACAAATTTAGTATAGTTGTGGAACACAAAATTAACTTATAAAAATTAGTAGCATATATATATATTTATATATGTTAATAGTGAAATTCTCAAGAAGATCAAGGAAACAATCATACTTTTAATAGCTACAAAAATAATATACCTAGGAATAAATTTAACAAAGGAAGTGAATGATTTATTCACTGAAAACCGTACAATTCTGATTCAAGAAATGGAAGAGGACATAAAAAATGGAAAGGTATTCCAAGTTTATCAACTAGAAGAATTAATATTGTTAAAATGTCCATACTATCCAAGGTAATCTACAGAGTCAGAGAAATAGAAAATAAAAATATAAAATTTATATGAATCCACAAAAGACCTAAATAGCCAAAGTGAGATGGGAGAGTTCCCTTGACCCCTTCCTGGGACTCACAAAGGGAGTGATTCCTTTACTAAGCTGCCGTGCTCAATCCCTTACAGGAGGGAGCACATGAGTGGGCAAGTGTGGGAACCAAAGTGAATGAATGCTGGAACTAGTCAGTTGCTCCTCTCTGGTAGGAGCAGGCCCTGTGTGGACCCATGGCAGCATCCAAGCACGTTACAATGCTTTTTTTAGCTCTGCTCTCTGGGAGTGGGTGCTGGAAACACCTGGAGCCCCAGAGGACGTGCTACCAGCTCAGTGGGCCTTTTGCCTTGTGGTGTGGAGTGGCTGCCCTCCACCAGCGAGGGCAAAAGGCCAGTGTGACAGCCTTTTTGGGTTCCTGCACCCAGTGCATCCCTAATTCTTGTTCAGTGCCCAAGAGGAATGAGGTCACATGGACTTGAAGGACAATTAATGTGGAGATTTTATTGAATGGTGGAAGTGGCTTTCAGCAGGATGGGGAGATGGAAAGTGGATGGGGTGGGAAGGCAGTCTTCCCCTGGAGTTCGGCTGTCCTGGGCCGATCTCCTCTCGGACCATCCCTGGGCAAGCTCCTCTTTGAGCAGTTTCTGATGTCCAGCTGCTTCTTCTCTCAACGTTCTGACACTTCTGTCTTCTGTGTGTGTGTGTCCTGAGTCTGGAGTCTGGGGTTCTTATGGGCACAGGATAGGGGGCGTGGTGGGCCAAAAGGCAACATTCAGGCAGGAAAACAGGGAGGTGAAGTTCTCATTTAGGGCCATGGGTCCAGGCCTGAGGGTGGAACCTTTGCCAGGGACCCCACCCTTTTCTACCTAGTATTTCCCTGCCTCTTCTCTGTATCAAAAGCAACCTTGAGGAAAAATACAAAACAAAAAGCAAACCCCCCCAAAAAAACTAGAGGCTTCACACTACCTGATTTCAAAACATAATACAAAGTTATGGTAACCAAAACTGCATGGTTTTGTCATAAAAACAGACACATAGACCAATGAAAATAAATAGAGAGCCCAGAAATAAATCCATGCATCTATAGCCAATTGATTTTTGACAAAGGCTACAAGAACACAGTTGGAGAAAGGAGAATGTCTTCAGTACATGGTGGTGCTGGGAAATTTAGATATCCATATGCAGAAGAATGAAACTGGATTCCTATTTCACTATATGCGAAAATCAACTAAAAATGAATTAAAGATAAATGTAAGACCTGAAACTACAAAACTACTAAAAGAAAATACAGAGAATATGAGGATATGCTTCATGACATTGGCCTGGGCAGGAATTTTTTTGTATAAGACCTCAAAAGCATAGGTAACAAAAGCAAAAATAAACAAATGGGATTACATCAAACTAAAAACTTCTGCACAGCAAAGGAAACATTCAATAAAATGAAAAGGCAATTTATAGAATGAGAGAAACTATTTGTAATCCATATATCTGATAAGAGGTTAATGTCCAAAATACATAAGTAACTATGCAACTCAATAGTAAAAGGAATAGATAAAGGACCTGAATAGACATTTTTCAAGAGACATATAAATGAACAATGGGTATATGAAAAGGGGCTCAACGTCACTAATCGTCAGTGAGATGCAAGTAAAAAAACCCACAATCATATATCACTTCACCCCTGTTAAGAAAGCTATTATCAAAAATTGAAGACATAACAAGTGTTAGAAAGGGTGTGGAGAAAAAGGAACTCTTGTGCACTGTTGATGGGAATGTAAATTGGTACAGCTCTTAGAGAATAGATAGCATGGTGGTTCCTCAAAAAAACTGAAAATAGAACTGTCAGGTGACCCAGCAATCTCACTTCTGGGCGTATACCCAATATGGCAATGACATCAGCACTTTGAAGAGATATCTGCATCCACTTGTTCAAGGCAGCATTATTCACAATATCCAATATATGAAAGCAACCTAAATTTCTATTGATAGCTGAATGGGTAATCAAAATGTGGTATAGACATATACACAATTGAATATTACTTGGCCATTAAAAGAAGGGAATTCTGCCTTTTTCAACAGCATGGATGAACCTGGAGGACATTATACTAAGTGAAATAACCCAGACACAGAAAGACAAATACCCTATGATCTCACTTATATGTGGAACCTAGAAAAGTTGAACTCACAGAAGCAGAGTGGAACAGTGGTCACCAGGAGCTGAGGTGGTGGGGGAGGGAAATGGAGAAATGCTGGTCAAAGGTACAAATGGTCAGTTACAAAATGAGTAAATTCCGGAGATCTCAGGTACAATTTTGTGGCAACTTGAGTAATAATGCTCAACTGTATACTTGAAATTTGCTTACAGACTAGCTCTTAAGGATTCTTACTGCAAAAACAAAAGGCAACTATGTGAGGTGATCATGGTAATGAACTTGATTGTACTAATTATTTCACAATGTACATGTATATCAAATCATCACATCTTATTCCATAAATATGTACAATTTTTATCAATTACACCTTGATAAAGCCAGAAAAAAAATTCTGTTGCTTCACCATGCATGTTGCATATGTGTGCACACACACAAACATAGAGACTTCTTTTTTTCCCTAAAAGGGTTATTTTATTTTAGACTTATTAAAAGAATGAAAGCATGGGTTTGAAAGAGCTAAATCTACAAACAGGAATAAATTGTGTGTGATTCATTAACCATAACAAGTATATACACACAGACACACACACCACACACACACACACACATACACACAGGCTTAGAAGTGCTGAAGAGGTGTGAGCACATTCTGGATCTTGGGCTAACTGCCTTTTTATGTCTTTCCAGGATGTCAGGGATTCTTGATGCAGGGTGACTGCTAACTCTTCCTGAAGGTTTCCCTGTTTTATCCTGAGTGTGTGTCTGACCTACACTGTCTTCTTCACCATACTCAGAAACATGTTAGTCCCAGCCACTTTCTGGAATTAGAACATGGGATTTGAGGTCAAGCAGGTGTGGGTTCAAATTGCCTCTGTCAGTTACCAATGGCAGGATATTCACCTAACATTTCAAAATCACAATAGCGTGGATAAAAAATGCCAACCTCACAGGACCAATTTGGGAGTTATGTATAAACACAAAGACACATGTGCATATACACATATTCACATGTGCACATTCAAGGCACGTACACATGTGCACATACACATATACATACACATACACACTCATGCACACACATATACACACACATACATATGACAGAAGGAGAACCTGACACACGGTATTCCTGTGAGAGGACAAACTTAGCGTTGCATCATGCAATAAGAGTAATTGAACAACACCCTGATTACATGTGGTACAAATTCTAATTTTCTAATTTGTTGTCCTTTTACTTATGATAACTGCTTTGCATACTCGAGATGAATCGTTTAAAGCTGATGTGAGTGAGCATATCCAACAACAATCCTAGCGCCTGCTGTGGATCAGGTGAGCATGTTAACGAAGCTAGTGAAGTGAGGTAGATTAGAATACTGCTCACTTTAAAACTGTGCTCTGCAGGATTGCCAGGTGTAGTGGATGAAGAGAGATTTAGAATAACTGCATGACATGAAACACAAAAGTGCCTGCAGGACTTTCTCACTAACCCTTTCATAGTCTGCATATGTGTATCATACAAACTTTGAAACCCTATCAGAACGAACAATAAATGTGATTAATAATTTTCCTTATTAACGCTTTAGGAAATTAGGGTAAGCAATATTTCCACATAATTTTTAAACCTAAAAAATAAAGAAAAAACATTTTAAATGAGAGTTTAAAGTGCTCAGCCCATGGGCTGAGTGTTTGGGGTGTCATCTACCATGTTCTTGATGTACCTGGGTCCTGACCATCTACCAGCACCATGGACTTGGCTACCTCCTCAGCTCCCTGACCCATCTCTGGGTCTGACATCTCTTCTTTGTCCTTCCAGAAGGATTTAAGAGGAGATTAGGGGCCTTGGGTTAGGGATCTAATGTCAGGTCTACACCGAAGGCAGTTTCTGCTCTTATCTTGAGCCCTTATTGTAGTATTTGGGCCACATGTTCTTAAAATGTACCATCTCTTTCAGCAGCTGTGCTCCAGTTGAATGTACCTGTGCAGATCCCTCTTGGAAACATGCCCCATGCCTTCGTTCTGCAGTAACTTGCTCTTCTCAGCTCTATTTTTGGAGGCCTCAGGGCACTGATTTTGAATCTGGGCACCTCTGAATTGTCACTTCTGACCAACAAGCAGTCTACTTTGTCAACACCTTTTCTTCTGGGACTTGTGTTGCCTGCCTGCTGGAATTTTTCTCATCTAGTCCTGCCTTCCACACTCCCCCCATTAGAGATGAACTCTTCCTGCGGGGCTGTTTGGCTCCTGGCTGGTCCGCTGGGGCTGTCCCTCAGACTCTGACCTCCCTCGGGCACCGACTTCATGAAAACACAGCCCTATCTGAGGGGCACCTGCCCATGAAGCTGCTCTTCCTAAGCTTTGCAGTACCTGCCACATTGTCTCCCCACTGCTAATCATATTCTCTCTGCTATGGTTGTTTAACATTTTCTTCACATTTATAAGCAATTTTGCGTTACAGAATCAAAAGACCTTCACATTATGTCTTATTCCCACCACGAAATTTTAGGTTCTCTAAATTGTGAGTACTCCTTATGATACTCCACATGATAAATATATGTGAAATACATTTTTAGAAATATAAATATGGAATTGTATGCACACACATAGATCTTTTGGGAACTGGCTCATTGGTCATACCAATTTTGGAAAATAATTAATAAAAATGTAAAGCCAATGAAAACGTCAATTCATTTGGAAGATTTCTAATGATCCTCAAAATATGAAGTTAAACTCTCATATCATAACTACATTAAATACCAGGAAGAAACCTATTTTGAGACACAGAAATGTTGAGAAGCTCTGAGAAAAAGCAGCCATTATTCTCATTTAAATTAGAAATTTGTTCCTTCGCTTTTTTGTTCTGCCTCCAGATCCAGTCCTTGCCTGGGGTTTGAAAGCTTTGCATGTATTGAAGCCTTGGCCAGCACAGACAAATGTTCCTCTTCCCTTTCTAAAAATGGTCTTGGTGTTGCAGAAGTTGTTACAATTAGAATGAAGTCACTTGTGTTAAAAAAAAAAAACCCTGATGAACAGAGGTGAGAAAGGCCATAAAGAGGGGTTCTCATGCATTAATGCCTGATAAAAACTATCACAAAAGACTCTGCAGAAACCACAACTTTGCACAAAGGCCATCTCAACTTTACACAAAAAATAGTTCTGTTTGGGTATCTTCCCAGCGATTTCCTCTCCAACCCTAGACTGGTGTCACTCTTGTTATTCATCCTTGTAGCTAACGATAATAATCTCAGTGTATTAGTCCATTTTCATACTGCTGATAAACATATACCCAAGACTGGGTAATTTACAAAAGGAAGAAGTTTAATTGGACTCACAGTTCCACGTAGCTGGGGAGGCCTCACAATCATAGCTGAAGGCAAGGAGGAGCAAGTCACATCTTACATGGATGGTGACAGGCAAAGAGAGCTTGTGCAGAGAAACTTCTGTTTTTAAAACCATCACATCTCATGACACCCATTCACTATCATGAGAACATTGCAAGAAAGACCTCCCCACATAATTCAATCACCTCCCACCAGGTTCCTCTCACGAGATGTGGGGATTGTGGGAGTTAAAATTCAAGATGAGACTTGGGTGGGGCCACAGCCAAACCATATCACTCAGAAGCAGTTATATAGCCTCTTTCCTGTTTCCCTTAAAAACTGTCATTTTCCTTTACTTCCCTGAATATGCACTTAGCTTACTATGGCACACATATTTCCATTGAAATGCCTCATTCCCAAATAACTGTCATTGTCTTTTAGAGACCCCCCTCTCTGTTTATTATTTACATTGATAAAAATTGTGTCCAGAAGTCAGACCTGAAGAAAGATCACTTGTGAAAGAAATTGGCAGTTCTGGGACCTGGTGTACAGTACTCACTTCGGTCCTTAGAGCTCTCTGCTTCCATGGCCTCACCTTCTCTGTCCTGGTGAGTCTTTTCTCAGGTTAGGCCTCCCTATTTTTGGTAGAGGCTGATTAGCTTCACTTTTTGTTTTGTTATAAGGCCAACTGAGTCAAGGACCTTGCATTCCTCTTGGGATGATGAAAGCCTTTTTTTTTTTTTTTTTTCTGGAAAGCCCTTACTGTATAAGGACAAGTGTCTGTTCATCTGAGTACCCTGCTTTTTACAGAATTTATGTTCTGTTTGTGAAGAATGTCTTTTCTGGTGAATTCACTTTTGTTTCTGTGTGCCTAATTTAGTATTTTGTTTGATCTGCATGCCTGGGTTAACATTTTTGTGATCACTCTTATCTTGGTTTCATTTTGGTTTGGTTCTGCGTGTCTGCAAGTGATTTGGGTCTCTTCCCATGCTGATTTCTGAAAATCTTCTTAGAGAAAAAAATAAACATTCTAAATGATGGCTGCAAGATGGTTAATTAAAATCCATTCGAGCAGTCCCCAGCATCTAAAACACTCATCCAAACTCCCGACATTCTTTCATAGGAGTGATAGAATTTTCTTTGCTTTGAAGAGATTAAAAAGAAATAAAATGGGAATTTCAAACATTTAGACATATCAGATTTTCTGAGTCTCCAGCCAGCTACATGGCTTTTCCTCATGCATGTTTTTTGATCAATGGCAATCATTGGGATCATTTGAACTTCCCAAGCTTGTTTTCTTCTTTGCACCAAATTAAGAGAATACAATGGTAGAGTCAACACATAGAGGCTTCTAAATCCTCTAGCACTCTGCTTCTTTTCCTACCTACTTTGAACCTGTTGACTTTTCTGCTGATGTCGCCATAAAACTCTCTGTTATGGCATTCCAGGTAAGATTAAAAAAAAAGTCTTAAAGACTTTAAAATTAATGCTTTTACAAATTACAACAGCCTCATGGCAACCAACCATCTAAACGTCTTTTAGAAATGCAAATTTAGGTTTGCCTGACTAACAATTGCTTAAGCTTATGGAATAGTTAATTCAAGTATTACTAGTCTTAAACTAGGTAAATGTTTATAGAAATGGGGCTCTCAGATCAAACAGGTCAAAATTTTGAGCTAAGCACAATAATAAAAGGTAGCTCTCTCATGCATAAAAATTGCTTTGTTTGCCATGTGGGGGCCAGAAAAAATGACCAATATGGTGAAACCCCATCTCTACTAAAAATACAAAAATTAGCTGGGCGTGGTGGTGTGTGCCTGTAGTCCCAGCTACTTGGGAGGCTGAGACAGGAGAATTGCTTGAACTGGAGAGGCTGAGGTTGCAGTGGGCCGAGTTCGTGCCACTGCATTCCAGCCTGGGTGACAGAGCGAGACTCCACTTCAAAAAACAAAACAAAACAAAACAACAAACAAACAAACAAAAAACCCCTGCCAACATGCCTCTCCACCTACATTGATTACTCTCAATTGGTAATCAGACCAGCAGACAAATTGTGGATTCATTACTAATTCAAGGCTGCTTAGAGATTTTGTTTTTTCTTATACAATTCAGCCGATCCTGGCTAAAATGTAAACTTAGAATTTAACGTTAAACCCATTTAAAGCTAAAAAAAGAAAACAAACAAAACGGGGCAAAAGAAGTTTTTGTAAACCAACTTACTTTCCCCAAAACATTGGTCCACAGCCTTCATTAGGATACGTATTGGGGCAAATAACCATTTGAACAAGGGAGCTATTTGAACAAGGCTTATTTTTTCCAAAATACAATTTTGATCCAGCAGTCTTTTATAAACTGGTGAGTTTGTATTACTATCTCATGACCAAAATTCTAAAATGAAATTTATAAGATTGCATTTGTGTGTGGATATATGTTTAGGTCTATTTACACATATGTACATCGAATTTTGTTATATATTGTGTCTATATTATAAAATCTGATGTAGTTAGCCAGAAATCCCTTAATTTTATTCAAATTGGCAAAGATAAATGAGCACTCATATAAAATATATAATAATAAAGAAGCTGTTTTTTAAATTAGTAAAATAAAGTTGTCAGCATACATTTTTGCCTGCGTTTACTGGTTGGACAGTTTTATATTTGTATCTTCAAGATGTTTCAAGGTCAGAAAATGATAAACCCAGCCTAAAAAGCAGAATAATCTTTGTTTGTGTAACTCTTTGATATGTAAACTTAATTTAATATTGTAGTTTAATAAAAACAGCTGTATCTGCTGAGTTATTAACAACATATTCTTATATTTAAGTCTTCTGCTTACATGAACACCTAATATTCACAGGCTATAAAAATGCTTAACAGGGAAATAATTTGAAATAATGGTTAGCTTTATCTAATAGCTCAGTTTTTATAAGTAATCTGGGTAAATTGTTAAAAATAAATTAGGTAAATATAAATGGAATAAATACAGATAAAATTTTTATGTAATTTTAAATACTAAGGTTATGCTGTGTTAAAATGATAACTTATTAAATGTCTGGGTCATTTTGAAATAAGATAAAAACTGAAATTACTGAACATAAATGTTCTTTGCTTCTAAAAATTTATAGATATATATATTTGGGTCTATTAATACATGTAAAAATTATGTTATGGAAGATGATGTTTCTCAAAATTATTAACAGATTCTCATCTATAAAACACTAGTATGTGACAGACAGTTCAAAATTTCTTGCTTCCTAGATTTTCACTAAAAATCAAGATTACTAAGAGTTAAAATTCTTGTTAATATATGTAATTATGTATACAAAGTGTGCCAAAAAAGTAAGATGTGTTTTGATGAGAAAAATTTTAAAAAGACATAAAAATGTGTTTTTTGTTTTTTGTTTTTTTTTTTTTTTGAGATGGAATGTCCCTCTGTCACCCAGGCTGCAGTGCAATGTTGCGATCTTGGCTCACTGCAACCTCTGCCTCCCAGGTTCCAGCGATTCTTCTGCCTCAGCCTCCCAAGTAGCTGGGACTACAGGTGTGCACCACCATGCCCAACTAATTTTTGTATTCTTAGTAGAGACGAGGTTTCACCATATTGGCCAGGCTGGTCTCGAACTCCTGACCTCATGATCTGCCTGCCTCAGCCTCCCAAAGTGCTGAGATTACAGGCGTGCCACCGTGCCCAGCCAAAAATGTGTTCCTTATTGAGAATTTTTTTTTTTCTAATTTGGAGGTTATTTAAAGGTTGTTTCAAAAATTAAAATTAGAAAATAGAAACAATATAAAAAGGAATGAGTGAAGGAGGGGGTTATAAGAAAGTCATGGTTATTATAAAGATATATATTTGTTAAGAAAGTTTAAAGAGAAAAGAGAAAATTTTGTCTGGAAAATAATCTTGTGTAGTAAATGTTTGTCCTAAAGTAAAATGACTGGTTATTTTTTGAGAAAGAGGAAGACAAAACAAAGCAGAAAGCCTAAGCATCATGTCAAGGCTTTGTGCAGGTCACAAAAGGTTTGTGAAGGATGAATTGATAAAAAAAGTTATGTCCTCAAGTTGCTATATTTAGAAGGGAATTATTTATAAATCTTTCTAAACATTGATCTTTGATATTGAAAATATAGTAATACAAAACTAAAAATTTGGCTCCCTCAATAAGAACAACAAGATTTTCTTAAAATATTGGTTTCAGTACAATTAAAAGTCAAAAGTTCTTTAGTCTAAAGAGGTTTTGATTTTTAATTCTCTGCAGCTGTGTTTCTGTTTTATAGTCACTAATTTCCTTAGTTTCAGATTAGAAATGCTGTCTTTTTCATTTAAACTTGTAATTTCATTTCTCAAGGTAGAGTTTTCCTCTTAAAACTTCTCAGATTCGTATTTCAGAAGTTCAATGTTTGCTGTATCTCATCACCTGTAATTTGCAGGTTATACAACTGTAGTGGTTAATAATGAGTGTCTACTTGATTGGATTGAAGGATGCAAGGTATTGTTCCTGGGTGTGTCTGTATGGTGTAGATGGCGTTGCCAAAGATTAGCATTTGAGTAAGTGGGCTGAGAGAGGTGGACCCACTCTCAATCTGGGTGGGCCCCATCTAATCAGCTGGCAGTGTGGAATGAGGAGACTTGCTGAGTGTTCTGGCCTTCATCTTTCTCCTGTGCTGGATGCTTCCTGCCCTCAAACATGAGACTCCAAGTTCTTCAGCTTTTGGACACTTGGACTTACACTGGTGATTTGCCAGGGGCTCTTAGACCTTGGGCCACAGACTGAAGGCTGCACTATTAGCTTTTCTACTTTTGAGGTTTGGGGACTCAGACTGGGTTCCTTGCTCCTCAGCTTGCAGATGGCCTATTGTGGGACTTCACCTAGTGATCATGTGAGTCAATTCTCCTAATAAACTCTCTGTCCTATGTACATACATCCTATTAGTTCTGTTCCTTCAGAGAACTCTGACTAATAGAACATCATTCATTGCCTTCTGCTCTTCCTGTATTTCCTCTTGAGAAGGACTGGAATGATAACTCTCTCCTTTAACTTTTTTCTCTTCTAACTCTGCTGTGATGGTCTGATGCTACAATGTTTACACTGAAGGCCTAGAAAAGCAATCTTTTTATCCAGTATAACTTGAGTGTGTACTTGGCTTTTCTCATTGCCTCTGAATTGTTCCATGTAACCGGGAAACGTCCCATGCTGTTACTAAAAGCCATGCATTCTCCTGCTCAGAGTACTAGTTTTCCTCTAGAATGGGGCACACTCATAACCTTGGATGCTCTCTTCCTGTGTCTGATTAAATCCAAGTAGTGTTTTCATCAGGTTCAACTTTCAGCTTATTGAAAGAGGCTTCCCATATGGAAAAGCAATCACATTATGAAGGCTTCTCTCTCCCTTTTTGGAAACTGGCCTAAGAAACAAATATTTTATGTTTTAGCAAGATAATTTTCTGTGTTGTTTTTATTAGGTATTCGATTACTTAGGAACATTGAGCTTTAAAAGGCTAAGGTTTTTACATCCATTTAACCTTCTGTATTACTTTTTGAAGTCTCTTATCACTCTGGCTAAATGAATGACTGTGATTTCACAGTGATTTGTGATCCTATTTTGATCAAGTGTTTTAACCTTTTTTCATCTTTGACAGGCTTCTCCAATATCAAAATTCTAAATTAAGTCTTTGTGACCTAAAATTAACTTTGAGGTTTTCCTACTGGATCCCTGGGTGGTCTCAAAGAATATAGCTCTCATCTTATAGAGATATGAAATGATAAGGCTTATCTGGTAAATTGTATAGAAAAATATTGTCAAATGATAAGTGATACTATGTCTTCTTTCAGTTACATTTATCATATGTTATTGATATGAATGTTTGAAATTGTATATAATTCATATAAATCTCATATATCATCAGTCATAATTCTGACTATCTTATATGCCACAAAATAACCATATTTTATTGTTAATTAGTGATGATAATGAACTTCCATCAGATTCCTAACCATGGTTACTGTAAGACTCTGTCTTCCACAGTTTTGATTTTCTCTAAAGGCATCTGCGATCGGTTTCATGGAAAAGACACCAACAAGCACTTTTAAATACAAGTCTCTAATAATTTAAAGATCAATGGGCTAAATTAAACATTTTAAATATGCTAATGAATAAACTAATAAATTCATAAAACTGCTAATGAAAATCAAGTGGAACAAAAATGTATCGTATGAGATTAAATAACTGATGAAGATTATTGTTTTTATGAATTTTATTTGATGCATTATTGGTTCTTTACTTAAATGTTTTATTTTTCAGATGTAAGAAAATGTTTTTTCTTAAGCTAATCTATAGCTAACAATAATTTGGTAAAAAATACTTTTGTTAACAAAGGTGGAAAGCATTTGCTATTTCTCCCTACATCATTTCTCAAAATTCAAAAACTATTTGTATTTTTTATAACACTATAGTTATTTGCATAAGTTCTATAAAAAGTCCTCTATTTATAGCAGGATACAATTAAAAACATTGATTATATTATCAATGCTTTGACTGGAATGACATATTTGAGAATGTGCATAGAATGCCTGGTTTCAAGTTCTCCCAGTCTTAGAGTGGTGAGTAAAATTGTCAATTCTCGGCAGCACCAGAAATCTTAAAACTGTAGATGAAATCTAAAGTCGGCCTCGATTTGGCTTCACCAGGTCTTAAAATCTGAGACTCCTATGTGATTAATGTGGAAAGAAAAAGTTACATTTCTAAAAAAATGCTCTAGTACACCCATTATCAGATTGTAGCTCTGTGCACTGTTTTTGAGTTCTGGTTATCTACTTACAGACTAACTTAGATCTCTGAGTTCTAGATTCCTCCAACTTCCTTCCATGGAATTACTAAAAAAAGGAACTTCTGTGTTCCTAAAGCACTATAAGCTGAAACTAGATGAAGTTTTTATGAGCAAGTGCCTGATGTATGAGCTGCACAGAAAGTTCACCAAACCACCCAAAGCCATTGCCATAGGCATCTGAACTGCAAGCCAGCACAAGAAGTCGATGCTTTCATACACTTTCCAAGATGTCAGAACAAGGTTCCAAATCATAATAAGGTACTCACCCCTCTTAATTTCTACTCTTTTCACTGGAAAGAATAATGGTTTTCTGATTTGTTCAATTGTTTGCCTTTAAGACTAGGTTCAATGGCTCAAAACCATTAGGCAAACTGGAATTATCATATTGCTATTAATTGTATTTTGTGTTTTCCCCTTTTAAACTTTGTATCTGTTACTTGTTACATTTTTATTTTTTGTAGAAGTACAACTCCTAACAGAATAATGCTGACCTGGTACTTTGAGATGATAGC
Organism: Homo sapiens; assembly: GCF_000001405.40. Lineage (NCBI taxonomy): Eukaryota > Metazoa > Chordata > Mammalia > Primates > Hominidae > Homo > Homo sapiens. The sequence goes on along the minus strand of NC_000018.10, from coordinate 76,177,344 downwards.
AAAAGACTATAGAATAGACAAAAGTGAACTAATAATGGATTCCAGGTAGACTTGTCCCGAGAGCCCTTCCCTTTAAAGATCCTTTGTTGCTTGAATGCAGCTCAAACAGCTTTGACACTGACTCTTAGCCACCACTTACTCCCAACACAAGACCAGACCAGCAACCAGGACAAGGGACATTCAAAGCCTATCACTGATTGATCATCGGTGCTTCTGGAGAGAGATCATGATCGAAAGGAGGAAATGTGAAAGTTGCCAGAATTGAAAGAGATCACTTGTGTTGAAAAAATCCCTGACCAGTGGAGCTGGGGAAGGCCATGAAGGGAGGATTCTCATGCATAAATGCCTGATAACAAAACTATCACCAAAGACTCTGCAAAAACCACATCCTTGCTCAAAGGCCGTCCCCAAAATCATACAAAAAATACTTCTGTGAGGACATTGGCCCAGCAGCTTCCTGTCCAATCCCAGAAAGGTTCTGTCCTTGTTATTGATCCTCATAGCTGAGGATAATTATCTCAACACATATAATCCTCCTCATTTTTCCTTTAGAAACCTTTGTCTTCCTTTACCTCCCTGAATATACACACAGCTTACTATGGCACTTGTATTTCCATTACAATGCCCTAATTTCAAGTAAATGTGGATTTTTAGAGATCCTTTGTCTATTGTTATTTAGATTGACAGTATTACATACATGCACGCAGAGACATACACATGCATACACACACATGAATGCACACATGCACACACACAGACACACATCATGGAAACACACATGCATGGTGTTCCATGCACACATATGTGCATGTATGCATGCACAAGCACATTAATTCAGATGACAAGATCTTTTGAAAAAAGAAGCAGCCTGTGTTATAAGAAGGATTTGACTTTAATTTTCAATCCCGATCCGTACTACTTCTTATAATAGATGCAGAAAACTATGCCATGCACACACGAAATGAGTTTGAATAAAACCCACTATTCTTATGATGGTAACAGCTACTATTCACGGAGCCCTAACCCTGGGCTCTATTCTAGGAGCCTTAACGTCCTTCAGCTGCACATATTTGAGCGCAGGACGTGGGACCGTGCCAATGGATGGTTAATGAGGGAACAAGACTGACTTGGTCTCTTCTTAATGGAGCTCATGGTAACTAGGAGATGTTGCCCGGAAGGCATCACACCAGCTCCGTAATGTGCAGAGGAGGACCTGAAACGCGGGAAGAAGGGCCTTTGCTGGTGACCACACAGCTATGAGGTGCTACACCAGGGATTCAAACTGAGGTCTGTTTGCCTCAAGTCCCCAGTCTTCTCATTATGCAAAACTACTTTTCAATCTGAGCGAAGGTGGAGGTGCATTAGTTGCTAAGCCCTAATGTTCTTGTTGTACCTCCCACACCAGTTGTGATTTCCAGCACATGCTGAGCTATGTGCTTGGTCCTGGGCAGTGCATATGTGACTACTCCCCTTAGATCAGAGCCCCCTTTTTTTCCTCAGCACTATTAACACATCATCTGCAGAAAATTTATATGTTCCATCTGTTTTCACTTCAGATTCTTTCTCAAAATCTGTTTTCACTTCAGTTTCTTCCTCAGTTTTAATACCTTCATCCTTTTTAATGGAACCTCCAGATATCTTTCCCAGATGACTGGTCACAGTGAAACACCACTACCCATTCTCTTTTTCATCATTAAACACTCACAGGGAAAAGTGGCTGTTTAGATGAGGATCCTGAAACTGACTTTATCAGCTTACAAATGAGCTTAGGGGAGTCTGGGTGTGGGCGTGAATATAGACCAATGGAAGCAACTACAGAAACTTTGCCCGGAAAAGTAGTGACTCAGAGGAAAAGGGCCAGTTTGCACCCATTTGTTGGACACTGAAGAGCCTCTGACTCGTAGAACAATCTTCACTAAGTTTTGAAGGAAATGCTCTAATAATTGATTGACCGGGTCCTTCATGGCGGTATCACAGCCTCAAATAGCAACTGTAGCACAGGCTCCAGAGCCTGGCTGCCAGGGTGCAGAGTACCTGTCTGCTCTGTAGAGGCTGAATGACCTGAGATAAATTACTTCCTATTGCTTTGGTTTACTCATATCTAAAAAGGGGGTCAGAGTAGCTACCTTATAAGAGTTTGGGAGGAATAGATAAGTTCATCCCTGAAGACAGATCAGACAGTGCCTGGCATCCAGTGGGATTCAATGCACGTTCTCAGGAGCAATAATTGTTCTTCTATTGTGAGGAGGTCCAGTAGAATAGTGGAGGGTAGAGGGATGGAGGGTAGAGGGAAGGAGGGTGTGCTGGGCTGATGGCATGTAACACCCTTGCAACTCCACATCTGTGGGTCTGTGAAACGGTGTGTGAAATTCATGCCATTCTCCTCATCAGTGAGTTTATTACTGTGTGTGTAATGCGGCATGGATTAACATAGACTGAAGGAAATGCAATCCTTGGCCTTCAAAAACTTCCAATTTTATGTCAGCAGTTTCAGAAACACTTTAGCCAACCAATTTAGCTTATAATGTTGTATCTTTCTGTATACAGGACAGGATAAGAGGAAAAATGTTAAATTATTTCCCACTGCCTTTTTTTTTGCTGCCCCCATCCCCTGTAATCTGATAAGCTGATGTGTGGGATAAAATCATGCTCTCTCTGCCTGGATTTCCCATCGTCACCCCATGCGTTTGCACCAGAGTACACTACAGAGCTAATGACTTAAGCCACTGCCAACACCCCTTCATTTGTCCATTCCTTCTCCAAGGATACTACAAAAAGGCCAAACATGCATTTGCAAATGTTTCTAACACCAAACCCAGACCACAGAGGAATAGTTTTGTAAAATTATGCACTCAATTCTTTGGCTTGAATTTAAAGTCTATCTGTCAGCTCAGTCTGGATGTATGAGTGATTTATTTAAGCCTGCAAGACGCAGGGCTTAGAGAGGAGGGTGGCTGATCAAGTCCTTAGAACATTTACTAGGAAGTCACACTTAGGCCAATGTGAGCACAGAATATATTTTCTTCATGAAACGCTCGTTAGTCACAGCTACAACAATAGTTACTATGTATTGAGTGCTGCTCTATGGCAAATGCTTACATTCATTATCTCACTGCATCCTTACCACAATCTAGGGAGATCGTGTTATTTTCTCAGTTTTGTAATCGATAAAGGTGAAGTTCAAAAATGTTAAATGGCTTTCCCCAAATCAAAGATCTACTGAGTGTCAGAACTGGGATAGGTGGCATGTTCAATCGCTATTCAATAATTCAATCATTATTTCTGAAGGAAGAATAAGCAACAGAAAGGCCAGGTCTGTACGACTTTAAGCCTTAGCTGTTAATCATTCATTTTGATTTTTTATATACTGCAAGTACTCTGAAGAAGTGACGGCCAACACGTTTCCTCCAAAGAAATCTGGGTAAAGGCATGCTAAGTTCCAAACTCATCGTATTTCAAATAGTTTACGTCTACCTCTTGCAATTACAGAAAATAACCAAATTCAGGCAACGGAGACAAAAGTTACTGAGATTTTATAATGTCTCTGGATTGCACTAAGTTGTCCTATTTACCAAAGTGGTTTCATTGCATCATTCCTCTTGAAGATAATCAAATATGATATTCTGTATTAATTTATGCCATGGAGCTTAAGTGGTCATTGGCCAACTAGAGATACACTTATTTATTTATTTATTTATTTGGCTAAAATCTCTCTAGAATTCACTCCTTACCTAGAAGTAAAAAAAGAGGACACACTTTTGAACCGCTCACATGACCACACCATTCTGCGGGGACGTCCTTGTGTTGAGGGGAGGTCTGAAGTCCATGGAAGAAGACGCAGTGGCTGCTGGAGCTCGTGCAGAGGAAGGGACCCTCAGAAGGACAGGTGAACTGTCGGTGGCAGGAAAAATGGTGGGCACATTTCCAGAATGACAAATGGGAGAAGCAATCGTGACATCTCCAGGTGGGGGAAGCATAGGAGGAAGAGGTTGTTCTCTCAGGAAGTTGCCTCCTAGCCTCCAACGAGGCCTTTCCTATCACTGCTCATTCTCTTCTGTGTGTGGATTGGATACTGCGGTCACCCAGAGAAGCTGGTGCACACCAGGCACATGAAGGGGCGATCCTTGTCTCCTTCCGACTCATGCGCGTGTCTTGATGTTTAAACTCAGAAGGATGTTTAAACTCGGTTGTCTATGAGACAAAATGGCTAGTTTTTGGAGGGTCTGGGGCATTACATTCTGCAGATTAAGATTTTTGCCCGATATTGGCCAAGTCAAGGAAATAGATGCTAAGGCCAAATGCTTTGAAAAACCACAAACTCCTGTTTCTGTGGGAAATGTTTGGCCTGTTGAATCAAACTCAATAAAGAACAGTAAAATCTGTTATTTCAAAAATTTTTGCTTTTGTAGCTGGTTAGTTGCCTTTCTTTGGAAAACCCTGTACAATTCCTACATGAAATGTATTCCTATTGGAAAGAGGTTTTGCCACAATGAATTTCAAACTCTATACAACAAATTGGTTTATTCTACAGGAATTTCAATAAAAAAGGTTTTTTTGTCCCTTCGAAAGCTATAAGTGTGACTCTGTAAAACATAAATATCTCTAAATATTTAGAGTAGATTTTAAATAAAATCATTGCACACAATGAATGTACTTTTTCCCCCTAACTCTTAGGAACAATGCTTTTTACATCTTTTTCCCAGCTCTCATTTTAGTTCATAACTCAAGACCTGAGGCTTTTCCTAACTCTCGTGAACCCAGTGCTTTTCACAGCTTTTTGCCTGCCTCAAACAAAGCACTGGCCATTCCAACAAAGCTTCCGTCAGCCTGGAATGTCTTTTCCCTCAGCCGGGCACTAGGTACGGGTTCTTCATAATCGATAAAGGGCTGCAATAATTCAAATTGTGTTCCCTAATTATTAGATCAATTATATCCAATTTGCCTGATGAAAGCGTATGTTGTAAGAGAAATGACTATATTCAGGCAAAGGCAGAAGGCTGACACTTCAACATTTTTAACTTTCTTAACATTTTAAACCTCAGCCCAGACATCTTACTAATAAATTTTTACTGTTGCCTTTTGATACACCTGTAAATCTAGAAAAATCATATGACCTTACACAGAAAATGAAACACCCATTTACAACAGGAGCGTAAAAGTTTAAATCACTTTTGTCTATTCCTACTAGAATTTAAAGTAGACTATTCAGAACATGCTTACCAAGCCGTATGGGTTGATGTTTCTGGAAATCTTTATTATACACATATCCATCCCTGGGGAGAAGAAGCCATTGACAACAAGCTTTAATTCACTTTTTAGGCATTGTTTATTTCCATAAGCAGTAGAAACCTCTCTCTCTTTTCTCTTTACTCTTCCCGACTTTGCCTTAACATCTTGACTTTGGGGATTCATCCATTTTCTGCTGTGTCTGAGCACTGAGGTCAACAGATGCATGCTCAGGACTCTCATTAGACCAGAATCCCCATTAAACTGCAGGCTTTCTTTACTATTCCCAGTCTTTATTAAACCAAAAATGTTTTAACTGAAGGTTAAGCAACAGGGATGATATGTACTAATTCTTTCTGTACTGTATTATTAATAATTCTACAAAGTAACTTATAAAAATAACAAAAAATTCTGACACTTGATTAAACTATTTGAAAGGAGAATGTTTGAATCCCTTAGAAAATAAAATGATATATTATTTAAAACAATAATCTCTAGTTAGTTAAAAATTCAGTGCCAATTCAGTGCAATGAAGATTTACCAAACAGCTCTTTGGTAGCTGCAGGGAGGATGCAAAAAATAAGAAGTGTGAAATAGCGTCTGCCTGCAAGTGTGTGCTGGAGCAACATGAAATTCATAGACAACATTGCAAATAAAAGTGTCAGCTGCCATTTTAATGCTGTGTGTTAGGACTCAACAGGGATGATCTCATTTAATTTTCACAATACAGTGATGGAAGCACTAGTTTTAGTCCCATTTTACAGACAGGACATGGAAACCTATCTGTAAAGATCACAGAGCTGGTGCCTAGTGGAGCTGTCCCTTTGCTGCTGTGGGAGAGGAGGCAGAGGCGGGTCACTGGTGGGCTCTGTTAGAGGCAGGCTGTTCAACTGCCATGTGGGTAGCGTTCTCTGCAGTGAAGAATATGGAGGAGAAGGCACAGAAGTCATGATTAGGCCATAATTTCTCCACATCTATATATGTACCAAAGCTAATAAGTAGTGTTTATTCATTTCCTTATTAGGAATCAATTTTACATGATGCTTATTGGCTGAGTTAAGTTATTGAAGAAGCTAGGATTTGAAATTCATAGCTTTTGTTCTTCACTCGTACTGAAGCTGGTCTCCTCAGAGCCTGGGCATTTTGTTGGTTTTAAGAGTGAGAGGTTCACAGTGAAGGATGAAGGAAATAGACTTCGTTCACCTACAGTGAGATTTCCTGCAATCCGTTATGGTCCTTGACTATCTTTTTAGGAGGCAGGAATTTAACAGGTTAGGTTAAAGGGCACAGATGAGAGGGAGTAAATTACATACTTCTGATTACTTTGAAACACTGAGGTCATGTGGGTTTAAATAGGGCTTAATCCAACTTGCCTTAATTTTTCTTTATTTTTTATTTTTTATTTTTTTAGGATCTAGCTATGCTGCCCAGGTTGGTCTTGAACTCCTGGCCTCAAGTGATCCTCCCACCTTGACTTCCTAAAGTGCCGACGTTACAGGTGTGAGCCACCATACCTGGCCTTATCTTGTTGTTTTTATTACTGTTATGATTACCCTTTGTAAGTAAATCTTTACGATCTGGACCTTTGACTGGCAGAACTGTAGGCTAGTAGTGCTGGAACAAAAGGGCAAAACTGTGCAATAACTAAATCTTCAGTTGGCATTTTCAGTTTGTCTAAGACATTCTGACGCCTCGATTTGATTCAACTAAAATGTGCTGTCTGGTGGCTGCACTTTGGAATCAGCAGGAAGACCTTAGAAAATGCAGATGCCCAGGTTCCACCCCAGAGGCTCCACCCCTCCCTCCACCCCCAGATATTCTGCTTTAATTGGTCTCCTCAGGTGATTCTAATAAGCAGGAGAAATCCTAGTGTCAGAAACAGAGTCCTGCCTTTAAGGAGCTTGTAATTGCAGTGCCCTTTCTTTGAAAAGTATCCAGTCTCATTTTCTGAAAACAGAAATGGTTTTTTTTAATGTAAATTATTTCTGCTCATATAAATTGCCCACTGGATATCTGGAAGAGTGTTTCTGCAATTGATTTTAGGGCAGTTAGGTATTAAAAATCTTGTGGAAATAAACGAAACCAAGTTACAGAAACATTTTAAAGTCACTTTTCTATAATGCAGGTGTGCGCAAACTAGCGACGCCTACTGGACAGTGTCCAAAGGACTTCCTTTTTCATTGGCCTTACCCTGAAGGGGTGTCTTCCAGCACGTGCTCCCTCTGCTTTGAAGCAATGATCCCACAAATTCTTCAGGGTAGCCATCTCTGCCTGTAGCATGCATTTAGCCCCTGAAGGGCCTGTGAGTGCCCTGGAAACAGGCCTCCCTCCACCTGGGCACATGCAGCACAGCTCCAGAGTGCAGGCTTTGTGCCCGCAGGAGGCTGGACCTGGTCCCACCCACCTGGGGATCCCACACCCTGTGCTGTGAGCAGGTCAGCATATTGGGCCCTTGTGCTTGATGTGGTCCATTTGGACTGGGTCACCTCAGATAAGCTGGGAGGACTCTTCCTGGAATCCCCTTGGCTGCATCTTTCCAAGAAAGCAGGGCCCAAAGAGGCGTGTGTGCGGTGTTTGGAGAGTGGCAGTGGCGCGGTTGCTGTGTCTGCGGTACAGCAGACCTGCTGCTCACCATGCTCCTGTGTCGGCAGCAGGCGTCCCAGTCCCTCTTCCCTGACACGCTCCTCTGCAGCTTTTCCTGCTGCTTAGCTAGGTGCATGCTTGGGGGAAAGGAGGCCAGCGTCCCCTTCGGATCCCACTGCTCAGCTAGGTGCATGCGTGGGGGAAAGGAGGCCAACATCCCCTTCAGATCACATATCCCATGTGGTCAGGGGCCAGGAGGCATGAAAGACCACGAAGGCCCCAGTCCACTGCTGCAGGTTCTCCCGTCCCTGCGGCCCCACCTTGTCCTTGCTCTCCCACCTCTGGCTGTCTTTCCTGTGACCTCAGGCGCATGAGGAGCCACAGCTTCATACACAGCATAAGCAGTGCTCACAACTGCATAAGGTCGCAGCCCTAGAATAAATCCGTCATCATACATATGTCCCAGTGCATCTGACTCTGATGGACGGGCCCCTGCTCGCCTCCCCAGCACGACGTCCACAGGAAAGATGCGCTGCCTGTTCGTCTCTCCACTTTTCCTGTTGCTGCTCGTGCAGAAAACCAGCGTGGCACCCATCATAATGGGTTCTAATTTGCTGCGACTAAGGCCAGAAACTGTGAGTTGTTATTGCTGTTTGGCTGCTTTTGTTTGTTGGTTGGTTGTTTTTTGTTTTGTTTTGTTTTCAGGGAAGGGACCTTTTTTTAATCCCTGGTACATAGAAGGTGACAACTAATAAGTGTTTGTCAAATGAATAAGCATTTACTGTTTACCTTGTCACACTCAGATTCGCTGAGATGGGTCTAATGCTGCGATGTTACACATTCAAACCACACTCCATTCTAAGGGGTTTTACTTGCATTCCGCTGAGGGGTTTGGAGTAGGGTGTGGGGGAGGCACTAAGCTGCTTGATTTTTAAAGAGGGACCTTCCCATTTGACTTCTTGAAAGAGAATCTTTGCCACTTGCATGTCTCTTATTCTAGTTCCTGGGTCATACTTGGCCTTCAGTCAAGTTTTTCTTAGTGAGTTCATATCTTTGCTTGTCGCAAAAGTCACAGCAGAGAAGAGCAGGCAGTCCTTGCCACGGTCCCGGGCTCCACAGCACTTTGGGGCAGTCGGCCATCTTTAAACAGCTCTCAGCTGTTTATCAGCTCGTTGGTCAAACTGCCGTTCTCCCCGGCCTCAAACATGGCTTCTTTTTCCACTCCCCAAATAGATAAGGTAAAGAAACTTAAACAAATACTCTGGAAGGTTCGTCTCCTGCATCTGCTGATGGCTTCCCTTAGAAGCAGGCACACAGACCCAGGCCAACTTGCACAGCCAATTTAGACCATTTTCTTTCCTTTCCGCAGGGCTACACCTCAGCTCACTTATGTCTGTTCTGTTTTAAAAGATGTTTAGGACGTGGGCACTTGAATGGAGCTCTTTGAAGTAGAAGCACCATATAAATCTAAGAAAAGAAATGTAAAAGGCAACTCCAGTCATGTGCAACTCTCCTCCCTCGCTAGTGAAAGAAACCCAATCTGGCAGTCATTTTTCCTCTTTGGTTGTTTTCCAGCCATGGCTTCCTCCCTTTCATCTAACACTAAACTCCATTTAGATCAGTTGGTGTAAATGCACATTGAAAATATAGCAATGCTTCTTTTAATGAAACCACCGCATTCTAATGAGTCATGACTTTTTTGAAGTCGTTATTACAGAAGTAAAAATAACATAGAAAGCAGAGAGACACAGTCAAACCTATTAATTAAGGGTTGGAGCCAAGGACAGAGACTTGAAAACTCATGAGGAAACCACTAACAGAGGGCCAGCCTGCTGTCAGGTCCAGATGTGTGCACGGGAGGGCGCCTGTGGCTGGAAGCTCTAACCTGTGCTCAGGTATGGAGAGGGGTCACAGAGAGGCCGTCACTGGAACTGTCCTGCCCTGGAGCTGTGCTTAGACATGAGCACACTGTTGAAACTGGAGAAAAGCCAATGAGAAGCTCATCAATTCTGCCACCCTCAGCAAGCCCTGGACGTCGCCTTCCTGGAGCCCTGGACGTAGCCTTCTTCCTGCTCATCTGACCTGGGGTGAGGTTGTGCAGAGCTGGTTCATTTTACAACTCCCCCCAAAATCGCTTTCAAATATTCACTTCAGGACTGGTGTCCTTTTGAGTCCTCCAGAGAGGCAAATAACATTTAAGTACTTTGTAAGCATCAAACACATTATCTCATTGCATTGTCTCAACAATCACATAATTTCAGTGTGAGCCACAGTGTTCTATGTAGGGGGACAGACGCAAGAGGTTTAGGGCACACAGCTAATGAGAGCTGAGACCTGAACCCATGTCTGCTGGTCCTGAAATGCAAGACCATTAGCTTCCCTCAAAAGAAATCCAAACTTACTGCAGGAATTCATTTCCCAACAAATATTTATCTACTTATTTACAGATTCCTAGCATTTCTTTTACTGATAGCAGAAAAAGAAATTTGTTTCATTCCACAGAAATAAAAAGAAAAAATTAAAATACACATTAAGTTAAGGCAGTAAGTTAAAGTAAAATTGAATTCAGCAAAAAGTGTCAGCGCCCCTAGAGACAAATACCTACTACAGGTTGTTTGCTGATTCCTACTGAGGGTGGACATCTGTGGGGAAGGAAGGAGGCTCAGATGAAGAGGGGGAAAAAAGGCAAAGGAAACAGATGCTGAAACACAGACTTCCTCTGTGGGCTCTGGCCAAGAGAGGCTGAACTTGGAGTCACCCACTGTCCTGCTAATTGCTGCGAAGAGTTGTACCTTGCGATAACTTGCATATGAGCTATCATCTTCAGTCTGGAAGACTCTTTCCCATAAGACTTATCAGTGAAGCTGGATACTGAGTTTGCTTTCTGCATTTTCCTTTTGCTCTTATGGTGTTACCATCGACTGCTGTGAAGTAATTACCCTTTCTAGATGGTGGAATATGCTTTAAAGCTGGATCTGAGAAATCCAGCTTCAGTCCTAAGTTTCTGATTGCCTAAGGAGATAGAGTGCCAGTGTAGACCTAAGATTCAGGAAACTGACATGTTTTTATGTGAGGGAATCTGCGCAGTTTTCCACGTTGGATTTCAATATAACTACACAGCAGGATGGCTGGCTTATGGTCCATCCCAACGCTTTCCGAAGGAGGAGTCAGGTACATACATTGGATTGGTGTCATCAGACGCAAGATAGCATTTGAACACAGATGTGTGTCTGTGACTCGGGTTTATCTGCCATCTTCCATGCACTTGTTTCTGAGCTTGAAGTAGGGTAGGATCCTTCTAATAAAATTCAAGAAAGTTACTTACATTAAAATGCTTTTAAGTGCAAGAATGTGTAAGATGTAATAATTTACCTGAGGGGAAGAATTTTTTGACACCATGTATTAGTCTATTCTCACACTGCTAATAAAGACATACCCAAGACTGGGTAATTTATAAGGAAAAAAGAGGTTTAATGGACTCACAGCTGCACATGGCTGAGGAGGCCTTACAATCATGGCAGAAGGTGAAGGAGAAGCAAAGGCGTGTCTTACAGGGCGGCAGGCAAGAGAGCATGTGCAGGGGAACTGCTCTTTATAAGACCATCAGATCTCATAAGACTTATTCACTATCACGAGAACAACATGGGAAAGACCCGCCCCCCATGATTCAATTACCTCCCGCCAAGTCCCTCCCATGACATGTGGGCGTGATGGGAGCTACAATTCAAGATGAGATTTAGGTGGGGACACAGCCTAATCATATCACACCATGTTACAAATGAGGCAGAGGCATTCTCCCAGCTCCCACTTGGAACACAGCATGGCTCCAACCCATTGAGAGTCAGGGAACCAGTGTTTCTTAGCCACTTAGATCCAAGGGACAAGGGATGAGCCTTCCCCACAGCTCCTGTGGTGACAGCCCAGCCACCAGCAGTGGGGCTCCGTGACACAGAGCTGAGGAGGGCAGGGCTGAGTCCTGGGGGAAATTATGATGCCCAGAGGAAGACAGGTTCACGGTGGCTATTGAGAGCACTGCAAGACACCTCCACAGATTTCAAAGCTGCAGAATTCTTGGAAATGGATGAATCTTGAAAACAGTTATTATTTATTATTATTATTTTTAAAATTTCTGTGCATACATAGTATGTGTATATATTTATGGGGTACACGAGATTTTTTTGTTGTTTGTTTTTCTTTTTCTTGTCTTTTTTTTTTTTTAAACCAAGTGTCCCTCTGTCACCCAGGCTGGAATGCCATGTCGGCTCACTGCAACCTCCGCCTCTGGGGTTCAAGCGATTCTCCTGCCTCAGCCTCCCGAGTAGCTGAGATTACAGGCACTGGCCACCACACCTGGCTAATTTATGTATTTTTAGTAGAGTTGGGGTTTCACCATGTTGGCCAGGCTGGTCTTGAACTCCTGACCTCAAGTAATCTGCCTGCCTCAGCCTCCCGAAGTGCTGGGATTACAGGTGTGAGCCATTGTGCCTGGCCAGTACATGAGATATTTTGATACAGGCATGCAAAGTGAAATAAGCGCATCATGGATAGTGGGGTATCTATCCCCTCCAGCATTTATCCTCTGAGTTACAGACAATCCAATTACAGTCTTTATTTTAAAATGTAGAAAACATTTGTTCTTGAGCACAGCCTGGGATCCTCCCATAGATGAATTATGAGAAACCTTGAGGAATTCTTTCCTCTTAGTCCTACTAAGTGCCCATATTTGACCCTAGGATGACATGGCTTAGGAAGAAATGATCAGCTTAGAAACATCCCAGGAGGTGTGTGCCTCTGGAAGCAGGTAACCTTCTGGGAGGGCCCTTTCCAGCTTGTCTTGGGGTTTCCACTGACCCTCATAGAAGTGAATACAGGGACAATTAAGGCCAGTTTGAAATTGTGCTCATTGCCAGCTCACTTTTATTGGTGAGGATGGGTCCTTTCACTCGGAAAACAGCAGCCAGTGAGCAGTGAAGCCCCGCCTTCAGATGCTTCTGGTACCCATGTAAAGGCAGCTTCACTTAGGAGTGGGAGTAAATGCTACCTTTAACTTGGCTGTTGGGGTTATATTGAAGAGTTTGATGTTGGTCAACCTGTTTCCTGATGGATGTGTGCTCAGGGGCCTTTGTCATATCTTGAGAGAAACAACATTGAGGGCATTGACAAATACATTGAGCCACTGACTGATTGTGGGGCTCAAAGACGTGCTTCACTGTGGCCCACCCAACTGGAGAACATGAAGTTCTTGACGGTACATTTGCAGAAGCAAAGCAAATCAAATATTCATATATATTGATTTCACAAGTAAAATTATTACATTGCTGAAGCCTTTACCAGTAGCTTTGCAGAGTTGATCCAAAGCTGTTGGGGCCATCCTTTGTTCCTTCAGAGAACAAAGTGCAGAGCTGTGGCTGGAAACTGCTTTGCGTGTGAGCTACAGCTCCTTCATCCATAACCATCAGGAAACCATGCTCAAGTCTCATCAGAGTGGGCCGATTTGTCACACTTGAGATCAGAGTCCCAGACGGTCATATCATCAGAAGAGGAAATTGTCAACACATTTTTCCAAAGTATTTTACAAGGAAGTTTGAAATTGCATGGAAGGAACCATTGCACTTGAAGCTAAAAATGGACTTTTATTCAAAGGAAAAATATATGAGGAGCTTCAGATCTAATTAAACAAAGGACCCTTGATCCAATTGTACATATGCAGTGTCTACAGTTCTGGTACTGAAGACTAACACTTTGCAGGCCCATGTAAATAATTTTAAATGCTTCCACTAGCATCTCACATCAATCACGGCTCTGCCAGTATCTTGTAAAACTCTCCCCGGGGCTGTGCTCAAGCCACACTGACATTTTCTTGGTTGTGAGCACCACCCAGGTGTTCTCATTTCCGACCTTGGCTACAGGCGCTTTCTTCTCCTTGGAAAATCTTTCCTTCTCGCTGGCCTTGCTAACTCCTCTTTATGTTTTGGGTCTCTAGATAAATATCTCTTCCTCCAGAAAGCCTTCCTGGACCCTCAAGGTCTGGTGGAGTTGCCCCTAAAACACCTTTCTCATAAGAGCATTTATTGTACTGAGCTGTCACTGCCTGTCACTGCTTGACTTCCCTGTAGGCTATAGGGGCCTGGATGTAGGGGCTATAATATTCCCAGTTACACTGCAGTCAGGCGGTAGACATGTATCACAGGGATGGACCACACGCTCATCAGATAGGTTTCCCATTTAGAGAACATAGGAGGAATACATTTTCTCGGTGCATTTGTAGTTAGGTTGGGACTAGGTTATCAGCTTTAGTCAATGGAGTGTGGGTAGAAGTTACACACACTACTTCTAGCTTGGCCAGAGAAACCTCTGCTCCACTCTCCTCCTCTGTCCACCTTTCCACTGCGATCACGGAGGCCAGGTAGGTGAGGCGGCAGGACCGCAAGTGGAGAGGATGGAAGGAGATTGCAATGGGAGCTGCCTGAGTCGTGCTGGACTGTGACACAAGCAAAAAACAAACCTCCACTTTATTTAAACCCCTGAAGGTTTGTAAGGGCTTAGTTTTGACAGCAGAGTCTTGCTCATCCCAACCCATACAGGACTCAGTGAAATCTGTTCAATGAAAGAATGAGTGGCTGCTCAGCACCGTTGCTCTCAGTGGTCTGCTGGACCCTCCCTGAGTGTGATGCACTTCTGTCCGTGAGCCTGGGGTACTTCCTTCAAGCAAGGAGCAGGTGAATGCAGGGAAGTCACCAAGGGACACCTAGAAGTTACGGATGGAGAAGTATGGACAAGCCATCCTACTGTGTCATGGCTTGTGTGCTGAAGGACATTGTACACACTTCCTGTCTGCTAATTATTCATCTATGCCTCCTGACATGGTTTGGCTCTGTGTCCCCCCCACATTTCATGTTGAATTGTAATCCCCAGTGTTGAGGAGGGACCTAGTGGGAGGTGATCAGATCATGGGGATGGATTTCTTTCTTGCTGTTCTGGTTATAGCAGGTGAGTTCTCACGAGATCTGGTTGTTTAAAAGAGTGTGGCACCTCTACTTTTGCTCTCTTTCTCTCTCCTGCCACCATGTGAAGAAGGTGACTTATTCCTATTCATCCTTCTGCCACGATTGTAAGTTTCCTGAGGCCTCCCAGCCATGTTTCCTGTACAGCCTGCTGAACTGTGAGTCCATTAAACCTCTTTTCTTAATAAATTACCCAGTCTCAGGTAGTTCTTTATAGTAGTATGGGAATGAACAAATACACCTCCTTCTATTGGAGTTAAGGAGCCAATAGAAGGAAGTTCTTTGTTTCTGTAACTGAGACCATGGGGTCTGGGCTATGCAAAATCTAGAAACCACACATGTACCAGAAATAGTGCTAGTTGGAGAGTCACAATGACTGGGTTTAAAGAAGTATGCTGCCTACAGAACTGTGTGACCCTGCACAAGTGACATAACTGCATGACGCTTGTGAAGGAAGGAAAAGTTGTTGAATAAAGGCATGTATAAATCTGCACAGTGGGGGGTAGTGGTATCTTCCTTGCAGGACTGATGTGAACATTAAATCAGTAAATACTTGTAGAGGTTATTGGCATGCAGTGTGTATCGTCAATGAATACTTGATGTTTGTGGGCACAAAGTATCGATATTAATGCTTTTGTTCTGGCATCCCTTGGTGCTGATTTAGGGTGGAACTCGCAGATTTGACTCTTTGAAAGGTAATCTATGACTTAGTCATTCTCTGTCCATTTGCTGATAACCATAACCAATGGCCAATGCAGGTTAACTAAAGCATGCTTCTAAACTGTTCTGAGAAACTTTGAGCACTCTGGCTTATTGTCTGAGACTAGAATAATATTAATTCAGTATAAGTATAAAAGATCAATGCTATCAAGGTGCTCCTATAAATTGTATGGTTAAAGCCTTGCTCCCCCAATTTCTATATTATGACTACACTTTCATTGGCCAACGTATATTTAATAATGTCATCTTATTTCTTTGTCAATATCACAAACTAATTGATCAAGTCACTGCTACTCAAAAAAGTAGCCTCTGTTTCTACCATGTCCAGAGTTCTCATTAAAACATTCTCATAAAAACAAAACATATAATTAATAAATTAATAAAAAGAAATGACATGATGTAGAATCCTCATTGTTTTATATACTACTTATGCAAACTCTTATTTTTGAATCTACTTTGCTGTTAGAGAGCAATATTTTTGAGAGATAAAACATATTGTATATTGTTTTACCAAGGAGAAAGTTTTTTTCTCCCTTCCACTACTGGTTGGAAGAACCTATCCTGAAGTACCTGATTTGGAGTCAGAGAAAGGAAAACGAGGATTGCTGGCTTCCAGATCTCAGCACAGGCTCACAGGCAGTGCCTCCTGTGCTCAGGTGGTTTCTGATGAAATGTCATGCAGTGGTTGGAATGCAGGATATGGGATTAAACAGCCTGAGTCTAAGTCATTTTCCCATCACTTTCCTGCTATGTGAGCTTGGGCAAGTTATATCTGTTCTGTTCCTTTTCTCATTAACTATGAAAAGGGAATAAAAAGAACACCCACCTTATATGATTCTTAAGAGGGTTTAACGAAATAATAAATTTCAAGTGTTTTAGAACAGTGCTAGGCACAGTATAAGGGCTGAATGAACATCAATTGTTAATAACTATTTTTCCTCTTTCGTAAACACTATAATAACAAGTCACTTTTGCTCTGCTCACAATTTCCAATAAAAGATCACTTGGATAATCTAATGGAGTTCTACATTTTATTTTGAACTATTTTGGCAATATTCATAAAAATTCCATCACAATAGGTACTATAAGGCAAGACAGTCAAATGACAATTAGATTTTAACAGCTAGTGGATTATAAAGTTTACTATTATCCATCTTTTTCTTCAAATAAACATTTGAATTATTGCTCTATAATTAAACCTGAGTGAAATGCTCCATTGATAATGACAGTTCTATTCTGCTTTTATGAAGCAATAACTTCTACCCTGACTTGATAAACTTTAAACTTCGGGGACTTCTTCCTGTTTGAAGGTGAACATTGCTTACCAGAACTATGCAATCTGGACAGTGTGATTCTACTGAAGCCCTTTAGAACTGTGCTTAAGAAAAATGTCTAACATTTACACGATAATGCTAGAGCCTATGTGGTTGGGTGTGGAGAAGAGATGGGATTTGAATTAAAGAACGGGTAGATTGCCAGTGAAATCCAATTAAAAAAAAACTAAGAATCTAGGCAGGGATTCACAGACTCTAAGAATACCATTAAATATGTAATTAATACAAAGGATGTTTACAATTCTTCTTGAACTACATGTAAATATATATCCATACTTATATTATATTATGAAGAATCAGGGTAATAGAAAAAAGTCTATGAAAAAGAAAAGAAATGGGGCAGCATTAGTTTTTGAAGTAAGCATGAAAATTTAGTTAGTTGGCACTTTCAGGGTTGCTTTGCAGGAAACCATAAACTTATTATTTACAGTGAAATAACCCCCTTTCCCCAGAGGCATACAGTATGGGTTTCACAGTGTGTCCTCATGCCCCAAGTAATTAGATGTCAAAATTAGGTGTCCATTCCTCCCCTACCTCCTTAATTGCAAGAATATCCCTCAGGATTTGGAAACTCCTTTGGTTAAATTACTCTTGAGTGTTAGAAGGCCAAGAGGATGTGAAAACATCGTAGATTCTTTGCTCATCTTTAATTCCATAATGAAGCTTGGTCCACTTGCTATCAAGGCCTTTCTGCCCAAACTCACCTGGTTTGAGTAAAAATACTACTTTTTAATTTGATATACTTGATAACTCTGCTTTCACTAGGGTTCCCAGTTCACAAAAGAACTCTGCCATACCATTACCTAATGGCCTAGAGCATAATCTATCTCAGTACAGAGTGTGGAGATGGTACCCTTTGGCATAATTCTTATACCCCTCATCTGGAGATGTGACATGTCTAGCATTGTAGCCAGAAAACTACTGCTGGCTGCCAGACCATCCATGAGAAGTCTAGTTCTATGAGTAAATGAATCCAACAAACACAAATATGCTCTTTGAGGTAGACAATGAAATTGCAATTCAATAAATAAAATTCCTTGTAAGAAAGAAGTAATTATATTATATGTATTGTGTGTGTATATACAGGGATGAAATTCTAAACATTTGACAATGGTGTGGTAGAGGTGCCAATCAGAGGCATTGTTGGCTTGTAAAACACTGCTCTGGTCCCACTGGGGTTTGATAACCAAACATCCCCCATAAAGATACACGACTAAGATACTAATAGCTCATGCAAAAGTGCTTTGGAGTACAAAAGAGGAAACAAATTTAATTATGACTTGCATGAAACATTTGATGTAAACTTCATTTAATTCAATAAATAAAAATCTCTCAGAATCAAATTGCTTAAAAAATATAAACCCATGGCCTATTTCAAAAAATAATAGATACTCTTTAGATAAGCTTAACAAACAGAGAATTTTGGAAATGTGACTTTTCTGTTTTAACCCTTATGTCACGGAGTATGGCAGCAGACCACTTGAGATTGGTTAGCATTTATTGAACTGATGCAGCCATGAAAAAAGGTATTTAGAATGCAGTCTTTGATAACATAGTTTTTAAATGGGAAACAATCTGTAGAGCTGGGTTTCTTTCGAATGATTCTAGTTTCCTTCTAACATTTAAGTTGAGCCTAATATGATTCAGTGCTCTCAGCTAAAATTAATCAGGAGATGATTTATTAGGTTTTTACAATGTTTGCGGGTTGCCTTGACATTTAGTCAACGCTGCTTCATATACCTGCGTGCCTGCCAGTGGGGGAAGCTGCAGATATTGGGCCTTTGAGGAGGTTTTGTAGGAGGTCTACCCACAAAAAGCATAATTATTTATCTTGATTTTCCTTTAAGGAAAATTCATTCTCTCTCCGGTACTTTAAGACTCCAGTAGCAAATCTTAATGTTGTGCTTTGGGTGTGAAGTGTTTGCTGCAGTAAGAGGAAACCTGAGTTGTGAGACCAGCCAGAAAGTGGTGAGATGCTTTAGACCGCATCTGCTGAAGACGTTCTTTGGAGTGTCCTGTGGAACTTTCTCTCTTCCTGCAAAAAAGGCAAATAGCCAAAGAAGAATGATGGGTGATTTTCATGCAAAGAACAATACATCAAGAATATCTAAACTAATTTAACAATTACAAGGAATATTCTTGGCCATATCAATTTAAGATATGCTTGCAAGTGGGAAATGATTTTCAATTTATATGTCATTCTGGTATTTCTTCAGTGGCTAGGACGAAGAAAGAAGAGAATTTTTGGATTTCTGTTAAATTGATTCATAACAATTTTTTTAAAATTGCCTCTTGTGTTTGAATAGTTGGCAAGGGTCATATAAAGGTCAGGAATTTAACTCAAAAAGTGTGCTAGGCTTCTCTATGAAAAGTAAATAAGTAATGAATGAAAGAATAAATAAATAAAATTTAGAACTCAGTACAGTACAAAATATTATCTAATGATTAATTATGAGGAGAAATGGCCATTTATGATAAAACCATTTTATGGTAGAAATGGTGACTGAAACAAATGATCTGCTATAGAATGGAAATAGCCTCTGTGTTTGGAACTTTTACCAGGGTTTGGCATGATGGGATGTCCTTTATTAGCATGAATCTGTCTTCTTCATGACGGTATCACCAGAAAGGCAAAAGGGAACCCTTCTGATTTCTGAACAATCAATAATTGAAGGTGTGATTTTTGAAATCTCATGCTCTGCTGGGATCACCACTGTGTATCATTTGCCAGGGCTGTCATAACCAAATACCATAGACTAGGTGGCCTATACAACAGAAATTTATTCTCTCTCAGTTTAAGAGGCTGGAAGTCTGAGGTCAAGGCGTCAGTAGTGTTGGTTTCTCTTGAAGTGGGCCCATTTTAACTTATATCTTTGAAGGCCCTATCTCCGAATACAATTGTGTTCTGAGGTAGCAGGAATTAGGACATCAACATATGAATTTTGAGGGAGACACAGTTCAGCCCAAAACACATAACACATTGCAAAATAGCAAACCACCAAAAAGTAAGACCCTATGGTAGAACTCCAGTGTAGTGGTCTATTTTTCATTCCCTGCTCGTACTTATCACTGTACTAAAAACGGATTCAATGTTTGTGTCCAAAACCTCAGTTCAATATTTGAAAAATGTATGACTTCTGTTGTTCTTTTGAAATGAGAGGATGAGGGGCAGAATAGTTTATGCAAGAGAAGAAGAGGATGATATCAGTGCTGGAGATAGCATATGCATGTTAGTTTCTTTGTTTATTTGTTCACTTGTTTATCAAACTCTGACTGCCTGCTCTGAACTACACCCTTTACTAAAGGCAGAGACACAGTTTAAGACCCCTTTCTTTCCTCACAGGACTCACAGACCAAGGTGGAAGGAGAAGTGAACTTGTAAAGAATGATAAAGAAAATGTGGTATATATATACCATGGAATACTATGCAGCCATAAAGAAGAACAAGATCATGTCCTTTGCATGGACATGAATGGAGCTAGAAGCTATTATCCTTAGCAAACTAATGCAGGAACAGAAAACCAAATACTGCATGTTCTTACCTATAAGTGGGAGCTCAATGATGAAAACACATGGACACAAAGAGGGGAACAACACACACTGGGGCCTATCCTCTCTGACACGAATAAACTGCCTCCCATCCTCTTGTTACAAAATAAACAACAGAAGTCATACTTTTGAAAATATTGAAGTGAGGCTTTGGACACAAACCATCGAGTTCATTTTTAGCAGTGTGGTAGGCATAAGCAAGAAATTAAGAAATTAGGAAAGTAATGAATGGGTTCTAGGCTTAACATCTGGGTGACCAAATAATCTGTGCAACAAACCCCTAGAACACAAGTTTACCTGAACTTACAAGTGAAAAAAGAATGAAAAATGTTAACTCAGTTAACAAACCTCTGGTAACCACCCACTTGGTATCACATCTTCTGGGTGCTTGGGATGTATCCCACATGAGAAGGACATGGGGCACTTGGATTCTCGCTAAGGGAGACAGTTGGTGAATAATAAAGGCCATAAATACATATGCTGTAGAGTGCCAGAAGGTGTTGGGTCAATGGAGATAGGAAATTGAGTCAGGAAAGGGGCTGAGGAGTGTGACAGCACGTTGACAGTAGGATGGTCGTAGAGGTCTCTGTGAGGTGCTAACTGATGCAGAGAAACTTGACGGAGGAAAGGGAGGTGAGCACATGAGTATCTAGCTGGGGATAGAGAAAGGAGGGGCCTTCCAGGCAGCAGAAAGAGCCAGCCCAGACGCCCCAGCAGGAGTGTCCTTGATGTGTCCTAGGACCCAAGGATCCTGGTGTGGAGGGAGCTCGGGGAGAGAGGGCAGAGGGACGGAAGATGGCCTAGAAAGTGATGGGAGTTCATAGCAAGCAGGGTTTTTCTTTTTCTTTTCTTTTTTTTTTTGTCATTGTGAAGATTTTGGATTATTTGTTTTTTTTTTTCCTGAATGAAATGGGAAGCCATTGGAAGGTTTTGAGTGGAGTAGAGCTGTGGAGCGAAATAGGTATTAAAAGGGTCGCTTTAACCACCTATTGTGCTGAATCTAGACTGGGGATGGGGATGAACATGCAAGCAGGGAAGGCAGTGAGAAGGCAACAGCAGCAAGCCCAGAGAGAGGGCTGGAGATGCACCCAGGGTGTTGGAAGGGTAGATGGTGAGATGGGATTGGATCCTTGGATACACATTGAAACAGAGTCAACCTGATTTGTTTGTGGATTTAAGGAAGGGCAAGAGAAAGACAGGAGCCAAAGATTATGCACAGGTTATTATTTTTTTCCCTGTGCAACTTAAATAATTGAATTTCTTTCAACTTAGGAAAGTCTGTGTGAGGAGCAGGTTCAGGTTGGACACCTTCAGTTTGCAAATCAATTAGATATTCCAATGGCCATGGAGGGTAGGCAATGGGCTAAATTAACCTAGAATTCAGGAGAAATGTCTGGGCTAGAGAGAGAGATTTGGAAGTCACTGGCCTTTAGATGGCATTTAAACCCATTGAAATGGGATTAGAAGGCCAAGAGCGTAGACACCAGAGCACTAAGGACAGGGCTCTGGTGAATTTCAGCATTAGGAATTCCAGGGGACACAGGTGAGCTGGCACAGGGGCCGGGGGAAGTCAACACAGTCAGTGGACTAGAAGGTGATGACAGCAGGTGACCAGAAGTGCCTATTTTCTCTCAAGTCAGGTTGGCCATGGGCTAGGTACAGACTTGTGCCTCCATCCACAGCCAGGCTTCTCTAGGGGATAGAAAATTGCCATTAAATTACCAGGTAAAGAACTCACTGCTGAGGCTGCCAAGATCCAAATTGTCTGGGGGTTTGAATTGCTCACCACCATCTTGAATTTAGTTCCCAGGAGGCAAAGGAACTTGTGGAAAGTACACAGCTTGCAGAATAACCTGCTGCCCCAGCTGCCCACGGGGGGCCTTCACGTGCCACTGTGGCCCCAGTGCAACCTGGACGTTTGAAGACATAGACAATTAAGTGAGGTCAGGATCAGAGTGAAAGCTTCACGTTGAAGGCCCTGTTTCACGAAATGATTCACCTATGGGGCTGTCACAGATGTCAAGGAGAGGGTTCCTTCCAGGGGAGGGAATGCATTAGGAAAACACCTCACTGGAAATATTGTCAACATCCTGACAGGTGTGTGCAGGGGCCAAATACAATAGATACGGAAGGAGAGATGCCTTGTTCTCGGAGACAAAGTCCTTTTCTTGTGATTGCCTAAAGAACAGCTCTAAGGTGGGGGCAGAAACATCCAAAGGTGTTTCTTGGGTTTTATGGCCCTTAGAAGAAAGGGCCTTCATGAGATGCCCTCGCTTTGTGCTGGTCTCCCACAGAGAAGGTTCGCCAATTTTCAGATTCTCAAATTCCCCATGAAAGAAGTTATTTTTGTCAGAGAGGGAATTGTAAGTGGGTCCTTGAAGTCAAATCCACCATTGTTGTTCTCCTTTGACCTGGCCCTGGCAGCGACGCTGCAGAAAGACATGATTGAAGAAGGGGCAGGAGATCTTAGCACCAGAGCCGTTTGTCTTAGAAGAAAGCAGGTTGGTAATGATTTTCAATTAGAAAAGGTTTATTGGAGAGACTATCCTCCTTCACCTAGTTAGAAACTTCATGGAGTGTGGGTGAAACCAAAAGTCAGGGGGAATAGGAATCCTGCTTTTCCACTGAACACAAAATCGCCTGCAATTTCTATGACTTTCTTATGTGCTCTAAGTAGGGTCAATTATTTTGGTAACCACTATTTAGCCCCAGGACTTGAATAGCAATTGTATTTGCTCGTTGTTCCATTTAGAAAAAAAAAAGCATTGGCTGGAATTGTTGCTGTGTTTCAGAAGAAATAAGTGCTTCAGACCTGGGAATTGCTTGTGGCTGATTAAGAAATCGCTTAGATGCCTGAATTAATCTGTGTGGTGTCTGCTAGGTAGGCACGCTTTTATAAATCTTCATAAACCTTAGTCCTGAGTCTGCGGCCCCAGCGCACAGCCCGTATCGGCGTGGTGGCCTCCTCTGGCCTTCGCTCTCGGCCAGCTTATCCCGGGAGGAGGGACCATAAAACCAGGGGGATGGCAGGCTGTCCCTGCTCTGTGATCAGTGGTCAAAACACTGGGGCCTGACCTTCTCCTGTTGATTTATTCCTACGTGTCTTCGGGGCTGAGTTGTGGGCCTTGTGCGTCATTCCCTGGTGCCGGGTTGCCCGTGGGCTGGCCCTTCTCTCTCTTGGTGCCTCCTCTTCCTGATTCTCAGATCTCTGAACTGGCCCCCTACGTTTCCACCGCCTGCTGCCTTCTCTACCCAGCCTGGGATGATATCGCAAAGGCTCAGGTTGCCTTTCTCCCTGACCTCTGCTACCACCTGCCTCTCTCTCTGCCAGGCTCTGCCTCCTCCCTGCCTGTGTCTGCACTAGTTCATGTCACTGCCCCTGTCACCTCCATTTCCACCACGCCTTGTTCTTTAACCCACTGGGTTGCTGACCAATACCTGGTGTGATATTCCCACCAGAGTCACATTGTACGGTGCCACCTTCAGCCTTACCTGTAACGTTTGGGGTAGCGTATTCCATAGCCTACAATGGTTGGGAGAGAAACGCTGATAGGTGGCCCTGGCTGGGTATGGCAGGAGTGGTAGACACCGTGTTGGGGAGGGAAGAACACGGTTCATCTAAAGGAGGCAGAATCTGGGGCTTTAAAAATGTTTCCCAAGTAGGAATGTTGATCTACCTTGTCAGAAAAAAATATAATAAATCGTAGCTCACACATAGATGAGGCTTTTTATGTCGTAGGCCCTGTTCTACGTCCTTTATGCATATGAATTCATTGGCTGGACACGGCGACACTGTAAGGTAAGTATTTTTATGATCTTCATGCTGTCTGTAAGGCAAGCATAGACAGCCTGAGGAAGTCACCTGAAATTGCACATCTGGGGTTTGGTCGCCCTGGAATGTCACCCCAGGCCGTCTGGCTCCTGAGTGTGTTTCCAAGCCCTAACCTCTGCCGAGCTTTTGAGAGAAGTCAAGTATGAGTATTTATGAGAAATCTAGCAATGTTTGAACAATGTCTACACATTTGAACTAAAAGATGAAACAAAGCATGGCTGACCACACTCGGTCCATGGGCCCTGGGTTGCCACCTGTGTCCTAAACCATGAGGGTCAGTCCACAAGAGAATCAGTGCAACTTCCAGTCTTCAGCCTCACACGTGTGGTGCAGAGGAGGACTCTGCACTTGCCTCTACCTCCCTAACTCTTCTCCTGTTAGGCACCGGCACGGGCAGCCCCTCTGAGGCTGGTCTTCATGTGGTGTCTGTGGAGAGTCTGTAGAAGCCCTGGGCAACCCCCTCTCTGTGAACTGCTGATCCAACAGAGTTCCAAGAAAGCTCCTATTTGCTCATGATTTATCCTCTGACATCCTCCGCCAAGACCTGCAGACATCAACATCTCTTACATGTCTACTTTTGGGTGCTGAATTGTGGTGTCAAAGTGCACATTCCACCTAGCAGAACTTATTTTTCTTGTTTCTTTTTAAAGTGTCTTAGAAAGTGATTTCCCTATAATTTGCAAAAGAGCAGTGAGTCAAGAAGTAGCTGTTATCATCATAGATTTCCCCAGTCATAGGAATATTAGGATAAGCCCCAGTTCTCTTACTTCAGAAGGTTAATTATTGGAGGTTAGCAGACACTTCTTAGGCCCTTTAAAAAAACAAAGCCAAAGAGCAATGCAAGAGCGGGCCCACTTCAACCAGCCCCTCAGCCCAGCTTGACTGAGGCCCCTCCATAGGGCACTCCACTGGAGTCTGCAGGGAGACACACCACATATCAGACACAGGCTCTATGGGGAGTGAGTTGATGAACAAAGAACAAGTCAACACCCATGAAATTGCCAAAGGAAAGTTAAATGCCTTACTGACCATGACTAAAACAAGAACTTAGAGAAGTCTGAGGTCAGTGTGAGCTTGATTTAGTGTGAGGGAGGAACGGCTTCTTGGAGGAATAAGATTGGTGGGATTTTTACAAGTTGAGAGGAAAAGGCTATTTCTGTGGCTGTGGGGTGGCCAAGTTCAGAGAAGGGACCAGGGCTTCCAGAGCCCTGCTGCCCCTTGGGTAGTCCTGCACTGCTTGCATAGAACCTTGTTTCAGTGTTTTCGTCACCCTGCAGAGCTTGCCTATTTTGCAGATACAATTCTCTGCAACTTAGTTTCTCCAGTTAATTTACCCAAGGCCATATAGAAGAAGAAAGACCATACGAAGAAGAAAGAGCAGAGTCATGGTTCCCACAGTGGGGTCGAGAATGAGCCAAGACATCCACGTGTGTCTGGCCCTTGCAGGAGGCGCCTGGCCTGGCGAATGTGGGTGCTGAGCAGAAGGAGTGGGGGAAAGCTGGCTGTTGATGTGGATCCAACTCCAGGAGGGTCTTAAAGGCAGGTGGAGGGGTTTGGATGTGTACTTTTGAGAAAACAGATATGAAACATGTGTAAGAAAGATGCACCCATGGTATAAACGTGATGGGGAAAGGGAAGGTGTGAGGTTTGGAAGACAGAGAGGAGGAAATTATTGTGATATAGATGAGGAGATGCTTTGGGCCTGTGATGGTGATGGAAAAGGAGAAGCAGCCGGAAGACAGAAGCTGGCAACATGCTGGGTGTAGGGACTCACTGAGGGAGGAGTGTGAAGGGTGATTCCTTGGACAACTCAGCAGGGTTGGGGAGTCCACTTGTTGGGGAAGTGGGCACTGCAGACGCTGTGTGCCTGCTCCCCACCACCTGGCCCACCCCTGGGGTACCCACAGCCAGACCCCACCCACTGCACAGGATCTCTCCTCTAGGGGATTCTCTGGCCTAGCATGGAGAGGTTGGAGATGCAAAGGAGTAAGGCTCTAGGAGCAGCCCTCAACCCGAGGGTGGGAGTTGTTAGATACCAGCCGAAGTGTGTAGGCCTTCCCTCCATGGTCAACTCAGAGGGGCCCCGGGAGGGGTCACCTCCTTGTTCACGTGCCACTGGCTGCCTTCCTCTCCCCCACTCACTCCTCTCCTCCCTCCCTTGCTTCCTGGGATCCTAAGTCCTGTCTGAGAGTCTGAATTTGAAAGAACCCAGTCTTAGAGAGAAGAGCTCCTGGGAAGACATATGCAAATCTGTGTTCGGAGAGGAAAGAGAAGCATGTTTTAAATTTACCAGAGGCATTTCCTGCTTTAAAGAAGGTGGTAATGATTTTCTATTCACCGTGGATTTCCTTCCCTTTCCCTTCCGTCCTCTGCTGAGCCAATGCAGGAGTCTCCGAGAGAAGGTATTTCCTGAAGACATGGTGGTCTTATGCTTAGAGTTGTTATCCAAGGGAATTTAGATATTTTTTTTAAGTAAGTGACATAATGTTTTTCTTTTAAACTGCTTCCAATATCAAAAAAAATATTCATTCACCTTGGCTTTTGTATAGTGCAATGCCTTCAGAGACAAGCAATGTAGGACTTTAATGTTTGAGTTCCAGTGTGTGTCTAACCCTGGTAGGAAGGAGGAAACCAAGGAGCATGGCGTTTAGAGACCCTTCTGTAGCACCCCTATTTTATGCCTCTGGTTACATGATGTTTATAGACCAGTATGTGTGCTGTATGAAGTTGATGGTGTTGTCTGCCTCCCTTTAAAAGGTAGTGTCTTTAGAGAGGGAAAGGGATTAACCAATGTGGGAAGTGTGAGTTCATGCTGGATTATTTTCTCTTCTCCGCTTCTTTTATTGGAATGTTTTCTGCTCGTCAATGTTCTGGGAGAAGCGTGGAGTTAGTTTATTAGTACTTTTGAAGCTCCTAGTCAGAATCTGGAGATTTCATAACTTCAAAGTCAGATTCAATTAGACACAAGAGAAGTTAAATTGACTTAAAATTTGGCTGGGGATTTCTTTTAGCAATAATGATGTGTGTTTAAGATGTCTGTTATAACACAGACAGCCTTAAACTACACATGTCTTTTGCTCCATAGATATGAGTCTGTTATTTTCTCTAAACCAAAATATGAAATAATTGAATAGTGGTCAAAAAGTGCTGACAAGGCTTTTTTATCAGACTCATCCTGCGTATCGAAGGGCTTAGAGTCCCGGCTGACACGTTCTGTTTGTGCTCCTGATCACACCAAAGATCATTAGTATACATGAAAGGAAGGACCCTTTCAGCTTTTGGTTACTAAGTCAAAACAGAGTGTGTTTTGAACGTGGTGTGATGAACGTGGAAATTTTAAGTAAAATCATTGACGTTGTGGGTGCCCGTGTATACGCAGGATGTCAGTTTCTGAATGAACACTTGCTTTATGAGTGCATTGGAGACCTCCAAGTTGGGTCATTTCTAGATGGGAAATACCTTCTAGATAGAAAATATCTTCTCCCCCTGACTCCTGCATTGGCTCAGCAGAGGATGGAAGGGAAAGGGAAGGAAACCCATGATGAATAGAAAAGCATTACCACCTTCTTTTAAGCAGGAAACACCTCTGGTAAATTTAAAACCCACTTCCTCTTTCCTCCCTGAACATGGATTTGCATATGTCTTCCCAGGAACTCTTCTCTCTTAGATTGGGTTCTTGCAAATCCGTACACTCATAAGAAGCATAGAAACAACAAAGTCTCAATAAGGATTATGGAACGCTTTATCCCGGGCTATGAGGAAAGGGACATAAGAAATATGTGTAAAAGCCTCGATTTCTAATTTAACTTAATTTTTAAAAACTCAGGCCTTCAATGTTTCCTGTCAGGAGGATCCTGTCGTCTTTCAATGGTCTGCCTGTCTTTTTTCTCTCCTCTGCCCTTAAATCCATTTACAACCAATACTAAGTTAGTTGTTCTTAAAACAATATTCTAAGCAAACCACTTCTACTCCAAGCCCTCCACTAATTTCCCACTACTACTGCTTTGCACCCACACTTCAGCTCTGCCACGGGTGGCCCGCCACCACACACCAGCAGGCCA
The DNA here is from genome assembly GCF_000001405.40 of Homo sapiens. NCBI lineage: Eukaryota > Metazoa > Chordata > Mammalia > Primates > Hominidae > Homo > Homo sapiens. The sequence continues at coordinate 76,149,035 of NC_000018.10, read as the reverse complement.
CATTTTCAGTCATGCTTTCTTTCCCTGAGTTCCTGTAGTTCCTGTGCTCCAGCCCCACGGGGACTGATGGCCCCAAAACACAGTGTGCATCTTCCTCCCTGGGCATAGGCTCCACAGCCCCTCTGCTTGCCCCACTCACCTTCGTCTCTTTCTACTCCCCAGGCTTGGAGCCTGTCTGTTATGTAGACCTCAGACCGCCTCTCTGGGTGTGGTCACCCCTCCACGTTGAAGGGGCGCCACACTTTGGATCACTCGTCAGCTCAACCAGCGCGATTAGGCCCTGCGGTGTGCTGAGCCCTGGGGATGCGGAGTGGGTCCCCCATGCTTCCCGCTCTGGGACACTGGAAGTCCAGGAGTGGAGATGTCACATGAGGCGTCCCTGCAGCTTTGGGGAATTGCAGCAAGCACCGCACTGATTTTGCAGGGCCCAGGCAGATGGGGATAACCCTCCTGAGAAGGCTGGGGAAGACTCCTGGGTCGGGGGCTAGCAGATGCTCTCTTAACAGGCAAGCTCAGTTTCAACACAAAGAGCAGGTAGGGGACATAGAGAGACTGGAGGAGCGCAGGCGTGCAGCTGCAATTCGCGCATGGGCACTCACCTGGGGGAGGGCAGACTGAGTTGGGGTTATTGATGTAGATGGTGCATCTCCCCAGTGATTGTAAATTTGGAGGTCAGGGTTATGTCTGTGTGTGTGTGTTTAGCATCACTGTTAAGACGTGACAGAAAAGTCAATGAAGGAGCCTTTCATAAGGCTGACTAGAGAGTTCTCTTTGACTGCGAGGTTCGTGGAGATTAACCTGAATGTCTTTCCTTGCTGGGGCCTCTGTGGTTTCAAGTCAGCTGGACTTGGGCAGCCAGAAGTCAGCAGACCTGAGTGGCAGCTCCTACATGGCGAGCCCTGCTCTCCTGGGCCACCCTGTGGGGCTGGACTGGCTGGGATTGGAGTAGGCCTGGGTTGTAGTTGTGAAGGTGGGGGTGATGTCTAAGGAGAGCTACTCATAGATTCAAGGGAAGATCTGTTGAGATTGGGAAGGGCTACAACCTAGATGGAAAATTACTGGATGGGAAGTGGCCCCAGTACCTGGATGCCCACAGCCGTGGTCCAAGCACTGTCCTGAGCATGGGTGACTCAGGGTCCTCCCTGGGGTAAATGCACCCTGTGGTCCACCTGAGACATAAGCTGCTGAATCCTACAGGGCCCGGCCCGTGACGTGATGTCCAACTGCCTGGTACCGAAAACTGTGTGTTCTGCTGGAGCTCGTGCTTCATAAAGGCTTCCACCTCACCAGCGTCTGGGTTTCCCTGATTAGGACTCGGCTTCCAGCTTGCCTAAGGTTTTAGAGAGGACCAAATGCTTTCCACACAGGAGACTTCATTTCCCTCCTCCATACTCAACCTGGGGGCTGGAATCAAAGTTTTGAACCTGGTATCATGGGGCTTGGGCACAGGAATTGTCCCAGAGGGAGTTGGTTCCTTCCAGGGGTGACATGGGATGAATCTTCAGAAAGAAAGGAGAGCATTGGCAATGTGAGCCCTTGAGGGCTTAGGAGTAGATGACCACAGTTAGAAAACTTATCACGGTGATTTCTTATGTGCTCTTGAAAAGCTTTGTGTTATATGAAGTTCTTGCTTTCCCAAGCCTTACTGATTGCTGCCAAAATTATCTTTGGAGTGATAATGAGGAGGCTACAATTAGTCACCTCTTTCTCTCTCCCTGCCCTCCCCCTGCAGGGACAGACAGCCAGACACACCAAGTATATAGAATGTTTCAACCTTGAGAAGGGACAATACCAACTCCTACGAGGGTGGCCAAGAGGTGAACGATGACCTTCCATCCATGGGAGCTCCGTGCCCTGTGGTTTAACAATAGGCTCCCCTCCGTGCCATCATCCGGGAGTACCTGCTGGCAGGCTGCAGAGGCCGGATTGCCGCTCAGGAAGCTTGTGTGCTAAGATGCGACCCATCAGCGTGGCTGGCTCGTGATCCGAGCTCTTCAAATTGCTAAGAGGAAAGAAGCTGACGCAAACATCCCTTCCTCATCCCATTACCCTCCACCAGAGGCTCCCTTCAGCACACATGGCATGCGTGTGTGCGCGTGTGTGTGCGTGTGTGCATGCGTGTGTGTGTCTGTGTGCATTGTATCTATTTTAGAAAGCAGGCCATGCAGTTTTACATGTGCACACACATGCGCACACACATGCACACACTCTCATAGGTGAATTTAATTGAATGGACTTGGTTCTGTGAAGTTGTCATTTTGTGCTCATCAGAAGAAAGGGGATGTAAAGCTCACAGAGGTGAAGCACACATGTTTGGTCACGAAACAGGTTTGCTTAAAAAAAAAACAACCAAACCAAGGCAAATGCATTCCTACCTAAGCATTTTGAAAGCCCCTTCTTTCCTGGGCTGCTTGCAGCACCCCCCCAGTGCTGGGCCTTTGAAGGGAATCACAGCAAGATCCTTGGGTGTGGGCAAGTGTTGTCCCCTAATGACAGGCATTACATTTGCACAGAAACATAAATCACATCTAGAGGCCGTTTAAAATAGGCTGCAGATGCAGAGGACATCGACTTCCTAAGGGGCACTTTGCAAAGGAGAAAGCAGAGGGACATGCCCCCAGAACCATACCAGTGTTGCCAGCAAGCGTGGAGGGTGGCGGCAGAGCCCAGGGCACACCTGCCTGGCACTGGGGCAGTCTTCATGTGCAAAGTGGTCCTGGAGATAGGAAATGCTTCTTCATGACTCCTGTAAATGGCTTAATTAGGATTTAACCGAGCGATTTCCCCTCCCTGTGTGGGATCTAGAACAGTGTTTACAAGGTGTGTCATATCCTCCCAGCCCTCACCCACATCTCCCCGTGCTCCCCCTCCAGCCCCACACCTGTCCTGCTTTTAACATCCTGACCAAATCAGCCCAAGGATTCTTCAGAGGCGAATGTATCCCGTGAAGCCTGCAATTACTGTCCCTGATTTCACTGTGAAAACTTTACAAGGCCGCACTGAAAAATCTTCCTTTACCCTCCCACTCCTTCTAACAGAACGAAAAAATCCATCAAATTAACACATCAATGAGTTGATTGTAATCTCCAGGGCTCAGTGTGGCACTCTCTAGCCTTCCAGACAGGAGGCCAGCATGATTTATCAATGCAAACCTAATAGCATCAATATGAATCTAACTAAAAATCAATATTTCATTACCAAATTGTTAGTGAGAATGAAGAAAAATTGCCGGAGTCAGAGCATTCTCTAGGGCAGGAGCATCCGGAGTTCAATGTGACAAGATGAGTGATGCGTGACTCCGGGCCTGGGAAGGACGCGGAGGACACGGGAGGACGGGCCACCGCGGCGCCCCAGGCGCGGGGAAGCGCTTCTCGTTGCCACTGCAGCTTCTTCTTTTCTCTTTTCTTTTTAGCCCCTTCTTCAAAGGCAAGGAGCAGTGCAAGAAAGAGAAAATAAAGAAGGCATGACCTGTAGCTGGTTCTGCAACAGGACCACCCTCGTGGGAAGGTGCAGGGTGGGCCCCTTGTCACCGGGGCCTCTTGGAGGACTGCACCCTGGAATCCAGACTGGGGCTTGTCTTTCTTAAAACTCCACTGGGTGCAGCACACTCGGTTTATGTTGAGCCATTTTGCAGAATATATAGGAAAAAGAAATAACGGTCTTGTAAATAAGTCTCCCAGGTTTGTGCTGAGAACGGCAACTGGTGATTGTATGGGAAGCGGAATCTCCCCTCCCTGACGTGGGGAAAGTCAAGGCTCTAACTCGGTCGGCAGATGTTTCTGTCCAAGCTTATGAGCAATTTATTGCCACAGTGGCTCCGTTTCTGTTACCACTCAAATATTGAAGGTCGTTTGTCGAAGAGGTGGGTTATCAAATGGGAAGGAGGAAACAGCGTTAAAACACGTTGAGGTGAGTAACACGGGACTCAGCGCCAGGCCGCACCCTGCGTGCTCCAGGGTCAGAACCGGTCCTTGAAAGTGAAGTGCTCACGTCCTCCCTGACAGCTGGCCATCTGCCCCGCACACAAGCCTGCATCTCAGGCGCCGGTGATGGGTTTGGAGTTAAATAACAGTAACGTCTCTGAGCCCTACCAGCAGGGAAGCCCCTGGTGAGTCCTTCCCTCACATGGGAGGAGGAGGCCACCTCGAGAGGCGTTGGCCTGGACCATCGCTGCCAGTTCCTGCAAGATGGAGATGTGATGCCCCACGCGTCTTTCGCTGTTCTTATTTTTTCTGCAACCACAACCTGATTCTGCTTCTGTAAAGCCTGGTATCTATAGCTGGATGGGTAGAGGATAAGAAAACATAATCGGGTTTATGATTCCAAACAAGACCTGGTTTCACAGATGACTTTGCATAGACTTTGTTTTAACAAATCAATGGTTTGAGTATGAGGCAGTTTAAAACCGTGATTGGAAGCTTGGGCACTGGAGTCAGACAGAGCTCGGTGAATACCTCAGGTTTGCCACATATCAGCAGTGTGATCATGGGTACTTTTCCATAAACTTCTGTAGATCTCAGTTTTTCTGTTCGTAGGGTCATTCTGAGGATTAAATTAGGTATACATGTAAAGGATTTAGCACCCTCACCAAAATACAGTAAATGTCAGGTAAATATTAGCATGGCTACTGCCGTTCTTTTTCTCTAGTGATGGATGATGGCAATAAAACACATTGATGTATTAGTTAAGTTCTTTAAATCTCCAAGAATTCTGTTGTAGGTTTTACCTGTTCTGTTCTATGATATGGTGATATCTGTAATGTTAATGCTTTTAGCTTTATTAGAATGTTACGTGTAGGTGTGCATAGTAAAATCATATGTAGTATATATTTGCCGCTGTGATACAGTCTGACACTGTAGTACGTTAAATCAGGTCACATTCCCAGGATGGTTTAAGAGTCTTATTGGGCACTTAGCTCGTCTTTGGAAGCCCCCGACAAAATGCCTCTTCTAGGATATGTTAAGACCAGTCCTCGTCCTTGACGGTCCTGGCTTGAGGTGCACCCGGAGCTTGGTCTAACACTATCTGGGAAGCTGGCTGTCTTTCTAACATTCCCTACTGGCTTGGTGACCTTATTTTTTAACCCTTTTCTTAAAAAGGGGTTAAAAGAAATTTTGATGTTGATTAGTTTTGTAATAATTCCTCAGTCTGATAAGCACCGAAATCACCAAAATCACCACCAGAGAAGTGGACACACATTGACGGAGAGAACCATGGAGGGTCCCTGCTGGCTGATGAGGGGCATCAGAGTGCTGGATTTGTTCAGTACATGTCTCAGACAACTGTGCAAGGTGAGAAGGGTCCATTCTGATGCCTCTCGTGGTGGTGGTTGGGGTCATCACTGTCGTGCTCGCACACCCAGCTGCACTGCACTAACCTGTTTCCAAGGTGTTTTTCTATCTCTCACTCCATTTGACCGCTGCATTGAGGCTTCAAGGAAGGCAGCCACTGCCATCTTCAGCTGGTTATTCCTGTAAAGGTCTTGGGGGGGCATGAGCATGTTCAGGGCTAAGGTATTCTTCCACTGAGCTTTCAACTCCCTTCTGCCACATTGGCCCTGCAGACCACACTGGCCAGAGCACTGCCTCCTCCACTGCACAGTTTCTTGGCTGTCGCTTTGTCGGGTGTCCCTGGCCAGTGCCAACAAGGACCTCTTCCTCCATCTGCCGTCTCCCTCCACTCACCTAAGAGGTAGGTGAGGCGTTTTGCCATTCCTCTTTCCGAATATTAAAGGATCTATGAATGCAGTGTGGGGATGTTGGGATGAAAGAACTTTTAAAAAATCTTCCTGGAGCTTGAATACCATTACAGAGGACTCAGCTGCACTGTAGGTGACAGGTAAGACCGCACCCAAGGCACCGTTTTCTGGACTGGCACTGCCAGACTTCATGCTTTGCGGCTGCCTTAGGGAGCAAGGATGTTTTTCCAGGCTGCTAAACATTTTCCAGAGAGCAGGAGCTACAGCCACTAAGTCAAGGGTGCACCAGAGCAGTCATTATTTTGCATTTCTCTTTTCTTGTAACACATTTAGTTTCCTTTGGCCTTCTCCACATCTACGGATAAGAGGGTTATAAAAGAGTACTTCCAGAGAGCAGAGGCTGAAAGAATCTGGAAGAGAACTTTCAATTCTGGCATCATCCATGCAGAAATGGCAGAAGCAGTGGAGTATACTCTGAAGTGAGGTGGACCTGACTCTCTATTGGCCTGTCGGAGCAAATGAGAGTCAACCTTGCCAAAAAATAGTGAGGAGTGAGGACAGGAATCTTGGTTTCTGTTGCCAATCAAGCTTACAGGCTAGGCTGACTTACTAGAAGAAACTGTCTTGCTATTTTTCACTTCTAGTCCTTCCTTCATTCCTGCTGGATTCCACCACAAACTCCTAGCCTTTCCCAAGGTTACTATGTATAGAAAACTTCAGTTTCCAGGGAAGGTGTCCCTTGAAGGCTCCTTCCAGCCCAAGCCTCCCCTCTCATTACTATCTACTTCTTTACTAGCTCACTAGTTTCCTTCTCTCTCTCACTGTAAATATCACCCTGATGATTCTCTCTCCATTCAGTTATTTGCAGTCTTGTTTGCCGGCTGTATGCCATTAGCACCTTAATATTCTAGTCTTTCTCGTGGAAGTCTAAAGTTATTACCCTTCCTCCTGGATCCTTCCTTTTTACCCTTTGATCCCCTAATGGGGATCTGGTCCTCTGATCTCTTCTCGACCCCACAGTCCTCGAGGAACCTTTTCTGTAGGATGGCTGTTTCATGTTCTTCGAACTCTACTCGATAACACAAGAGCTTCAAGTCACCTTCGTTTGGGCCCCAGAGACCAGGGAGTAGGCTCCCCTTTGCATTCTCAGGCTAAAAATGCCTGCAGGCCTGACATGTTGTGAGGCACTTCCAGCTCTAAATGCCCTTTAAAAATGATCTTCCGCTCCTCGAATTAGTGAACTTGTGCTCCTTGCTTATTTGACCACCAGCAGTTTTGTTTCCACACTGAGCAGATGTCGCTGGGCTTGGAAGCAAAGCTGGGATGTGCAGTTATTCCTAAATGCCTTGATACCAAGGACTTCCCTGGCTTTCAGTTAATTTTTCAGATCTTCCTGCCTGGCATGTTTCAAACCCAAGGTTGTCTTCTCGTCCCCATCCTCAGAATCGCGTCACCTTTTCTTGGTCTCTGCCCCTTTTCCTCACCACGAGCCATATCCCATCTGGCCCGCTGATGGCTGTACAAGCAAGCTGTCAAAAACGCTTCTTTTTTCTTCTCTTTCTCTTTTCCCTCATTCTTCCCCTTCTCATTCTTTCTTCTTCCTCTGAATTTAAAACAGTCTCTTATAGTTTCTCTTTATCATAATTTTAATATTTCTATTATTCCTCACTCAGCTGGTTATATGTGGTATGATAAATCCTCATAAGAAGAAAACACACAAGTAATATTGGCAGTGATCATATAACTCAGATTTTCTTACAGTGTCCCTTTAATTCTAAGTTTCATTGACCCCATTATACATCCTGGGCTGCATTGCTTCATCTAGAAAATATTTTTACCATCAGTACAGTTGACCTCCAAGGGCCCTGCAAACACCATATCTTTAAAGATTAACTCACAAAGAAGTGAAAAACAATCTTATTACATTGGCTGGTGCTTACTTAAAAGGGTCCTGTCCTTATGCCTAGATCTGCTTCCTTTTAATCTCTGCTATCTTTCTTCGCTTTCTCACATTTCAGATGCAGAATGCTGTGTTATTTTTGCCCAGCAATAAAGAAGAATCGTGATAGCTTTTCCAAGGTGCCTCCCCCATCCTTCGCCTATCTCAATGGATGGGATGTTTTCCAACTGCTCACATTGCTTGGTCTTGTAGTACAGCTTTGAATTTTGTTTCTCATTTTTTAAAAAAATACAGAGCATTGTGTATCATGTACATTACTATTAGCATAAAATTGACAAGGAATTCAAGGATACCATTTTTGCCAATTGTAAAAGGCCTAGCACATGTACAATTACATGGTTGTAGGTCTCTACCTATCATTAAAACCATTGTCCTTCAAATCAGGAAGCCTGAAATTTGGTATTACCTCTGCCTCTGACTTTGATTGACTTTTTTTCTATCTCAATGTTTTTCTATTTTTGATTTGCCTTTTAAAATTATTAAATGGTGATACTATACCTCTTTATAGGTAATAAGTAGAACTCTGTCTATAGGATACATTGGATCGAGCACAGTTGCCCACTTCTCTCTGTCCCCTCCCTAGAAGGAGCCCCATCCCTCAAGATTACCCTGTCTTGCCCCTCATACTTCCAAACATTTTTTCTTTCTCCAAGTACAAAGATCTCAGTTGGTGTATTAGTCCATTTTCACACTGCTGAGTAACACATACCTGATACTGGATAATATATAAAGAAAAAGAGGTTTAATGGACCCAACAGTTCTATGTGGCTGGGGAGACCTCAGAGTCATGGTGGAAGGTGAAAGGCACGTCTTACATGGCAGCAGACAAGAAAGAATGAGAGCCAAGCAAAAGGGGAAACCTCTTAAAAAACCGTCAGATCTCGTGAGAATTATCCACTACCACCAGAACAGTATGGGGGAAACCACCCCCATGATTCAATTATCTCCCACTCGGTCCCTCCCACAACACATGGGAATTATGGGAGCTACAAATCAAGATGAGATTTGGGTAGGGACACAGCCAAACCATATCAGCTGGTTATTAGGGAGAAAATTTTGTTCTAAACTAAATCATCCTAAGAAATACATGACCACCAATGCAGGCTAATATTCCTAGAAATATTTGTACTTTCAAATAGACATTTGAAAACAATCCAACAGAAATTACTTAATTTCCAATCATGGAATTAAAAAAAAAAGGCATTTTGATCAGGGGTCCTTTCTCAGGGTGTAGCTGTTCCCAGTCCCAGCTGTGGGTGGTATGGTCAGTCCCACTGTGCTGGGGGAGGGAGCTGGCTCCAATGTGGGCAGGTCACATGCCTAGACCAGCAGTACCCAGGATGCTGCCATCCAGAACCTGAGCTTCGGTCTCCACCCTATCCATGAAACATCAGAGGTGGCATCAAAGCCCCTTCAGACAGAGTGCTGAGGACCCTCAGGAGGGAAGTCCCACCCCTCTGTTGCAACCCTGGTTCACTGCAGAAATAATAAACCATCCTGGCTTCCTGCCCTTATGTCTGAAGCTGGAGGTCTCTACATGAAAGCTCATCTCAAAAGTTATACCTGAAGACGTCAGTGCAGGACTAACAAAAGGACTGTTCCAAAGGACTTTGATTATTATTACTGTTGGAAAAATCACCACGTAATTCTAGGAGCATGACGTCTGCTCATCTGCACAGCTGCTCAATAAAACAGATCCCTTCTAAGTGTATAGCTACCCTTGGTGGTAAAAAGATTGTTCACAGGTTTACTCTTTACAGCGAACAGCTCCTGTAGAAATTTCCCATTTCCATTTTGCTGTGCGATTGTCTCACAGGAGGGCTCCTGAACAACTTTATTTGTGGAAAATGACAGCACTCTTGTATGCCATCACTTTGTGCTTTTGGGGTTTTCATTTAATATAATTCAGGTTTGTTTTTTCTTAAGGTATTTTACATTTAAAGGTTTTTGTACAAATTTGGTAAAGAAAGCAAGAGGCTTAAGAAGGAGAGTGGTTCATGACATCACTGATGAAGGAGCAGAAGTTTCTAGAGGATGCCTATATGGCTAGGTCTTGATCTAACTCACAAGGGGGCTGAGAAAGATTGTCAGCCCCTGTGAGGCTTCATGTTTCCCTAGTCCCTTCCCTACGATGACTTCAACATGCCATGTCTGTTTTATTCTTGGTCGTAATAACATCCCTGTAAATGCCGGGGTATGGTGGTTACACAAAGAGCCCTGAGAAGGAGTAATCAGAGGGCACCTGCTACAGGGCTATGCAAAATGATTAGGCCTTTTAATCTGCAAAGGGTGTGGGAGAGAACATGCAGACATGAAATGGACACTAGGTCCCATTTAATTTATGTGATCTGGTAGGTGAAGATTCCCAAGTGATGCTTCCTTGGGGTGCCACCTACGTGTGCCCCAGCACGGGCTGACACACTGGGAGTGCTGGAGGCCTGGGCTGCACCCAGGACCTGCCTGATAGATGCTGAGCCACGTGCAAACCAGAGGTCCTGGTGCTACCAGAGAAGGAAGGAGAGTCCAATCCAAAGGCTAGGATTCCATCCTTATGGATGGAAACAGATTGTCACCAATCTTAATATTTGTCATTTTTGAAGTGTGGGATCTAAGATGCAGAGAGTGAGTTACTTGCCCAACATTTTGCAGTTAATTAAGAACAAAAGTGAGGACATAGGATCTTTCCACTCCCACTACAGTGAACCTGAGAAGAAGAGATTCTGAATCTGGGTGCCCTCTGGCCATCACTGTACCAACTTGCATATCAAGTCAGTTTGTTCTGTCGGGAAATAAATGAATAACTGTACTTGATGCAGTAGAAACAAAAGGAAAGAAACAAAACAAACCCCTTATAAATGAGGGAATGACTCTCTGTGACTGCCATACAAGGCATCTAAGCAACCAGTCAGGGTTCAATGAGTCCTTAAGATGCCGGTTGTCAGGACGCTGTGGAATTGCTTTCAGATGTGAGAATAAAATTTTTATATGTCATTAAAGGTACCCTAGGGATATCTGACATGAAGGAAATCATCCAACTTTCAAGACTAAGTATGTTTAAATTGATACATATGTGTTAGGGTTTGAGTTCTGTTGTAGAATTTGAAAATGACCTCTGCCACGCCTATAAAAGTTCATACCATGACTGTTCTTATGAGCCACTCAAAAGATCTAAGATTTCAGCATACCACCCTCTCTTGAATTTTAAGTTTTAAAAGGAAATTGGCTGTTGCAAAGACAATATAAGACATGGTTCTTTCTTCATGGTCAGTTATAGATCTGGGCGGTCAATAATCAATGTTCCACCTTAATTTTAAAACAATGTTAAAGCCATGGGGACATTGCCCTGAGTTTTATCTTTATGAGGAAAATTTAAAACGTGTGTTAGGCAAGAACAAAATTTTAAAATTAAAAATAGTCCACTTTTGTTGTTATTACTCTGCTCCAAACAGTCTGGAGACATGGTATAATTTAAGAAGACTGATTTCAAAAAGAATTCATGCACTTTCCACTTATATTTCTCAATTGATTTCAAAATTGCAAAGAAAGAAAATAAACACCTCCTGGTTGTCTTAATAAGACTACCAAGCTTCACCAGGTATCTATTTTTATTACCCTGAATACTTACTCCAGCAGCCTAAATTAGGAGCTGAGGTGCCAGCACAGGAGCATTCTCTGGGCTTGGGCTTGTTCTATACTGCTTTGAATATTACCAACAAGACCTCTATATGGATTAATCTAAGGGGAGAAAAAAATTAGCTAAAGCCATAAAGATAATTAATCTTTGTTTGAAATGATATTTTCCTTTCTGCTGCCATTTGTCATGTGGAAGCATTAACAAACCCTTTCACTGCAGTGGAAGCCAAGGGATGTGATTTGAAACTGCTTGAAAATATTCCTTCTCTTTTTATTTCCTCCGCGTCTCCCTCCTCCCAAGCCTCTATGAATTTGCTCCAGTTTCAAAGGCCATCACCCAGGGCTTCCAAATACGTGATTGAAATCCACTACTGCCCAAGACTAATCCCAGAGATGAGGGCCGGTCATCAGATAGCCCAGCAGCTGTGCTGGTGAGCAGAAGGGGCTAACTCCCACGCTTTTTAAAATTTGGGTGTTGCCCCTTTCAAATGGTTATTATGACGGTGTCTTTATCATCAATGAGGCTGTGTTGGTGAGGGTCTACAGATGGCGTTTCTTCCCTCCTCTCCCACCGAGCTTTCTTTTATTTTTTTATTTTCATATCCTGATGAGTTCTTTATATCTAGTGAGGGCTTGGCTTAATTAGATATTTAAATGATTTTGAGCAATGCTGTTTCTTTAACTCCTAACTGCGACAAACACATATGAAACATACTGTTGGCGGCATTTAATCAACAGCAGTCAATTTATCATTTTCACAGTTTTAGTGAGCGGTTATGAATCACTAAAATCACAGGTATTGTAGACGCAGCGTTGTGGCACTATCATTAACAAATACACCGTGCACAGAGGGATGACTTCGTAATTGAGTGGGACTAATAAGAATACATCATTTAGCTGCGTGTGACAAACTGTGCCTCCAAACACAAGCATGGAAAATTCACGTTTTGCTTAATAAATAAATTACACAGCCAATGTATTATACATAATTTGTGTCCTCGTGGATTTGAGTGATATATAATGCATGGTCCAAGTCATTTATTTATTAAGACTAACTATATATATTGTGGGAAGGGAATTTTAAACTCCAGGGTAAGGCCTGCCTGGCTAACTGCTGCAACTACTGAGTTTGATTGGGCAGTAAATGAGGTGTGTTTGGGGAGTTAAAAACTGAGGGTAGTGCATCAGTTTTTACTAGCTTCCATTTTGTCTGTTGATGGCAGAGAGGAGGAAACACAGTTGAAACTTTCACAGCATGGCAAGAGATATGCAATTTTCAGAGATGAGATAAATGAAAACATCTTTAAGAATATTTGAGGTAAAAAAATGTAAGGTTCATTATATCAAACACATTTTGGGAGTGCTAAATTGCAAGAGGCTTAGCAATTTGCTTTCAGGATGATTGATACAAACAGGGAACCGTGAGGTATTCTAACATGTGGCATATCCAGATGGAAAAAAAAGGTAGTAAGACAATGTCCTTAGGGTGTCCACATTCCTGCTTTGCATAATCTAGGAGCCAGGAATTGACTGTAATCATGAGGCCCAATAGTTGGGGGAGGGTCTTACAGCTTCAAAGTGTTTTCGGATGACCTCAGTATTTGGGGACAGGGACGGTGCATGTTTCTCCAACACGGACTATCTTTGTATTATAATTTATGAACGTAATCACAAATGCATGCAACTCTAAAAAAGGAACCATGAGATCTGACATAAATTTCAGCTCTTCTTCACTAAGCAACTGGAACCCCCCACCCCAATATATGAATTCACACAGACAAACAAATGCAGACAAAACCTGCCCCAAACCCCAAAACCCTTCATGGGAGATTTGCAAGAATTGTTGAAAGCTGCCCCTCTTCTTTGTCTCTCACTAGGCTTGTCCTGGGAAACCTTCTCTGGTATTGGAGCCCTCTTCTGTCAGAGCCCTAATTGTGGTTTCTGATTATTCCATGTCTCTAATCACACAAATCACCTGAAGATTACTGTAGGTATAGGTGACAGCAATTGGTTTCTATGAAGGCTTTTATCCTTCCATAGACTAAAGCCCTGTCTACAGGATTTATTTATTATTTGCATTTGCCTATCCTTCCTTCTCACTGAAGAGCTGTGCTGCACAGATGCTTGGTGATATAGTTTGGATGTTTGTCTCCTTCAAATCTCATGTTGAAATGTGATCCCCAGTGTTGAAGGTGGGGCCTGGTGGGAGCTGTCTGCATCATGAATGGCTTGTTGCCCTCCCCATGGTAATGAGTGAGTTCTCACTCTATTAGTTCACATGACAGCTGGTTGTTTAAAAAAGCCTGCTGTCTCTTGCTCCCTCTCTTGCCATATGACCTACCTGTTCCCTTTTCACCTTCCATCATGAGTAAAAGCTTCCTGAGGCCTTACCAGAAGCTGAACAAACCACTGGTGCCATGCTTGTACAGCCTACAGAACCGTGATCCAAATAAACCTCTTTTCTTTGTAAATTACCCAATCTTGGATAATCCTTTATAGCAACGCAAAATGGACTAACACACTTGCTGCCAAAATAAGTGGGTAGCCATGTTATGTGTTATTCCCATATGTGGAAGAGTCACTTTCTGATTGGGGCATAAGTGAAAATCAAGTCCCACATGATTCTCCAAGGCTTCCTGAGTAAAACCCTCACACTCTGCATGGGCAGCGGGGCCCAGGGTCTGCTTTGACTATCTCACCCAGCAGGACCACTATGATGGGACCCCATTTCTCTGCTTCCCTTGACAGAACAACTAGAAAAGCTTTCTGCACTCACTGTCCCCATGGCCTCCCCAACATGACTTCCTTGAATCCATTTACAGATTTGACCCCACTGCTCCACTGGGGTTGCTTTTATAAAGGTGCTTCCTGGCCTTGGTGTTGGTAAATCCAGTGGTTGGTTGTTGGACTTGCTCTTGCTCAACTGTTGGCTGCTTTGATGTGGTTGATGACATCCTTCTCTTTGTACCAACTTTTTCACTTGACTTCTGAGACATCACTTCCTCCTGGTTCTCTTTCTACCTCAATTATTTTCACTTCCCTCTACCGAATTCTCCTCATTTTCCTGCCCCAGGATGTAGGAACACCCCAGGGCTTTGTTGTAGGACCTCTGTGTACATGTATTCCTCTTATGTAGGCCTGTATTCTATTGCTGTAACTATAATTTACAGACGATATCTTCCAGTCTATCTAGTCCAGATTTGTCTATCCAATGACCTACTTGGCCTGTGCACCTCAATGCTTAATTTGAACTTCAAATTTAATGTGTCCAAAGCTAAATCATCCTGCAAAAATCTGCTTTCTTCCCATTTTTACCCATCTCAATAAATAGGAAGTAAATTTTTTCTAATTTTTAGGACTCAAGCCTCAAAATTACCCTCAGTTCATTTCTTTATCTCATTCTTCACATCCAAATCTTTGAGAAATCCTATGGACTCTGCTTCAAATATATCTTTACAATCTAATCACTTCCTAGAGGAGGGACCTTCAGAATGGTGGAGTAAGGACTTCCATAAATCCATTTCTCCATAAAAGCAATGACAATACAGGCAAAATTATCAACGTCAGCCTCTTTTCAACAACATCCAGAACTATGGAAACTGACCAAAGTTTACAACAACTTGAAAAGCATTTACTCATGAAAAATGACTGAACATTGATAAGAACAGCAGAGCTGTGTTTTAACTTGGCCTACTCCCCTCCTTCTGTCCTCAGTCCTACAGTATCCTTGAAAACCAGGAATCTCAAAATCATAGCAATCACAAAATCCAACAGCCTCACAGCTACTGGGCAGGGCAGAGTGGATTTGGAGCACCTCAAAAAGGTCCATCCCCAAGGCACTGTCCCCATTGGATCCATCTTACAGCTCCCTGGGAAAAGCCCTATTCACAGGGCATTGTTGTTATTTGACCTGACTCAGAGTTCCGTGAGAAAAGTCCCATCTCCAGAGCATTTGTTAAAAATAACGAGCTGCACTAAAAAAAATTCTGGGGATCAAGATGTCCACAGAGGGCTTTGAAGGGCTGTGCTTTTCTTTCGGAAGGTCTTCAGGCTTTTTGCATGTGCAGGGCTATGGCCAGGCTGGGACAGACCTGAAGGAATCCACAACCACTCACCTTTGGCTGACCTTGAGACCGTGCACAAGCAGGAAATAAAGGCTAAGGGAGACTTGGGAATGGTCTGGGCACTGAAGATGTGCTTGACACACACAATGGTATTAAAGGGCTCCTGGAAGACTTGCTGGCTAAGACATCTCAGGAAAACTCTGACCAGTCATTAGCTGAATGCTAAGCTAATGAAGCAGAGACTTCAGTAGTCCCATATAACAGGGAATGCAGACTTTATGGAATTAACAAAACAAAACAAAACAAAACAAAACACAGCCACAATAAAAAACCCCGGGGAGGGGACAGGATCAGAGCTCCAGAGTTGCCTCATTCTATTATCTAAAATGTCCAGTTTTCAAAGAAATACTATGGGATGCGCAAAGAAACAGGAATGTGTGGCCCATATATGGGGAAAAAAAGCAACCACTAGAAAATATCCCTGAGGGTGCCCAGATGTTGGACTTATCACAGGCTTTAAATCAGTGATCACACATATGTTGAAAGAATGAAACTCGAATCACTTCCCATCATCTCTGCTGATCCTCCTCTAGTGCATCATCTGACCTGGCCCAGGCAACATCTTCCTATCCGGTTCCCTGGATCACAGCTGCTCCTTACGGTCTGTTCTTTGTGCTTGAGCATAAGAAGTCCTCTAACCACGGCAGTCAGGTCACGGCATCACTTTCATTTGCTTGCATTGCGCTCCTGTTAAAAATCCGGAGTTCTTAGCAGAGCACAAGTGCCCCTAATGATATGGTCCCAGCCACTTCCTTGACCTCCATCCCATGACTCTCCCGCTTCCTCACTGCTCCTCGGGCACACCAGCCTCCTGTGCTTCCTGGCGACTTCAGGCCTCAGGTCAATTATCACCTTTTCAAAATGACTTTTCTGATTTTTTGTTTCATGCCTTCCCTTCTCTAGAATATAGGCTCAATGAGATGAGGTAAGTTGCCTCTTATCCCATTGCGGTTACATACCTGGTTTAGAGTAGGTAATAATATGAGTTGAATAAATGAATACAGGCTGACACAGCTTAATGGTTATACTAGGTGCGTAATTTTATTAGGAGTGTCATTTACAAGGACTTTGAAGTCATCCTGTGGTGCTCATTGGTGCTCAGTGGCAGAAAACTGTAAAATGCCTCTCCTTTGCCACTTGTAAAACATCCAAATCAATAATTTTAAAATTTAAAATTAAAAATTTTAAAAATGCAATAGGCTGGCTGGGCGTGGTGGCTCATGCCTGTAATCTCAGCACTTTGGGAGGCCAAGGTGGGTGGATCACGTGGTCAGGAGTTCAAGACCAGCCTGACCAACATGGTGAAACCCCGTCTCTACTAAAAATACAAAAATTAGCTGGGCATGGTGGTTTGTGCCTGTAGTCCCAGCTACTCAGGAAGCTGAGGCAGGAGAATCACTTGAACCCAGGTAGCAGAGGTTGTAGTGAGCTGAGATCATGCCACTTCACTCTAGCCTGGGTGACAGGGCAAGACTCCGTCTCAAAAAAAAAAAAAAAAAAAAAAAAAAAAGCCATAGTCTGAAGTGCCCAGTATTTACATAATAGCAATTTGATTGCAGTTAATTCCTTAGAAAACCACTTCTACATGTTCTGACTTGTCTCTTCTGGCATTTGAGAAACACTATCTCCCAGGTTTGATTTAGGCAACTTAAGATTTTCCAACCACAATGACTTGCAGAGATGAAGGGGAAGAGCCTCAGATGTCTGGTATGGGTGGGGCTGATGATGTCATCACTGGTAGGTCCTCCTTGTCCAGGCCCAGGGTGCAAGCTATGCCAAACCTAGGGGCTCCATGCACAACCCTGCAACCGAAAGTGAAAGATCTGGTTGGCATAGACTTTAGATATGAGAAAGAAAATAAGGTTCTGGAATGAAGTAGCAAACATTTCCCCTTCTGTTGCTTGTGGTAGGAGTTACATTATTAAGGTAGAAGTGTGGAATTCAGAGAAGACTCAAGTTTTCAACCAATGTGCATTCAACAAACATTTTTTGTAGCAGTGACTATGTGCCTTCTAGGCACTGTGTTTTGTACTGGACATACAATGCTGAAGCCTTCACCATCTTGGGTTGTACAGCATGGTAGAGGATAGAGATACCAGCCAAATAATTGTAGAGATAAATATATCATCATAATTTTGATAAACTATAAAAAATACAGAGGACTAAGAAAGTGTAACAGAGATTGTCATTTTTATCTATGTGAGAGGTGAAGTACCTCCGTGAGGGAGTGATAATTATCCTGGACTTGAAGGGTGGGGAGATCACTCCGATGAGAAATGGGACAAGTGTCTCCATCAGAGGGAAGAGTGGAAACAAACACTCCAGGGCAGGGTGGAGTCCGGCTCCGTGTGGAAATGGAAAGAAGGTCAGCGTGATTGTAGTTTCACAAAAGAGAAGTAAAGCGGGGGTGGTGAGATGAGGCTGGAGAGGCAGGCAGGGGCCGGAGCGAGCAGAGCCTTGGGGGCCGTGCTGAGGATCTTGGATTTTAGCCTAAGAGTAATGCAAAACGGCCGAATGATTCAAACGAGGGATCTGCGTCATCCAATTTGTGTTTTCCCAAGAACACACTGCTCTGCAGAGATCAGATTGGGTGGAGGCAAGAATAAATGTGGGGAATCCCTCGGCGAGCTGTGGGACAGGTCCTGGCAAGATTCACGGAGGCTTGGATGGTGGCCACGGCAATGGAGAAAGGGCAATCTAGTTTCTCATAGTTCCAGAGGCCAGAAGTCCAAAGTCAAGTTGTGGGCAGGGCCTGCTCCTTCCAAGGCCTCTCGGAGACTTCTCCTTTCCCCGCCTCTCTCACAGGTCCCTGTGGCTGCAGGTGCTCCTGGCTGGTGGCTGCGTCCCTCCACGCTCTGCCTCCATCGTCCCATGGTTCTTCCTCGTGTGGATCAGGATGTCCTCTCCTCTTCTTACAAGGACACCAGTCCTTGAATTTAGGGCCTGATCCTAATCGCATCTGCAAGGATCCAATTTTCAGATAAGATCGTGTTCTGAGGTTCTAGGTGAAGGTACGTTTTGAGGGGCCCTATTCAACCCAGGACAGAGGGTGAGGGCAGTTTCCGGGATAACCACCAGGTTTCTGTGTAGACGGCAGTGCCTGGAAGTATCAGAGTGGAGACACCTGAAGCAGGTCTGAGGCAAGAGGTCGAGAGCTTTGAGTTAGTCACGTCAGGTGAAAGGCACTGGGAGGCATCTGAGAGGAGCTTCCAGGCTTCCGTTGGATGTGCCGATCCGAGAGGTTCAGATTGAAAATGAAATTTTGGAGAGGTGATATAAAGACGGTTTTGATAGCCACAGGACTGGATGAGTTGACTGAGGAAAGAAAATACACTAGTCTCAGGATTTGTAACATCTTTAAGAAAGTTTGCTCTTTGGAGGAGAATCACAGCCCGGCCCAGCATGTTCCCACGCTTTCCTGAGTGTCGGTAAGCCGATACAAGTTTTCAAGCGAACTATCTTTCTAAACTTCCTTGGGGTCTGAGAGGTCACAGTGACTCCTGATTCTGTTGCAAGGTGCCTGGCTTATCAGAAATACAAACCTGCATGGGTTCCGGAAGGTGGCACAGTCTAGGGCCCTAAGGGTGTAGGCTGGGCTTGGAATTCTCTATAGGGTGCTGGGCTCTAGCCAGCGTGTGGTAAACTGGGCCCACGCAGAGGGAGAGGAGCAGCAGACCTGGCTGGGGCCCTAAAAATCTGAGGCCCAGTCATGGGTCAGCTCAGGTTTTCTGAATTTTGGCCACTGACTTACCATTACCAGCCTTGGGACCTCATCTGTGGGATGAAATGGTACCAGTGAATCCTAATTCATGGGGTTGTTTTATTTATTTATTTAGAGACAGCTTCTCACTCCATCTCCCAGGCTGGAGTGCAGTGGCGTGATGACGGCTCACCACAGCCTCGACCTCACAGGCTCAAATGATCCTCCTGCCTCAGCCTCCTGAGTAGCTGGGTCTACAGGCATGCACCACCATGCCCAGCTAATTGTTTGTATTTTTTGTAGAGATAGAGTATGTTGCCCAGGCTGATTTCGAGCTCCTGCGCTCAAGCAATCCTCTCCTCTCGGCATCCCAAAGTGTTGGGATGACAGGCATGAGCTCCCACACCTGGCCTCACAGGTTTGCTATAGGAATAAATGGGATAGTACATCTGAGGGCCTCATCACAGGTCCGGGGCACAGAAGGAGCCACTAAGAAGCCTTGATAAGGAAAGTGAGAGGCAAAACATGAGGCCAAATGTTTTTCAGTCAAACTGCACTTTTCTGTTAAAATGGAAGGAACAAAGCCTCATATTTTTGCAGGCCATGGCAATCTGACTAGGTACGAGGAAGGGCTGGTTGATATGAGATTTCCATGGTAAGAGATGGGCCAGAGACACATGGAGGTGCCTCCTTCATTGCCATGCCATGCCATGCCCACAGAGGGGTGGACAGATTCCAGAGAAAAGTTGTGGGTTGAAAATGTGTCCTTTTGTAGGAGAAGAATTAAATATCATGATTTCTAAGCTTTTAAAATACATTAGGATTATGGGCCTATTTTATTCAAAATTCCCCTGACACAAGGTCGCAAATGTGATGCCTCAGCTTGGATTTCCTCTGGAGCAACATACAGAGGGGATTGTTAGGACTTATCACACTGTGCTCCCCGCAGACATACTGAAGCCCAAGGGGCTGTGTACACGGGAACTTGTATGGAAAAGCAGCCAGTCACGGGGCTCAAGACCACAGAACAGCAGCCTGCATGGCCCTAAAATAGGCTCTACTAACCTTCACAAATGAGGTGGGGGCAATCCCAAGAAATCACAGATTTTAAGTGACATCCCATGAATGACCCACGTCATCCCTTCTCCTCAATTATGGACAGCCTGTGAGCACCAAAGGCACCGTGGGTATGTGAAGGTCAAAACAGAAGTAAAAAGCAACAAGGAAAGCTATTCAGCAGGAAAATGCCCTTGAAACGATGTAGGTTGATTCCCTTGCAACTCAGTCATTAACCATCTAAAGGCCCAAGCAGGAATTTTGGATCTTCCTTCTTTTCTTTTCTTTTTCTTTTTTTTTCTTCTGTCATTGCTGATCCCCTTTTGCTAAGCCCATGCTAACAGGACAGAAAGATAAAGAGCGAACACAAACACGTCTTGGCCCCTGCGGCCACTGAGATAAATTTAATAATTTAAATTGACCTAGGGCCTATGTATGGAATAATCCTCCACTTAGATGACCCGGTGATTCCTAACTCATTTTCAAGTCCGTATCCAGCCGTGTGAAAGTGTTAATGTCTCCCTCCATCACACTGTGCTGGGTACACTTATCTTTTTCATACCCAATAACCAGAGACAATGATTATATTATTCATAAGATATTTTTACCTGAAGAGATAAGACATACAGCTTTAGTTATTATTTCCTAATCTTTTTTTTTAAACTGCCACCTTCTTATATAGCCCTAGGAATAACCTTAATTTTTATATTAAAATTGTCTTTTCCACATTTTTAGTTGTTTCTGATTTTTTAAAAATTAATATTACAGAATAAACAGTGGGAATTTAAAAAGGAGAGCCTGTATCCCATTTGTAAAGAAACAAGCAAGCACAGTGGGAGTCATAAGACAAATGCTTCTGGTCCATGCCCTCTGCTGACCTCTTTTGGTTGCAAATCCCTCTGGAGAAGGATGGATGCCATAGACCCTGTCCTCAGACAGTGGGCAGGTTCAAACACACCTGAATTCTGTGCTGAATTTGGTGGATCGAAAGCCTTCCTGGAATCTGACTTGTGTTATCTTCCTTGCAGTATGACTCCTTCCTATCATGATAGATGTGACGTCCAATTGTTTTAGGGCAAAATAAGTGGCAGATATCCTCTAATATGTTTCTCTGCTAATTCGAATGGAGGTTGCCATGATGAAAGTCCTATTGCCCAAGAATTTCCTTCAGGTTCCTCCTGAAGACCTTCAAGTCGGCCAAACAAAGTGCATGCCTTAGACAAACATCACATGTTCTCACTTGTTTGTGGGATCTAAAAATCAAAACAATTGAACTCACGGACATAGAGAATAGAAGGATGGTTACCAGAGGCTGGGAAGGGTAGTGGGTGCATGGTTGGGGGAGGTGGGGATGGTTAATGAGTACAAAAAAAATAAAGAATAAATAAAACCTACTATTTGATAGCACAACAGCCTGGCTATAGTGAATAATAACTTAATTGTACATTTTAAAATAACTTAAACAATGTAATTGGATTGTTTGTAACTCAAAGGATAAATGCTTGAGGGGACAGATACCTCATTGGCCATGAAGGGATTATTATGCACTGCAAGCCTGAATCAAAACATTTCATGTACCCCATAAATATATACATCTACTGTGTACCCACAAAGATTAAAATAAAAAATTTTAAAGTGCATGTGTTTTCTGAAGCTTGAATACAATTGGACTATTAGAATTTTCCTAAATTCTAGAAATCTCTAGAAATTCTAGAATCTCTCTCTGTGGAGTAAGAGATTAGCACTTCTGAAAGAAGAGTTAGATGTTAATAGGTTATGTTATGCTTCCTTCATTAACGGTTTAGAATGAGGTAATTTCCCTGATAGAATGGAGAAGTCAAAATACTCGCGTTTGTACCCATCTGCTTCACTTGACCTTGACTGAGTCTTGTTACCCCTTACAGGGTCTTCATTATACAAAAGCGGGATGCACTGGTTTTTCTGTGCTCCTTTCTAGTTGTGTTACCACTTCATGAAATTCTGTCCTGATGTTTGTTCCCTTAAAGAAACCTTTGATTCACTTGGCTCTTATTCTTGTCCACCAGGTCCCTTCAGTCTCCTGAATCACGAGGCCTGTTTCTGTAGTTTTGTGGAAATAATGGAAGCCTTTGTAAACTCTTCCTCATATTGGGGTGCAAATATGGTCACCTGTTCTTATTTTAAACAATTGCCCAAGGACCTCACATGCCTCTTTAGCAGAAAGACTCACCGTATCCAAAATCCTCAGGGCATTGGACAGTCCAAAGGCAATGCCTCTGCTTCAGCCCCTGAGCAGCCACAGGATGGAGCTCTGAGTTCTTCCTGCCACACTGAGTCCCCTAGGGTGCTTGATCCTCTCCTGCCAAGCTGAGGCTGATCCCAGCTGCAGAATGCCTCTTGTCCCCAACCCTGTAAGAACCGTGTTTCTCAGAGGAAGGACTATCCTCTGCTGTCAGTGCTCTCTTCGCTCATGCATGGGGCTTGATGCTGCAGATCTCCGGGCTTCACGGTCCGTGTTGCCATACATGGCCACATTTCAGGCCTCTGGCTGGGCCTGGGCACAAGGCAGCCAGGAGAGGAGGGCATGTGTGTGCCACACCATGGGCCAGGAGGCCATTTTTTGCCCTCCCCTAGGACCCAGGACATGGACTGGACATTTGTTTTGCTGCCAAACTTTTCAAACGCAGTGCCTGAATTCACATTTTTTTTTTTAAATAGAAAATGAGACACATCTATGGAGAGGAGACTACGACCTTCATTCCTTCCAGGGGAGGCTGACTGCATCATTCTGGGTGGTGAGCTTGGTGTTACTACAATAATTTAACATCGAAGAGAAGCTCTCCAAGTGATTCAAGGGCATTCACACCTGTTCTTCCGAGATGGGTATTCCAAGGTGATTTTCTTACACCTCCCGTGTAGATAACTGTCTTCGAACTTTTGGGCACCTTCTTCCATAAGTATTTTGACGCATTGGTCTTTGACAATGCACTGTAGCATCCTTTGAGGATAGGGACTGTCTCCACTCTGTGGCCCAGAAACCTCATTAGAAAAGCTTGGAGTCAGCTGGGCTCAGTGGCTCATCCTGTAATCCCAGCACTTTGGGAGGCTAAGGCAGGTGGATTTCTTGAGCTCACAAGTTTGAGACCAGCCTGGGCAACATGGCGAAAACCCATCTCTACAAAAAAATACAAAAATTAGCTAAGCATGGTGGCACTTGCCTGTAATCCCAGCTACTTAGGAGGCTGAGGTTGGGGGATGGCTTGAGCCTGGGAGGTGGAGGTTACAGTGGGCTATGATCACACCACTACACTCCATCCTGGATGATATAGCCAGACGTTGTCAAAAAAAAAAAAAATCCTGAAGTCCCATGTCCTGTGAGCACACAGCAACCAACATCTTTGTGACCGACAGAATGACATTGTGCCATCTGTCTGAGTGAGAATTTGTTGAGTATTTATGCCCTACATTTACTGTGAGAATTAAAGAGGAAAAATGCATGTAATTCTTAGCAGAGTACTTGACATGTTTTCAGCGTTTAATAAAAATTAGCTATTATTCTTGTTGGCTATTAATTTTTATTGTAAAAGGCAACATTTTAGTTCTTGGAGAAATAAAATAAGGCATTTAATACATTCACATTAGGAAGGAGTTAGTTCTATCATGGTTAGTTGTGGTTTTGGAACAATTTGATCTCTTTACCAATAATTGTACATTTGAATGTTGAAACTATTAAAGTACAAAGATTCCAATTGGACTGGGCTGATAGATTTCTCTATCTGCTTAGAATATTTCTTTTTTTTTTTTTTTTTACCATATTAGGATGAGAGAACATGAAATAAATAATGAATTAGCAAATGACATTTTCAAGGAAAACCAACTGAAAACTTAGCAAGCTTAATTTCAGTGGATATAGGTGCAAGTTAGCTCACCTGTACAAAGAAAACAAACAAAACATAAAATGTGAAATGATTATGCTGCTTATGTGATTTGGAAAAATAACTCATAGCTGCGGTATTCTAAAAATTCAAATTTGACTTTAAAGATTGTTAAGAGGGAAGGAAGATGTGACACTAATATTTACATATTAAGTTTTGATGGAGACCATAAAAGAAACTCAGCATCAAACTTAAATGCTCATATAAAAGTCAGGCATGGTTAGATCATCTCCTTACAATCACACAGGGGCTCTAACTTGCCATCGTAAACAAAAAGGAAAACTGGGACCTATGATCTTGTCCCCAGTCGCTGATAAGCAACTTTACGTTGTCTCTTCGGATATGGGTGAACATTTAGTTGGGGAAAATGCAGAGACTGCAGGTATTACAGGGAGCTGTAATGGCGAACTTACTTTGAAGGTTTTTCATTGCTTTTTGCTTTAGGGAATGGAAGAAAGAATTTGTTGTGGTTGATGATGTTTCAGTTCAAGGATTAGCATGTACGATACTGAGTTCTATCCTACCTATAAAACCGTTAATTTTAAACTATCAAGGGGATGCACAAAAGATAAAAATGGAATATATAGGAGCTGAAAGGTAATATTGTGGAAATTTTTTTCTGTTTCTTCATCATACAAAATAGGGATTGTGATTTTATAACTAAAAAAAAATCAGTGCTATTTTCATCAGATGCTTATCAAAGGAGAAAAGTTCTTAGTTTTATCCAAAGCCAACTTTCCCCATTGTGAGGTCTCCCATCATTTTCCCCCAGGAGCTATAAATTTATATCTCATCATTGGTCATATTATGCCCTATATCTCTATTTATTATTAGTGCATACTTTAGAGTGCTGGTGAGTATTGGCACATTTTATTATGCTGATAAACAATGTTGGACTGCTAGGTAAAATGTGTTGTCAACAGTGATTTCTCTCTTCTCGTTCATACCTTTTTCATTTTATTCTGGGCTTCTAGAGATGAGACTGAAGGATGGGTCTGATTCTTCTTCTGTGTTTTTCAAGTTGATGAGTTAGGAATAGAATGGAAGAGATTATTCATTATGCAGAAATACACAAAAATATTACAAAACACATTTCTCTTCAAATATTTAGAAAGCACATTAAATAGTCATTGACTCAAAGTAAGAAAATATTCTTCTCTAAAGACATAGAATTTGGACCCTTGGACTTTCAGAAGCAACAATTCCACAGTGAGTTCAACTGATCAGGGGTATAGTCCCCCAGGCACTTACCTAGGGTCCAGGAGACTGAGGGTCAGCAGAACCAGAAAAGCTCAGGTACTTTAGACGTCAATCACCCACAAAGGTTTAAGGCTCCCTCCACAGTCCAGTGAATTTCACAACCCTGAAGCAACTCGTGGGGGGAAATACAATGTAGCCACGTGAAGTTTCTGAATGTCCAGTTGAAGGGAATACTTAGTATCTTCAAGTTTTTAAATTAAACTGTTGGGTTTGCCTTGGTTCAGGTTTACCGTTTTCATTACATTTGTTGTACATGGTCAGATGATTGCCAAAGCATAATATGGCTTTCTAGGTTTTAGGGATAGTTTTCTGTTAGGATATTTGTAACGCTAGTCAATTTAGAGGCAGTCTCAACTTGAGAGGCAAAAGTGTGATACAATGTTATTTATGTATTTTAATGGCTTTTGCTCAAAGCATGACCTCGAATCTATCCTTCTAGCTGTGTAGGCTCCTGTAACACATCTCAGCCCAGTTTCATCATTTTCAGCCTCTTTAAGTTATGAAAACAATCTCATTTTGCTTTTTTGCTTCTCCTGCCTTTCTCAAAGTTCCTGCAAGTTAGATTTGCTTCTCGAGAAGTTTTGAGATGAGCAGGGCATGTGCGGGCCCCTCATCTCTCTCTCTCTCTCTCTCTCTCTCTCTGTCTTGTTTTCACCCCTCCAGTGTTGTATCAGTTGAATTCTGTTCTTCCAAGAGAGAAGTTGATGTCCTAACCCCTGTACCTGTGCATGTGACCTTATTTGGAAATAGAGTCTTTGTAGATGTAATAAAGCGAAGATGCGGTCGGTCGTTCGAGTGGACTCTAACACAATGTAGCCCATGTCCTCAGTAGAAGAGGAACATTTGGGTACAGACACACACAGGAAGGAGACAGCCATGTGGAGATGGAGGCAGGGATTGGAGTTACATCCTGAAAGCCAAGGAGCAGCAAAGACTGCTGGCGACACTGGATGTTCAGAGAAAGGCAGGGGGCAGCTTCTCTCCTCCAGCCTTCGAGGGAGCCGGGCCCTGCCGAATCCTTGATCTCATTTTCTGGCCTCCAAGACTGTGAGAGAACCACCTTCTTTTGTTTTAAGCCACCCAATTTGTGATACTTTGCTATGGCGGCCCTGTGAAACTAACACAAGCAGAGCGGAGAGAGGTTTCCCCAGAGCACACAGCCATGGTGAGAAGCTCATCTTTCTTAGGTCACCTTCACTTTTCCAGATCATGACTGATGGCTCACACAGGAGAGGAAAGTCCTCAAGAATCAGCTTACAAGGGATGCAACCGTAAGCCACTCCGTCGTCACAGGTGGTCTGCCCCGCGGCTCTGCTAGAGCCTCTGTGTCCCTGCTGGGATGGCCTTGCACCCATCTTCTGAGCAGGCGGCCTTCTTTTCCTCGTGGCGCATCTCTGGTGAGCTTGGATCTGGCCTCTGCAGCCTCTGCCCTGGGATTCTCCTTCTCTATCTTAGAAATGAGGATCACGAGGGTGGACTGCACCGTCCACGGCGAAGCACCCGCACACCCTCTCTTCCTGTGCCCTGCGGGAATGCCAGTGGTGAGCTTTGTGGCCAAACGTGGTCCCCGCAGGGAGGTGGAATGTGAGTCTCCCGTCTTACATGTGCCCCTAGGCTTCACCATAGACTCTTTGAAGTCCCCTCTTTCACTTTTTGGTGAGGCGATCCAAGTGAGTGTCCCCCTCCAGTTCTTTAAAGGAGAAAAATTGGGGAGGGAAAAGTCTCCCTTTTTAGCTCCTCCTCCCCAAAGCAGAGAGGCTTTATTTCCATATCTCCTGGTGGTCAGGCTGACTGGAACAGTTTGGGCCACTCGGCCCAGCAACAGAGATTTCCTGCCTGTACCAGGATGTAGTGGTTCATTTCCTGTATCAATTTAGAGCATGCCTTTAGATGAGATTAACCTTCAAATCAGTGAACTGTGGGTCAAGCAGATTGCCCTTCAAAGGGTGGTGGGCCTCATCTAATCAGCTGAAGGTCTAAATGGAACAAAAAGACTGGCCTCTCCGAGCAAGGGGGACTCCCCAGCAGATGGCTGGGTCCACCTGCACCGTCGCACTCCTGGGTCTCTGCCCACTGGCCCACTCTTCAGATGTGGAATTCAATAGTCTCCATAATTGCATAAAGCAATTCCTTATTTAGGATCAATAATAGGATCCTATATTGATCCTTGTTAGGATCAATGTATTATCCTATACACACACACACACACACACACACACACACACACACACACTACTATCAGTTCAGTTTTTCTGGAGAACCACGACTAACACACAGGGCTTTCTTTGAAGTCACCTAGTAGAATTTATAACTTTGTTCTCACCCCTGCTCTATTTCCACTCCAATCCCTGCGTGACTCAGTAATCTCTGGGTGACAGGCAAAGAACTCCATCAGTGCCTTAAAATATCCATCAGACAAGCACATCTTATATTTGTGTGAAATCTGACCCCGCTATGAGAGAAGAGGGTGGTGGAGGCAGTGAGTGGCTGGTGTAGCATTAAAGCCTCTGGAGACAGGTGTGCACTGCAGATGGTGTATAGCTGTTCACAGTATTTGAGGCCTCTTTCTTCGTGAAGGGAGATGATCCTTCCCTGTGCTATTATGCTGGGGTGTGGCCATGTGTTTTGCTGTGGCCGATGACACGTGAGTGGAAATGTCACTTCCAGCAGCAGCTTTGAGCATCAGCTTGTGCTTGTTCATGCACTCTGCATTAGTCCATTTTCACACTGCTATAAAGAAATACCCAAGACTGGGTAATTTGTGAAGGAAAGAGGTTTAATTGACTCACAGTTCCACATGGCTGGGGAAGCCTCAGGAAACTTGCAATCATGGCGGAAGGCAAAGGAGAAGCAAGTAGCTTCTTCACTGGGCAGCAGGAGAGAGAAGAGCAAGCGGGGGTAATGCCAGATGCTTCAGATCTCATGAGAACTCTCTTTCTATCACAAGAATAGCATGGGAGAAACTGCCCTCATGATCCAATCACCTCCCTCCCTCGACGTGGGGATTACAGGTCCCTCCTTCAACACGTGAAGATTACAATTTGAGATGAGATTTGGGTGGGGATACAAAGCCAAACCATATCACACTCCTTCTGTCTGCCTTTGTCATTCTACTGTTCCAGGGGATGCTGCTGGCAGCTGGGCTCCAGTTTGAAGGCAGTAGGGCAGGGTTACAGCCCACCTACTTTGGGCAAATTGCATACGAAACAAAACTTTGGGCCACGCGTGGTGACTCACACTTATAATCCCAGCACTTTGGGAAGCTGAGGATGGTGGATCACTTGAGGTTAGGAGTTCAAGACCAGCCTGCCCAATATGGTGAAACCCTGTCTCTACTAAAAATACAAAAAAAAAAAAAAAAAAAAAAAAAAGTTAGGCATGGTGATGGGCACCTGTAGTCCCAGCTACTTGGGAAACTGAGGCAGGAGGATCACTTGAACCCGGGAAGCAGAGGTTGCAGTGAGCCGAGATTGAGCCATTGCATTCCACTCTGGGCAACAGAAGTGAGACTCCATCTCAAAAAAAAAAAAAAAAAACAAAAAACCCAACAACAACAACAAACTTCCTTGGTGCAGTTAGTTACTGCAAAATAATCTTTTCTATTTTAACAGATACATCATCATTTTAAACAGATAGGGGTGAACTCCCTACAATATCAGGCATTTAAGAATGTACTCAGACTCATAGTTACGGTTACAGTTTTCTATAGTGATGTGGAATAAAATGTCCTCAATTTTTGAATCAAAAATTACTTGTTTGACACATATTGGGAGACACTGTTGTTGTGTGGCTATCACAGGCTAGTAATTACTACAAAAAGTGGAATGGCTTCAAACCCTTTTAAAATTCTCTTTGGAATTCTGAATTCAATTGTTGGTCTAACCCATGGTAAGAAAATTTTAAAGGCAGCCTGGATTTGACCACTATGCAATATATCCACGTAAAAAAAATTGCACTTGTACCCCTTACATTTATATCAGTAATTTATTTTAATTGGTTGTAATTTTTATTTTTGTGGGTACATAGTAGGTGTATATATTTATAGGATACATGAGAGTTTTGATACAGGCATACAATGTGAAATAAGCGCATCATAAAGTATGAGGTACCCACCCCCTCAAGCATTTATCCATTGAGTTGCAAAGAATCCAATTGCACTCTTTCAGTTATTTTAAGATGTACAATTAAGTTATTACTGACTATAGTCACCTTCTTGTGCTATCAAATAGGTCTTATTCATTCTTTCTATGTTTTAATATCAATAATTAAAAATAAAAGAGAGAGATGGTTAATAACACAGGTCATGACCTTGGGCCAGAGGCTTATCAGTCTCCTCATCTATAAATTGCAGCAGTGAGCATAAGATAATCTCTTAGGTCCTTCCTAGATCTCATGTTCTAAAATTTGTACCATATTAGACATTAGGTTTGGAAGAGTTCATACATGTCATTTCACCCTATGACGTCCAAAACAAGAGTGGCTTCCATAGCATCCCAACAAGAGACCACCAAGCCTGAATGTGCCCCATGAGGGTCCAAAGTCTCTTGAGACAGCTCTCTGTTTTCTTCAGAAAGGTCTTATGCTGGTTGGTTGGTAGTGATGGATTTTGACTTGGTGTGTAAAACAAATTGTTTCCCCAAATAATAAAGAGAAAAAAATGATTAACTCAAGAACTTTCTGAGTAGCACAAGAGCCTTCTCCTTTTCGTAAAAGAAAGTTCTCCAAATACTTGAAGCCATGATCATTGATCCCCCCAGCCCTCTCTTCTCTGCAACAAATACTTAAAATTACTTAAAGTGCTCTTCCCAGAACAGCCCTGACAGAGTCCTCTCTACCTTCTTACTCAGCTCTAGACACACTCTTGGAGTCAGTAACACAAATTAAATAATATATGGGCCCAGAATCAAATATAATACTCCAAGAACAGAAGGAAGGAGAAGGGCAGGGCTATTACTTGCCATTATCCAGAGCCTTGTTCATAAGCATATTGTCATAGATAACTAATATACCTCATGTAGTTTGGCTGTGTCCTCACCCAAATTTCATCTTGAATTGTAGCTCCCATAACACCCACATGTTGTGGGAGGGACCCAGTGGAAGATAATTGAATCATGGGGCGGTTCCCCCATACTGTTCTCATGGTAGTGAATAAGTCTCATGAGATCTGATGTTTTTATAAGGGGAAAATGCCTTTGCGTGGTTCTCATTCTTGTCTGCTGCCATGTAAGGTGTGCATTTCACCTTCCACCATGATTGTGAGGCCTCCCCAGCCATGAGGAACTGTGAGTCCATTAAACCTCTTTTTCTTTATAAATTACCCAGCTTCGGGTATGGATTTATCAGCAGTGTGAAAACGGACTAATAAGTTAAATTTGTGGTAAGTTAAAATCAGATTCTTCTGTTCTTTCATATAGAAAGTTTGATGGTTAACCTAATTTATTACAGAAATTCAGTCTAGGTTTCTAGCCTACTAATAAAATTGCAATTTTTTTGTCTTTTTTTGCCATTACATTTACATGTTTCAACATTTTACAGTGAAAAGTACAGCCAAAATTTGGATTCCTGCAAATATACGATCCAAATCTTTATCCAGATTACTAAGAAAAACTTGAGTTCCTTCAATTTTGAAGTACGCATACCAAAAAATGGAATATGGCTGAAAACTCTCAACGCTCCTCTATAAACTATTCCCCATGCTGGATCCATAGCTCAGGGGTTAGAGCACTGGGGTTGTAAGTGATTCCTCATGTCTATACAAATAGAATAACTAATTTTTTGCTTAATCAGCAGTGAATACATAAACCAATGTATTATTACCCCAAGATTGTTAACCTGAGGTTTATCATGAATCATGGTAGAGTGATAATTGTGGAGATGGAGGTGCTCTGTACCGATGCGATCTATTGCTCTACATGTTTAGTAGACATATCGGAAAAGAAAATTAGCTTGGCATGGTTGGTCTTCATGAATCTTTCTGTCTAGTAATTCTAATGATTGTGTTTTTTCCCTCCAAATGCATATAAACAACTTGTTAACTTGATCAGCGATGCAGCTCGAGTCATCAGCTCTGTTCCCCTTTTGTATCCATGCATCCTTTGTGTATCCCTCCAACAGCGCTCCCATTTCTCATTTCTCTGTGGCTCAGAAGTCTCCATCCAACATTTAAAAATCATTTTGAAGTGTATTCATTTTGGGTTTGAGCTTTGATCTTGTTTAAAACTTAATCTGAGGTATTGAAAAAAAAAACAATTGGTTCATTTGAACTCCTGGTAATACATAGTGTTTCCCCACTTGTATATCTTGTATACAAAGTGTATACAAGGTGTATAGAAGGTGTAATACTTTGATCAGTTCTTCCTTCGCTGTATTATTTTGACATCTGACAGACATATTATTCACCCAACACACATTTATCAAATTAAGATGTTAAAAATCTAGGAAAATATATCTACAACCAGAAAGATTTTAGAAATCTTACTTACTATAAACTCATAGTTTTAAACAGATCTCTGTGTGTGTGTGTGTGTGTGTGTGTGTGTGTAGTAGCAGTAGTAGTAGTAGTTACTGGAAGAACAATATTCAAAAAAATTAGAAAGGATGATGAAGATTTGAACAATATGAACAACCAAATTGACTAGGGTGACATTGTTAGAGTAGTACATTCAACGGCACACTTTTCATGAGCACATGCAATGTTCACTAAGATAAATATGGTTATCCTGGCCATAAGCAAACCTCAAAACTTTTAAAATTATTGGAGTTTTATAGTCGGTATTTTCTGATCACAATAGATTTAATTAGAAATCAGTAACATTAGAATATCTAAATATGCTCGAAATTAGAGATTAAGAAAAACTTATCTAAATAACCAAAGAAGAAATCCAAGCAAATAAATAAAAACATACTTAAATGGAGTTGTAAGTAAAATGCAACATACCAAAATTTGAGGAATGCAGTTAAAGCAGTGCTTAGAGGAAAATTTATATTTTTTAATACTTGATTAGGAAACATCCTTAAAATCAATTTTCTAAGATTACAGCTTAAGTTAAAAAAGAGCAAATTAAATCCAAAGTATGTAGGAGAAAGAAAATAATAAAGAACAAGAATCAATAAACTAATATATAAAACACAAGTTCTTCAGAAAGTCAGCAAAATCTATAGTTAATTATTTGAAAGATTAATACAGTTGGTAAATTTCTAGTACAGCCAATACATCAAGAGAAAAAACGTGATGAGTGAGAGAAAGTGAGACACAAAAGAGAAAATACTTTAAATTTCACTTACATAAATTTCAAGAACAGACAAAACTAATGTGCAGTGATAGAAGAGTGGTTGTGTCTAAAGGTTAGAGATTGACTAGGAAATGTCCTGGGGTGAAGAAAATGTTGTATATCTTGACAACAGCTGGGGTTAAGTGACTTTAGGCATTTGTTAAGATTCATTGAACTATATGCTTAAGATCGTGTATTTCACTGTATGTAAATTTTACCTAGAAAAAAATCACAACAGAACTGTAAACTAATATTTAACTCTAGCTATTGGGTTTGTATTTTGCAGTGGCATGAGTTCACTATTCTGTAATACTTCCTTTATATTTTCACCTTGTACAAATAAGTAAATATATTGAAGGTAATGGTAGCCAGATTTCTCAGTGTCGGAGAAGGCAGTCACAAATATGCAAAGGGGTAAAACTAGGCTATAGCTTGTGGTGCTTCACTGGAACCTGAGGTATCAGTATAAACTCATAGTTTTAAATAGATATCTAAATCTTGTGTGTGTGCGTGCATGTGTGTGTGCACGTGTGTGTGCGCATGTGTGAATGTGTGTGTATGCGGGTGAATGTGTGCGTGTGCACGTGTGTGTGCACGCATGTGTGTGCGCGTGTGTTTGCATGCATGTGTGTGTGGTTGTCTGTGCACGTGTGTGTGCATGTGCGTGTGTATGTGTATGCATGTGCATCTGTGTGTGCATGTGCGTGTGCGTGCGTGTGTGTGTGTGTGTGTGTAGTATGCATGCATGTGCCTCTGCATTTCCTAGGTCTGTTTGCTAGAAAAGCCTGGAAGCAATGACATTCCTGTGTTAGTTTTTGGTTTCTAAAGATCACTCTCCACTTAAATGAACCAGAGATCTTTGAGAAAAGTCTTCTCCAGGGTTGGGATGGAGTAACACAAATTGAGTCTGGAACATCCTATGGTGCCAGAAAGAAAGGAAGCCATTAATAATGATTTTAATATGAATATTTATCTCAACAGAATCATAGAGTCAGCTTGGAGGAGCTCCTACTGGCCAAATCTGAGGCAATTTGGCCATCAAGCATGTAAAGGTCGTAATGAGCTCAGTGGATCAAATAAGTTTCTGTAACTCTACACTAATGTACATACATGTACACGTGCATATATCTTCAATGCAACCACACTATCATACATTCACATTTACATACATAAGTAGGAGAGGAGGCAAAAGTCTCTTCCCTACAGTGGAATGCCATCTTATAAATTTAGAAAGAATAGTGAGTTAGAAAATTACCAGTGGATGCTAATTCTAGTGAGTGAAAATTTGATGAGACACAGAATATGCACATA
Organism: Homo sapiens; assembly: GCF_000001405.40. NCBI lineage: Eukaryota > Metazoa > Chordata > Mammalia > Primates > Hominidae > Homo > Homo sapiens. Next base: position 76,115,108 of record NC_000018.10, on the reverse strand, counting down.
GTAACTATCTCCCTACAAATGACTTATCAATTATAAAGAAAGAAACAATAATATCACAATGCTGAAACCTGGCAAAAACCAAACGATCAAACTGACATCATTTATGCTGCAACAAAGATCATGGCTTCCCAAACTTAGACACATGTTTTTTTTTTCGGATTCTTCCTATTAATAATGCACAATCTGAATCTTATCATGAGGAAACATCAGATAAACCCAAATTGAGAGACTTTATGCAAAGTAACCAGCCTGTAATTTTCAAAAAGTTTAAGGTTATGAAAGAAAGAAAAGCTGAGAAACTCAGTGTAATAGAGGCTAAAGAGATTCGGCAATAAAATGCAAAGCATTATCCTGAATTGGATCCTGGACTGGGAAAACAATTGTGACAAAAGACACAATTGGGGTAAGAATAAAAATTTGAATAAGAACTGTGGGTTATAGTATTGTATCCATTTGAAATTTCTAATTTTAATAATTGTAGTGTGTTTTTGTAAAAACAAGGTATTTGTTCTTAAGAAATATACACTGATGTATTTAGGGGTAAAAAGCAAATTATTACCAATTTATTCTCAATTGATATAGAAAAAATATGCATATATAAAAATAAATAAATCATTGGTCAATCGGGCTAAAGGATATGTGAAAGTTCCTTGTATTATTCTTGAAACTATTCTATAGATTTGAATTTGTGTAAAATCAAGATTAAATCCCCAGTTAATTATAATACTCCCTTAAAAAATCATCTTCTGATGCACATTCTCACTCCTTGCCACTGGCTTCAGCAGCAAGCACTCACATTTACTTTGTTTCCCCAGAAACATCTGTTCTCTGGTTCCCTGGTCTCCACAGTACCAGTGGGGTTGAATTTGAGTTTCTAGTTTCAAAAATCAAACTGGGGTTATTCAAAGCCATGAGGATAGGATCAAATAACTTCCTTCATCATAAAGTTATTGCCACAAAGCCTTTTTGCAACGGTTTCATTTTCCAGCCCTTTTATTGTATTAGATCCTGCATGATTGTTTTAACTGCTCAGCTGCATATTGTCTGTCATATCTCTTAAAAATACTTTAAAGATATTTCACTCTGTCCAAGTCCTGCTACATCTAACCTTCCTTTAATTTCCCTGCAGGATATTGGGAAGCTTGAAGGGTGTTAGAAGACTAACCTTTCAGCAGGACCAATTTGAAATATTAATGCTGCATTCATCATTATTCCTTGAGAAGAATTTGGCCAATATGTTTAACACAGCTGTTTTTAAATGAAGAACTCGCTTGTTTCTTAAAACTTAAGATTATTTTTTCCTTGAAAACTCTAAGATAATGAAAATCTTAGTATTAGGTACAAGGGATACACGTGAAACATTCGAAATAGCTTCAGCCTGAGCAGTTGTGAAAAGTAAAATTTTGAATGGGGCGTCCTTATAGAAAAATGAAATATGTATCAGTCAGTTTTTTTCTTTTTTTTGCTGTGGAGATGCTGCCTAAGAAACAACCCCCCACATCTTAGTAACTTGTAACAGCAAGATTTGCTTGTTGCTCATGCTGTGAGCCTGATGTGATGGGAGGTTGTTCTGAGTCTGCCGCTGTGGTTCTCTGTAGCTGCGCTCCTGGCCATGGGGACACGACACACCTGGTCTCATTCCAGAGAGCAGGAGGGATTGTGTCCTGGATCTCTCATATCTCATTTTTTTTTTCTCTCATGGCAGAGTGTAGGAACAAGAGAGTGGCAGTCACAGAATGCAATCACGCTAGGCTTTGCTCACCCTTGGAGCGTGAAGTATTTGTTCACGCTCCATAATTCAAAGCAGGTTACATTGCCAAACCTAAAGTCAACTGGGTGGGACAGCATGCCAAACGCGGGGGAGGATGGGGGACTGTGAGCAGAGAGGATCCAGCAAAACGGCCCAGATTTGAACTGCCCTTCCCCGTTCTCCTGCAGCACCCCACCTGGCACTCCTTGGCACTTCACTGCCTAGGATTCAGACCTCGGTGCCTCCCGTCAGCTTGGCTCCACGTTGGGGTATTTCCATTTAGGTCTGACCTCCAACGTCTGCGTTCTGTTGTGTCATCTATAGATTGTTCCTGCCATGACCCACCATGTTTTCTTCCAAAATATGTGGATCCCCCCTCAAAATAGGTTATACTTTAACAATCTAATATCTAAATCCTTTTAGGAGAGGTCTAGATTTTCTAAAGATAACACTTAACATTTCAGATTATCTATAAGTACTTTACCAGCATACTCTTAAAAACGTTTGCCTTTGCTGTCTTACTTAAAGAGGTGATTCTATTCTGTTGATCTATTCATTTTATCCTATTGATTCTATTGATGAGGCTATATTATCAGTAGGGTTCTATCAGAGAAATAGAACCAGTAAGATACACACACACACACACACACACACACACACACACACACACACAGAGACAGAGAGACAGAGAGAGAGACAGAGAGAGACATAAAGAAAGAGATTTATTGCAAGTAATTGATTTATGTGATTATGGGGGCTGGCTAGGTCAGTCTGAAATTTCTAGAATGAGCCAGAAGGCTGGACACTCTCAGGCAGCAGCTGATGCTGCAGTCCGCACATGGAGTTTCTTCTTCCCCAGGGAAATCTCAGTTTTGTTCTTAGGCCTTCAACTGATTGGATGGGGCCCACCCAGACCACGGAGGATAATTTCTTTTATTTAAAGTCAAGTGAGTGTAGGTGTTAATGTCCTCTGCAGATATCTTCATAGCAAAACCAAGATGAGTGTTTGATTGAATAACGAGGTGTGTGTGTGCAGTGCTACAGCTTAGCCATGCGGGCACATAAAGCTGATCATCACAGGGGTTTTCTGGCACAGAGGAAGGAAGTATCTCCATGAACAGTCGGTTCAGAGACAGGTGGAATGTATAGCACTGCGGAAGTCACATACGTGGGCAAGGCAATTAAAACTACTAGCAATGTAGTTTACTATTATGGAAAGGAGAGGAACAATATGGAATGAAATTTCTCAGTAATGATAGTAGGGATGTGATAATTTGACTAAACTGTGGTGGGTAAAGAAGGTCCAAAAAGACTTCAGAAGTGCTAGATTGTAAAATGCTATAAAAAGTCAGGAAATTCTATGCAATAGTATGTCATTCTTCATAGCACTTTAAAAGTTGGTCGGTGCTGAGGTAGCTAGTCTGCAATGAGGGTCACACAACAAGCCACACCTCTCAGGCCCTTCTGAATTCTCTTATGCACCCAACCTGGCCTGTCCTATGTAAACAATAAAATGCAGCACAAATGATCCTAGATCATGAGGAGCCTCAAAGCTTCCACCTGTTTCTCATAGCATGTGGGGGATGCTAGCTGCCATGCAAAGGGTCTGACTACCCTTAGGCTGCCATGCTATGAGGAAGTGCAAGCTAGCCACATAGAGGGGCTGCACAGAACAAAAGAGAGAAAGGTCTGGCCAGGCCCTGCTGTTCCAGCCACTCCAGATGAGATGCCAGGGATGTGAGTGAAGAATCCAGATGGACGTCTTACCCAGTGGGGCTTCAAATGACCCATCCTAAGTCAGTCTCTCCACGCAACCACATAAGAGACCCCAAATGAGAACTTCCCAGATGAGCCCATTCAACACAGGGATCTGAGTGTGTTGATCCTAATAAATTACCATTTTAAGTTATGGGGGTCTGTGAAGCATCAATAGATAAATTGAGATACTTTCATGAACATGATCTAATCTGTCCTTCACAGCATCCGAAGAGCTGAGTGTGGTGGACGTCTTCGTTCCTTGTTTATGTACATGGGAAGTGAGTGTCACAGAGATGTGCCCAAGAACACATAGAATTTTATTTTCATTCTGGAGATTTCCACATAAACAATTTAGTACTAGAGCATAGTCCACATTCCAGGGAACATTTTGGAATCTAGTATTTGGGTTTTAGTAAATACAGAATGAAATATGCTGTTTTGTTAACCCAGAAGAAACGGTGATCTGTTTAAGAAATGTCAGTGGTGTCAAGTCTCAGGGCCTCCAGACAGATGGCCGGGTATTCTATTGACTGACATTTCTACCGTCACTCCCTGGACCATCAAAATTCCGAGTTCTTTGCAGTGTGCCCCGCAACACTGAGGTTACCTTCTTCCCTCTTGTCTAGTTCTCAGCCACTGAGTGGATTTGGTTGCTGAACTTTTATTTCCTCCAGACAACTTTTCACATAAAATTCTGATCACAGAATACTAGGAAAGTAGGGGACTACTTCTTCGTAACAGCTTTTCTGGTTTACATACCTTTTTCAAGGCGCTGCTTGTTCTGTACTACCTGGCTCTCGCTGACTGATTCACTTACACGTAACCGCCGTATTTTAAAGACCCCTCTTCCTGTTCTCTATTAGTTTTTTCCTTACTCACAGAGAGACTATTAGTTTAAAAAAATACTTAGTGCTAATCATTTATAGTGTCTTTTATTACCTCATTCAAGAGTGAATAACATAATTAATATTCCCCCAACTCTACTAACTTTTAGAAAATAAACTATGCTATTTAATTTTTTATTATTAAAAACCCCCATACTATCATTCTAAGATTAATACTTCAATCAATTTAAAAAAACAAATCAAAGTCTGGAGTTAACTGGATTTTATATCTGAATTAGAGGATAAAATGTAACAAAAGATAGGAGACTATGTTGATATTTGTAGAAAAACAGTACGAACTTCCAGAGATGTTTTAAAATTACGTTTAGCTGCCTCATATATTAAATTTTGTCCCCAAAGAATTGTTCAAGTATAAGGACCTTGGCAGTGCAGAATAGTTAGCAATTGACATGATTCAGTGGTGCTCACTTCCTTAAAACGGTTCAAAGGAACACTTGCCTTTTAGAAAGGTTTTCAGCAACATGGGTTGAAATAACAAAAGCCCTTCAGGGTAAAATTCAGGTTAATGGATGCACTCACATATCTATAATTGTTTGTTTTCTTAACTCTTCAGTTAATTAAGGTTTTGAGACACATCAGTGGTTTACAACTTTCCCTAGAAATTAGTAGAATCACTTGTTGTGAGCCCCAACCCAGATCAATTCAATGAAATATCTTGAAATTTATTGAAAGTTCTTGCTATGTTCTGAATATTTATGTACCCCCAAATTCATATATCAAAATCCTTACTCTCAAGGTGATGGTATTAGGAGACAAGAACTTTGGGAGGTGATTAGGTCATGAAAGTCAAGCTTCATGGATGGGATGAGTGCTCTTATAGAAGAGACTGCAGAGAACTCTCCTGTGCCTTCCACCGTGTGAGGGCACAGTGGGAAAATGGCCATCCGGACCCAGAGGCAGGCTCCCCTCAGACGCCAACTCTACCAGCACCTTCGTCTTGTATGCCCCGCCTCCAGAACTGTGAGAAATACATTGTGTTGTTTATAAGCCACCCAGTCCATGGTATTTGGTGACAGCATATCAAACAGACTCTGGCATTTCTTTAGGTCTAGAAAAATAGAGTAGATATACTTTTTCCTATTTCTCTCACTAAATACAGCTAAAAATGGGACAGTATACATACAACAACCAAGAGAAGACTCTAAAATACGGAGAATAGAAAACATAGCAGTGGGCCAGGCATGGTGGCTCACACCTGTAATCCCAGCACTTTGGGAGGCTGAAGCAGGTGGGATCACAAGGTCAGGAGATCAAGACCATTCTGGCTAACATGGTGAAACCCTGTGTCTACTAAAAATACAAAAAAAATTAGCTGGGAGTGGTGGTGGGCCCCTGTAGTTCCAGTTACTCGGGAGGCTGAGGCAGGAAAATGGTGTGAACCCAGGAGGCGGAGCTTACAGTGAGCCGAGATCCCACCACTGTACTCCAGCCTGGGTGACAGAGCGAGACTCCATCAAAAAAAAAAAATAAAAAGGAAAAAGAAAAAGAAAACATAGCAGTGAGTAGCATGAGAGACCTTGGGGCCCAAGGAGCTGCAGGATAGTTTAGTTTTGTTTTTTTTCTGGGGGGTGTAGGGTCATAAATCCCAGCCTAGGTGCTGGCAAAGATGGAAACCCAGAAATACCAATGGGTACAGAAAAAAGAAGCTTCAATGAGAACTCAAGCCTCTCTCTAGCCAAAGCACCAGGCTAGGGGCAGCCTAGCAAGACAGAACACTTTCAGCCAGTAACTTCTCTGCTCCACATAAATATAGCAGAAAAATCCTGTAGCCCCATCCCTACCCTTACCTTTGACCAAAGCCAAGTGGGGAGCCCAGATTCCCACCCTCGTCAGGCTGTAATGAGGCTCTAGTTCCTCTGCTGGCTTGGTGGTGTCAGAAGAGGATGCCTAGTGGAGAGTTAGGGTTTCACCACTGCTCAGCTGTAACGAGCCCTCTAGACCCCCAGGGAAGGCCATAGGTGGAAGTAACTCCTGCCTTCACAGCCTGGATGACATGAGTGAAGGCCTGGTGGGAAGGAGTACTCCTATCTCCACCTTGTGGTAAGAGCCCATCCTTTGGTGTCAACAGAGGCCAATGGGAAACCTGGATTTCCATCCCACCTAGCAGTAATGAGGTGGCCCTTCCTCTATTGAAGGGGTGTCAGCGTAGGCCTGCTAAGACAGAACATTTAAATAATAGCCAGAGTCTCATAACATGCTATCCTGCATTACATGTCCAGGTTGCAATACAAAAATCACTCATCATAGCAAGAATCAAGGAAATCTCACACCGAATGAGAAAAGGCAGATGCTAACCCTGAGATGGCTGAGACGTTAGGATGGTTTACAAGGGCTTAAAAACATCAAGAGAAATGCTTCAGAGAACAATTATGAGCGTGCTTGAAGTACAGCCATGCATTGCTTACTGACAGGAACATGTTCTGAGAAATGTGTTGTCAGAAGAACATCATAGAGTGCACTTACACAAACCGAGTCCATTGCTCCTGCACTAAAAACCTGCACAGCAGGCTGCTATACTGAATATTGTAGGCACATGTAACACAACGGTAAGTATCTGTGTATCTAAACATATCTAAACACAGAACGAGTACAGTAAAGCTATGGTATATGGTCTTATGAGACTACCATTGTATATGCTATCCATCATTGACAGAAACATTGTTGTGTGGCACATGACTATTAAAAAAAATCACAAGTCTCAGCAATGAAACAGAAAGAGATGGGAGGAAAAAAATTTTTAAATACAATTACTGAAATAAAAATCATAGGCCAGGCACAGTGGCTCACACCTGTAATCCCAGCAATTTGGGAGGCCAAGGCAGGTGGATCATGAGGTCAGGAGTTCAAGACCAGCCTGGTCAACATAGTGAAACCCTGTCTCTACTAAAAATACAAAAACTTAGCCAGGTGTGGTAGCCAGTGTCTGTAATCCCAGCTACTTGGGAGGCTGAGGCAGAAGAATAGCTTGAATCCGGGAGGCGGAGGTTGCAGTGAGCCATGATTGCACCACTGCACTCCAGTCTGGGCGACTGTGCGAGACTCTGTCTCCAAAAAAAAAAAAAAATCATAATAGATGGGGTCAATAGGAGAAGGGAGAAAATAAAGGAAAGAATCATAGAACTGAAAATAAAACAGATATAACCCCAACTCAGTAACTGAAGCCAGGTGAGAGAAGAAATAAACAGAGCCGCAGGAACATGTAGGGCTGTTACAAAAATTCTAACATTTCTGTCACCAGAGTCCTGGATGGAGAGGAAAAGAGAGGGGGCCTGACAAAGTATTTGAAGAAATAATGGCTAAAATGTTTCCAAATTTGACAGAGACATAAAACTCCAAGTTCAAGAAGCTGAGTTAACCCTAAACAGGATAAACTCAAAGAAATCTATACCAAGACACAGTATAAGAGCAACTACTGAAAACTAAATAAAAAAATCCTGAAGCAACAAGATACATCTTTTCTGTAGGAGAAAGCTATTCCAATGACAGCAGATTTCTTATCAAAAACCATGAAGACCAGAAGCTAATGGCACACCTTTGTTTAAGTGCTGGAAGAAAATAACTATCAACTCAGAATTCTACCATCAGCAAAAATATCTTTTGGAATGAAGAAATCAAAATGTCATAAGATAAAGGAAATGTAACAGAATTGGTTGTAGTATACCTACCCTAAAAGAATCACTAAATAAGTTTCCCATAATGGAAAGGAAATAATAAAAGAAGGAATCCTGAAATGCCAGGAAGGTAAAAAGAACAATGAAATGAGCAAAAATATAGGTAAACACAATGGACTTTCCTCTTCTCTTGAATTTTCAAATTATGTTTGGTAGGTGAAGCAAAAATTATAATACTGTCTGATGTGGTTCTCAGTCTATGTAGAGAAAATATTTAAGGAAATTATAAATGAAGGAGGATGAAGGAACTTACAAGGAAGTACATTTTCTACACTTCATTTAAACTGGTAAATTGATGACACTGGGAGAGTGTGATAAGTCATGTATGCATAATATAACACCTAAACCAACCATTAAAAAGTTAATTAAAGAGATGCACTCAAAACTCTATAGATAAATACATATGGAATTCTAAAAAATGTTCAAGTAATCCACAAGAAGGCAGAAAGAATAAAACAAAGAACCCCCACACACACACACAAAATGGAAGAAACAAGCAGAAAATTTAAAAAAACCCAAAGTGGTAGAATTAAGCCCTACCATATCAACAATTACATTAATTGTTAATAGTCTACCTACACTCATTAAAAGACAAACATTGGAAGAGTGGGTTAAAAAAATTGACCCAACTATATGTAAGGGTAATATGCTGAATGAAAAAAGTCAACCTCAAAAGGTGATATACTGAATGATTCCATTTGTTTTATACCTAAAAGTGACACAATTATAGAACTAGGTAACAATTAAGTGACTGTAAGGGTTAGGGATGGGAGTGACTATACAGGGGAAGCATGGTAGACCTTTCTGTGGTGAAACAATAATTCTGTATCTTGATTTTGGCAGTGGTTACGAATGTACATGTTATAGAATGACATAAAACGCTATAGTATAGAACTACTATGCATTGCACCAAAGTCAGTCTATTGAGTTTGATATTGTATTGTAAGGTGTAACCTTTTGGGGAATCAGGGTGAAGGGGCCATGGGATTGCTTTAACTATCTTTTAAACAGTCTGTTATTCTACAAAATATTGTTTAAAATCAGGTGATTTTAATGAGTGCCACTGCTGTACACCATTGTAATTTCAGCATAGTGAACACTAAAGATTTTGGTGCAGAAATAAAGAATCTATAGTGCTCTTGATTTCTTCACATCAGCCTCTTCGTTCATGCTGGGGCTTATTCTTTTCTTGGACTACATGAGAATGCCTCTATAACAGTGGTTCCAAACTTAATGTTCACACTGTAATCAGCTGCAGAGAATTAAAACAAATAAACAAATATCAACAAAACTTATGCATAGGCATCTCCCCTGGAGGTTCTGTTTAATTGGTCAGATGTGTGCCTTAACACAGGGTTTTTTAAAGCTTCCCAGTAGATTCCAGGTGCAGCCAGTGCTGAGGGCCACAGCTCCCTAACCCCAGCACTGCACTGAACAGAGTGTTACATTCATACTCATAAAGGCAGAAGAATCTTGGAAAGTTTTATTTATTTTGGTTAGTGGGGTGTCGGATGTTATTTAATGGTAACTCCTTTTGAAGTATTGTCTTGTTTCCTCTTTTAAGACTTTAATCTTTCTCTTTGGTTTTCTGCATGTTGTCTATGATGTGTTTGGTGTGGATTTCTTTCTTTTTTTTTTGAGATGGAGTCTTGCTCTGTCACCAGCTGGAGTGCAGTTGCATGACCTCAGCTCACTGCAACCTCTGCCTTCTGGGTTCAAGGGATTCTCCTACCTCAGCCTCCCGAGTAGCTGGGACTACAGGTGCGCACCACCATGCCCAGCTAATTTTTGTATTTTTAGTAGAGACAGTTTTTCACCATGTTGGCCAGGATGGTCTTGATCACTTGGCCTCGTGATCCACCTGCCTCGGCCTCCCAAAGTGCTGGGATTACAGGCGTGAGCCACCATGCCTGGCTGGATTTCTTTTTAATGTATCCTGTATGGGGTTAATTTGGTTTGTTGAATCTGTGGATTGATGTCTTGTATTGGGATCTTGATATTTTTCTGTCCTTATCACTTCAAGTATTGCCTCTACTACATTTCCTTTCTCCTTGTCTTCTGTGGGCCAATTCAGTATTTCAGACATTGTCACATTTTGTAACCCCCTGTGACTCTAATTTTTTCCCTACCAATTTTTGGTCCATTTGCTACCTGATTCATTCTTTAGTGTTTCTCTGCTATACTCTATCTCAAAAAATTGCTGACCACTGCAGACTGCAAATTCTAGACTTCTGTGACAGTTAACTTCTAAATAGGTTATCTTTGGCAAATGAGAGACACTGACAGAAAGTTGAAAGGTGAAAGCATGAAGGAAGCCAGACTATTCACCTTCCTTAGGGCACAACTCTGGCAACAACTGCATTTGCCCTTTGCCTGTAGCTCTTGCTGGAAAATATGCTGTGCTTCCATTTTCTGTTGAGTCCTCATGGCCCATGGACTCCAGTAATCCCACATCTTTCCTTTGCTCTCCCATCTTGGAGGAAAGCTGGTGGCTTCCTACTGTTAACTTCTAGGGATCTCACTATCTCCTTAAATTTCTTTAAAAGATATTTAAGAGTGATTTCTGTTTTTCTGGTTGAACCTTTTCTCTTTTTAATATATTTTTAATTCCACTTTTATGATGGATTGAAATTTGCTTTTTACCATCTTTCTGATTCTGTCTAATCAGCTATTGAAGTCATCCACTGAGTTTTTCATTTCAATTATTTTATTTTTCATGTCTAAAATTTGTATTTGGAAAAAATCTGATGTTATTTTTTTATTTTCTACTTTTGCATCCCAAATTTACAATTTAGATCTTATCTTCTTGAACAGAGTGAATGTTGTTATTATAGAATCTTTGATAATTCCAGTATCTGTGGTCCTTGTGGGTCTGTTTGTGTTGCCCGTTGTTTCTTTTGGCTCTTTCTCATGAGGGCTTATGTTCTCATGTGCCACTTATCTTTGATTGTAGGCTTCAAGTTTGTGTTTAGAAATTATTTATAGAAATAGTATGAGGCATAGGATAACTTTATCTTCCTCTGGAGATAATTCTTTTTACTCTTGCCAGGTGCTTTGGGCCACTAATTGTCTGGAATCATCTTATTTTAAGTACTTTGGGCCACTGGGATGATTAGAATTTGACCTGCAGCCCAAGAATAACATGGTTTATTTCTGGTGAATTCTAACTCTCAGGAGGCAGTTCTTTGGAGTTCTAGACCAAGGTAGGGGGTGGTACATCTGGGTTTCTACCATGGCATGACTCAGGCTCTAAGTTGTCTTCCATGGGTACCGTGTAGGCATTAAAAACTCAGCTCAGACTCAGATGTGTCTTCCAGCTAGCACATGCTCCTGGAGCAAAAGTAGACCCACATTTCTGTTATTCCAAGATGTCTGTCTTCATTGTGTCGTTAGCTCTTTGTTGCTTATAAACATAGTCTTTCCTTTTTTGTGTGTTCTGAGGGTTGATCCAAATAATCTAGTCCTCCACTACCCAAAATGGAAGTCCAAATCTTGTTCTTCAATAAAGCATTCACCAAGGTAAGCCTGCACACAGATAAATAATTGAGAATGCAGCATTTGTGTAGCTATTTGAGTCTATTTTGGTGACAGATGTCACAGGAGGATTGGCTTTCTATGAGCCTTGGGCATACACCCTCTGAAACATAACTCTCTGTGAAATGAAGAAGATACTACATGATATCTAGGTCCCATTGGGTTCTAGCTTCATATTATTCTATTATTTTAAGTTGTAAAATATTTCAGTTGTGCTATAAACCTATGGAAGCTTCAGGAAGATCCTAAAGATAAAAAATACAAGTAACTTCTAGATTGCATAGTGTGGCATAGTACACATGTTTACAGTCTCTCCTGTATGGAATAGAATGCTATACCTAAATTTGAAATGACCCCATGTCCTGAACTATGCAACACAGTTGACCCTCTGGCCTCCATTCCTAACTTCCCTTTTAACTACATGAAATTCATGCTTTTCCCAATATTCTATTCAGATCTGGCTGAACATATACCACAAGCTTTACGCCAAAGAATACTTTTTCGTAGTTCAGTGATAGCAAGAGAAAATAAAGGATTGACTTGATATTAACCCATATGGTCAGTTTATTGTGAGCCATTAAGAAAGAAGTATGTTTAGAGCAGCTGGGAATGAGCTAAATGTGGGCTGAAGAAGTCCAGGCAAATGTCCAAACGAGCATTAGGTGTACGGAAAATCAGGGAGGCTCCTTTCTGCTGAATCAATTGCTGTATCCGGGTTACATTCCTTTTATGGTTCTTCAAATTTATGCAGAAGTTAATTTATTTAAGCCATTTAGAACACTCAGTTTGAGGTAAGCTGGTTTTCTCAAATGTCTCTAACCAAATCCTAATCTACCTGGCATGGCTTTTCTTAATACATGTGGCATCTTCTTTCTTTCTTTCTTCAAAGAAAAACATGACATATTCAGCAATTTCAAGGGAACACTGTGGTTGAGAAGCTAATGGAGAAGCTGCCTCAGACACACAGCTGGCTAACCCCAAGATATTTCGGAAATGGTCCATATCCATAATAACAAATGTGGCTGTTCAGTGATAAATTTACTCCTCCATCTGCGAAGAAATTGATATCTGATGCCAAGGCTTGCTGACCTCTGCTTTCATTGCCAACTTCCAGCCTTGTTTCAAGAACACTGTGTTAAACTGTACAGCAAATTTCTAACTTTCAAGACTGAGGATTCCAGCGAGCACATTTTAAGCTTCACTGTAGTTTGAGAGTGTATTTCTTTCTTTTTTTTTTTTTTTTTAAAGCCAGCCTATTATAGACTTCACTTTGTATGGGAGCAGTTTTAGCCAGTCAGCAATCTTGCCTCACATTCTTTCCTTAAGAAAGTAACTAACTAGTGCTGCTATTCCTAGAATAAAGAGGGGATTGAAAAGTACAGTCACAGCAAATAAGGCAGGTAGCAGGGAGAGGAGAGAGGTGGGTGATACATTAAGAAGGAAAACTTTCTGCTAGCCATCATGCCCCACGCTGTTGTGTATAATTATTAGCTGCAAAATAGCACAGCTTGAACATTATTATTGCACATTAAAAAACATTTCACTTATAATTATGGAACGAAAATAAGCATTTACAACTCACCTACCGCAGCATTAACTTTGTGTATGTAAGAAAATATTTTAAAAACCTCTTCATTAAAAATCTGCAAATAGGTGACTTCTTTTTCCATCTCATGGATCCTTTCTCCTTTTTTTTTTTAACTGACAAAGTGAGTTACATCTTAAACTTTTCTTTTAATTAAAAAGCAGAACAAAACTGTAAGGGAGGCAGAAAACCAAACCAAGAAAAGGGGGTGGTCTGTGTGTTTGCCAGGTGAAATAAATATTTGATAAATTAGGTGGATTTGGAAAGTGAAAGGTAAGGCAAAAATACGTTCTTTAACAGTAGTAGAATAACCACTGATGTTCAGAAGCAAAAACAGATTATTTGTTTCTGATTGGTGTTCATAATTTTTGAAATAGAAAATACTGTGAAAATCCATATATGTCAGCAATGGTATAAACTCTGTCAGTAATATTTCAAGATCTATGGAGGTAGAATTTAACTGTTCCATGCAAATCATTTTGCCTGGTTTTTGGATAACATCTTCCATTTATCGAATCTCTAGACTGTTGGACCTGTCTCTCCATCTCTGTGTATGTGTGTTTGTCTATGTGTTTTATACCACTTGTGTATAAAGACATCCTTTCAGTTAAACACATTTGGCGAGGGACTCATGTCTCAAAGTGTACTAGGCTCTAGGGAAGCCATTAAGAATATATTAAATAGAAGCATTTATTTAGATGCTTTGTCCAAAGCACGGATTGTGAGACAATTCAGGTGTTTTAGCACCAGCATGAAGTTCAAAGGTGAAGAGCAGGTAACAACAGAATGCACCATTGCTCTCTCCAGTCCAGGACAACACCCACACACTCACATACACACATATATACTCTTGTTTGATGTATCTTGCTCCCCATGGTTTAAATACCCTGCTTCCAGAATACTCTATGATATGCCAGTGTTTTCCTCAGTGTTCCTCGTGACAGCAATGGCTGTTATGTAAGGAGAGATTCAGTGATAAAGTCAGTTTGAGACATAGGATATTGTTTCTGATTCACAGCATGTTCTGTTGTATAACAAGCTCTCCAAACAGTTGAGCACTAAAGGATTCAATGTGGCTGGCAAACCTGTCTGCAGAGCACCCATGGTCTTTAGAAACGCTCCTCTAGGGTTTAGACCACCAATCCGGTACCAAAGTTCTGGGGTCTGGGTTTCATTCTGTGCCCACAGAGTCTCCCCTCATTTCTTCTTCTAAGGCGTGGGGCGTTCCGGACGCGCAGATCCAGCCACCACCCCGCTGTCTGCAGGGCTAATGCCATTTGAAAAAGGCCTTTTCCCTCTTAGACAAGAGGAAACGCTAATGAGAAGCTGTCCTGCGTCCTTCTCCCAGGGCCTCCTCTCCGCGAATTCCCTCTGAGCAGGTCCGTGGCTGCTTGTCCGTGCCTGTGTTTTCAGAATCCAAAGTCCTACCTTATTCTTGACCCAGCACGTTTAGGTGCTCACCTTCCGAACGGGCTGTGCTCTCCTATATGAGTCTCTCCAAGGCGCCAGCACCCTGGGATGAACGAACATGTGGAAATAAACGAGTGCCTTTCTCCTGACAGGGTGGGGAGAACACTGGCTGTAGAGTCAGAGGATCCGAGTCAGGAGCGTCTCAGTCCCCTCAGACTGCCGTAACAAAACACCAAAGACTGGGTGGCTCACTAACAACAGAAATGTATTCCTCACACGGCTGGAGGTCCAAGATCAAGGCGCTGGCAGATCTGGTTTCCAGGGAGGGCCGGCTCCTCCTAACTCTGCCTTCTGGCTGTGTCCTCACATGATGGAAGAGGCAAGGCAGTGTTCAGGGGCCTCTTATCAGGGCACTAATCCCATTCACCGGGACTCTGCCCTCATAATCTCATCACCTCCCAAAGGTCCCCGCCTCCTAATCCCATCACACTTGGTATTAGAATTCCACATCTGAATTCTGGGGAAACACAGATGTGCAGACGACAGCAACTGAGAATTACCATTTGGATACCTCTTCTTGTGTGCTAAAAACTGAACGAAGCACTCCAAAGATTTCATTTCACTTACTTCTTGTAAAAACCCCTCCCTGTGAGATAGGCATCACCCTCTTCACTGTACAGATGAGGAAACCTAGGTTCAGGAATATAAAACGACTTATTAAAGACATGGGGCTGGCAATTGTAAGAGCTGTCTCGGTGGCTTCCCTGATGTCACTCTGCCTCTAAGTACTGTGGCTCTGAGCATCTCCTGGGTTGTAGAGGTGAATTTATTAGATCTGAGGCTGAGTTCCTCTTCTCTCATAGGGAGGTGACTCCCCCACCCCACTCTGGTGCACTGAATCCCTTGCTAAGGCTGTGGGAGCAGTTTGAGTCTGTGACTTCCAAATGTCTTCTACTGCAGAGCATTCAAAGGGTCACGTGGCATTTTAATCTGAAGGTCTTTGACTGTCAGCAACTATTTTTCAGCTGTACTTAGATCTTCATTACATGATTTCCAGCCCTACTGGGGAGACAGGACTTTCATACAGAGAAGTTCTCAGGAGCTGTGGGAGGCAGTCTGAAAGCTGTGGTGCTGTGCTGCAGACGGTAGAGGCAGCAAGAGTCAGGAGCAGGAAGATCTGTGCCTGCTGCAGGAATGATGTGACACGGGGGAGGAGGCCGTGTCATCTTCAAGAGGCTTCATGCATGGTGCTCACTCTAATGTGTTCCAGACTCAGCATCTGTACTCTCAGTAAAATTTCCACATGTAAGTCAAAGCATTGCATTCAGCAAAAAAATATTATTTTGGCAAAGTCTTGAAGAGATCTACACAGAACAACCCACTTGGCTGCTCCAGGAAGTGTGTGGGAGCTCTGTACAGAGGGCCAACCATTATTTTAGCCAGAGCCTCATTGTGCCCTGACCTCTGGGATAACTGGTGGCTCGGTGGTAAACACTCAATAACTTCGTGTAATGGATGAATCAGAATTGGACTTCCACGCTGCCTTTCAGTGACCTATGAGTGCGATGTGGGGGAAAGAATCACCTTCCTGGCTAGATAAGGTCAGACACCTGTGGTTATGGGCCGACCACCCTGTGGTTGGAAAGCAGCGAGTCATTTTCACATATTTCACTGGAAAATCAATTATACCTTTTCTAAGTGGATTAACACACTCCAGGGAGTGCAGTTGTTTGAGCGAGCTGCATCTGTTGGGTTACAAAAACAGCCAAACAGGCAACATTAGAGGTTTCTAAATTATGCAGAGGACAGCCCTCTGTTCCAAAAGGGAAAGAATCCAAGGCAGAGCTGCCCCGTATTGGCTCTGACCTGAGAGAGGGTGAAATGCAGGTGAGAGTTGCTTTCCAGACAGCACAGGAATGGGCTGTTTTTGGTGCCTCGGTTTTCTACCCAAATGTTGTCAACCAAATTCTCAAGAAATTGGAATTATCTATGCACAATACAGAGTAGTTCATATATATATATATACATGTATATATATATATACATATATATGTATATATACATATACATATATATGTATATGTATATATACATATATATGTATATATATGAAAACCCTAAGAACTAGATCCCAAATTAGAAAACATTAGCAAAAGAAAAACATGCAAATACACTCTCCTGTTTGTCACTCATCAAGCCAAAAATTCAGTTCATCTTTCCCTCTAAACTTTGTCCCTCCTGTTTTGTGTCCACACATTTAACCAATTTAACCAATAGCCCAAGTTAGAAACTCAGAAGTTGTCTTGGACTCCTCAGCCTTTTCTCACCCAGTTTCCACCCTCATCCAGCTAGTCGCCAACTTCTGCGGCTCCCTTCCCAAGACCTGTCTGCTCCCTCCTTTCTACTCCACTCCACTAAGGGGATCTCCAGTTCTGTCTTCATTCCTGAAGAGCCCGTGGTCTGCTCGCCTTGCTCCCGCTTTCCCTTTCTGCCTGTAGCTAGAGTGAACTTTACAAAATATAAGACTGACCCTGTCCTCTGCTTACTTTGAAAGTCTCTTGTGCATTCTTTTTGCTCACAGGATGAAGTCCAAAGTTCTTGCTGATGTTTAAAATCCCCAGCTTGATTTGGCCTGTCTTTCTGTCACTGTAGTTTTGCCTTTTCTAGAATTTCTGCATCACTTCAAAACATTTTTATTTTGCAATTGTTGTGTAGTATTTAATAAAAGTTGCTAAAGTACGACAGAGCGTTCTCCCATACAGGCTCCCTCAAAGTAAGTGTCTTACATACGCAGCGCACAATTTTGAAAGCCAGGCAATTAACATTGATGCAAACCTATTTTCAAACCTTATTAGAATTTTGCCAATTTTACAACTAATTTCTTTTCTCTGGTCCTAATCTAGGATCTGATGGGATCCAGGGTCCCACTTTGCATTAGCCTTCCTGTCTCCTTAGTCTCCTCGTATTAGTGGGGTCCCTCAGTGTCTTTCACTCATGAGCTTGACACTTGAAGAGCATGGGCCAGTTATGTGGTAGAATATCCCTCAATTTGGGTTTGTCAGATGTTTTCTCTGGATGAGACTGAGGTTGCCGGAGGCAGTGTGTCCTCCTCAGGGCAGCGCAGCAGGAGGACGTGATGTTGGTCTTTCTCACTCCTGCTGCTGTGAACTCTGATTGTTTGGTTAAGGTGGTGTCTGCCAGGCTTTTCCACTGTAAAGTTAGTCTTTCTCTGAGCCGTTATGAAATATTTCAGGAGGAGAGATGTGGGCATTATGTTAACATCCTATTTCTCATTATACTTTCACTCAGTAATTTTAGCATCTGCTATGCCTGCAATGTGCTGTTTGCCTATTGATGGTTTTCTAGTTGCCTCCTTCCTCTGTCATTGATAAACTGGAATTCTGCCCTAAGGAGAATTCCTTCTCCTCCATTAACTTACTCAGTTATTTATGTCACTACGAACTCAAGGTCTTTATTATTATTTTATTTTATTTTATTTTATTTTATTTTTGAGATGGAGTCTCTCTCTGTTGCCCAGGCTGGAGTGCAGTGGCGCGATCTCCGCTCACTGCAAGCTCCGCATTCCGGGTTCACACCATTCTCCTGCCTCAGCCTCCCGAGTAGCTGGGACTACAGGCGCCCGCCACCACGCCCGGCTAATTTTTTGTATTTTTAGTAGAGACAAGGTTTCACTGCGTTGGCCAGGATGGTCTCAGTCTCCTGACCTCTTGATCTGCCTGCCTCGGCCTCCCAAAGTACCGGGATTACAGGCGTGAACCACCGTGCCCGGCTTCATGGTCTTTATTTTATCCCACAGGTTATGATTCATTCCTATCATTTGTATTGTTTTTCCTCAGATTGTCCCAGATTTGTCCAGGGAGCTTCTCCAAGTTGGATCTTACAGGACTTTATAATTTGAATGGGTGAGATTGACCACAGATGTGATTAACTGAGCGCTACAGTTTCACATGGAATTGCACTTCAAAAACAAATAAACAACAAACAAACAAACAAACAAACAAGAAAACAGCCCAGAATTCTTTGTGGGAAGTGTTTCTCTAGAATTGTAAAAGAGACTTGTAACTGGCTATTAGCTAATGGCAGAACACTCTATGAAGACCTTCAGAACATTCTAGACTTTCTGGGAGGTTTGTTGTCCTTCTGTTGTGTCCTCCCATCATGTGGCAAGGAGAAAAATAAAAGAAATTTTGCACAGTCTCCACAGAACTGTGTTTTCGTTATCGCTAATTATTATTGGCATTATAATTACATTTAGGATGCTTTCCAAAGAGGATAATTTATTAAGCATTCAAAGCATTAAAGCATTTTGGCTTGAAAAAGTTCATATGTAAACATGTATATATGATCTACCTACATACATTCACATATGTGCTATATATAAAGAACACACACAGACACACACACACATAAAGCAAGAAACATACTCTCTGTGTGCCCACTACTCAACTTAAGGAATAGAACATTACCAGTACTGCTTATCCTTTTGTATACCTTTTGTGATTCTATTGCTCTTACCTTCTGTGTAAGGGACTACCCACCATACTGAATTTTGTTAATTTTTCTTTTCTTGAGTTTTATTGTCTTCTCTCCCTCTGTTTTTGGAGAATTGTCATACACTTAAGTTTAGGTTAGCTTCCAACATTTCATTCTGTGTACTTTCATTGTTGCAAAATATGTCTGCAAGTTTCTCTTTTGTTTGTTTAAAACATTTTATTTATTTATTTAGATTCAGGAGGTACATGTGCAGGTTTGTTATATGGGCATATTGCATAATGCTGAGGCTTGAGCTTCTATTGATCTCATCACCCAAATAGTGAACATAGTACCTGATAGGTAGTTTTTAAAAACAGTTTCCTCTCTTCCTCCCTCCCCTCTCTGGTAGTCCTCAGTGTCTATCGTTCCCATCTTTATGTCCATGTGTACCCAATATTTAGCTCTCATTTGTAAGTGAGAACATGGTATTTGGTTTTCCCTATCTGTGTTAATTTGCTTAGGATGATGGCCTCCAGCTGCATCCATGTTGCTGCACAGGACATGATTTCGTCATTTTTTATGGCTGCGTAGTACTCTATGGTGTATATGTATCATATTTTCTTTATTCAATCCACTGTTAATGGACACCTAGAGTGATTCCATGTCTTTGCAATTGTAAATAGTGCAATGATAAACATATGAGTGGATGTATTTTTTTGGTAGAATGATTTATTTTTCTTTGGGTATATACCCAATAATGGGATTACTGGGACAAATGATAATTCTATTTTTAGTTCTTTGAGAAACTGTCAAAGTTCTACAATTTCTTTTGATGTGAAACTTTTCACTGGCATCTATTCCTCTGAGATATCTTCATCACGATCTCTTTCCTCATTAATGTTCATTAGTGACCTTCACTAAATTCCTCTAGTCTTTCAAATGATGGTAGTGCCAACACTCTCATGGTCGGTTATCTTCTAATTACATCTAATTTTACACCTAGTGTTATTATTTTTGTTTCTTTGCTGCATATAGTAGGCTGAATAACAGCTGCCCCCAAAATGTACACATCCTAATCTCCAGAATGTATGACTATTATCTTACATGGCAAAAGAGCCTCCGCAGATGTGATTAAGACAAGGATCTTGAGATAGGAGGAGATCTGGGGTTATCTAAGTGGACCTGATGGAATCACATGCATTCTTATGAGAGAGTGGCAGGAGATAAAAGAGAGGAGGAGATGTGAAGACAGAGCAGAGACTGAAGTGATGTGGCCATGAGCCAAGGAATGCCAAGGCAACCTCTGGAAGCTGGAAGAGGCAAGGAATGGATTCTCCCCAGAATCAGCCAGACCCAGAAGCAGTCAGACCTGCCCACACCTTGATTTTAGCCCCATAAGATTTGTCCTAGACTTTTGATCCCTAGACCTGTAAGAGAATAAACTCATGTTGTTTTAAGCCTCTAAGTTGATGGTCATTTGTTACAGCAGTAATAGGAAATGAATACACCACACTTTGATCTTGCAAAATTTCCTCTTCCATTGTCCATTTTTTGTAAGATGTCATGTGGGTTTATCATGGAGAGAGGAGGAGGCAACTGAATGCTTTTCTTTCTGTGCATGAACTGAATAACAGAGTAGCAGTGACTAGTTTCTAGCAGACTTTGAAATAAGTGACAAGATTGATCACTGTTCAATATGTACATCTGTTCTTTATATGGTGATCTGTGGATTAAAAAAATGGCAGCACAATTGGCACTCTATTCAGTTACTTATGGTAGATAAGCCCTGGAAACTGAAATTTGAGCTGTGTTGTTGGGGGATAGATTTTATTTAACAAAACCATGGTAACTAAAATGTGTTCATATGAAAAACATTTCAAGCAGGAAGTGTCTGTATTCAGACAAACATTAACAATTTCCTATACATACATAAATATGACATGTCTACATATATATGTATTTATAGGTAATTGCTAACCTTACCTGTTATTTATATAGGTAATTATATACTTATTTATATAGGTAATTGTTAACCTAATCTTTCGACAAAGATTTGTAATTTTCTTTATCAAATATTGAACATTTTTTGCTTAATCTATTTCTAGGATTCATATGTTTTTGTTAATATTTTAATGATGTCAACTTGGGTTGAGTAACTCTATCAGCACCATTTTCCAATAGCACGTGCTCTCTTTGGGCCTCTGTGTTGCATTTTTGTAATTCTCGCAATATCTCAAACTTTTTCACTATTATTATATCTGTTACTATGGAGATCTGTGATCAGTGATCACTGTTGTTATTGTAATTGTTTTGGGGTACCACAAACCATGCCCATATAAGATGGCAAACTTAGGATAAATGTGATGTGTGTTCTGACTGCTCTATCTACTGGCTGCTCTCCCATTTCATTCTCTTTCCTGGGGCCTCCTGAGTGTTTAAGTAAAAGGAAGAATCTCATGTCCCTCACTTTAAATCAAAAGCTAGAAATAATTAAGCTTAGTGAGGAAGGCAGGTCAATAGCAGAGACAGGCTGAAATCCAGAGCTCATGTGCCGGTTAGCTAAGTTGTGAATGCAAAGGAAAAATTCTTGAAGAAAATTAAAAGTGCTACTCCATTGAACATATAAATGTTAAGATAGAAAACCAGGCTTATTGCGGATATGAAGAACATTTTAATGATGTGAATGGAAGATCAAACCAGCTATAACATTTTCTTAAGCCAAAGCCTAATCCAGAGCAATTCCTCAACTCTCCTCAATTCTATGAAGGTTGAGAGAGACGAATAAGCTGCAGAAAGAAAGTTTGAAGCTAGCAGAGATTGGCTCATGAGGTTTGAGAAAATAAAATAAGCCACCTCCATAACCTAAAAGTCAAGGTGAAGCAGCAAGTGCTGATGTAGAAGCTACAGCAAGTTATTTGGAAGATCTAGCTGAGATCATAGATGAAAGTGGCTCCACCAAACAACAGATTTTCAATGTAGATGAGACAGCCTTCTATTGGAAGAAGATGCCTTCTAGGACTTTCATGACTAGAGAGAAGTCAATGCCTGGCTTCAGAACCTCAAAGGACAGGCTGACTCTCTTGTTAGAGGTAAATGTAGCTGCTGACTTTAAGCTGAAGCCAATGTTCATTAACCATTTCTAAAATCCTAAGAACCTTAAAAATTATACTACTCTACTCTGCCTGTGCTCTGTAAATGGAATTCAAAGCCTATATGACAAAACATTTGTTTACAGCATGGTTTATTGAATATTTTAAGCCCACTGTTGAGACCTACTGCTCAGAAAAAAAAATTTATTTTAAAATACTACTACTCATTGACAATGTACCTGGTTACCTGGGAGCTCTGATGAAGATGTACTAAAAGATTAATGTTGTTTTCATGCCTGCTGACTCAACATGCATTCTGCAGTCCATGAATCAATGAGTAATTTTGATTTTCAAGTGTTATCATTACAACTGTATTAGGTTATAATATATTATGTATAATGATAACTATGTTATCATTATAAGTGTATTATGATATCAAGTGTTATCACAATACACTTCATAGGGCTACATAGCTGTGATAGTGATTTCTCTGATGGATCTGGGCAAAGTAAACTTCTGGGAAAAATTCACCTTTCTAGATGCATTAAGAACATTCGTGATTCATGGGAGGAAGCCAAAATATCAACATTAACAGGAGTTTGGAAGAAGCTGATTCCAGCCCTCATGGATGACTTTGTGGGGTTCAAGATTTTAGTGGAGGAAGTAACTGCAGATGTTGTAGAAGTAGCAGGAGAACTAAAATTAAAAGTGAAGCCTGGCGATGTGTTTGAATTGCTGCAATCTCATGGTAAAACTTGAACAGATGGGGAGTTGCATCCTATGAATAACCAAAGAAAATGGTTTCGTGAGATAGAATCTAATTCCGGTGAAGATGTTAGAACATTGTTAAAATGGCAATCAAGGATTTAGAATATTACATAAACTTAGCTGAGAAAGCACTGGCAGGGTATGAGAGGATTGACTTCAATTTTGAAAGAAGTTATCTGGTTAAAATATTAAAGAGCATTGCATGTATAGAAAAATCTTTCTTGAAAGGAAGAGACAATCGATGTGGCAAACTTCATTGATGTCTTAGTTTTAAAAATTTCCACAGCAGCAACCACCACCCTGATCAGTTGGCAACCATCAGAGTCTAGGCAAGACCCTCCACTGGCAAAAAGATTACAACTCGCTGAAGGCTCAGATGATCATAAGAATTTTTAACACTAAAGTATTTTTAAATTATGTAATGCTATTGCATACTTAATAGGCTGTCATATAGTGTAAACATAACTTTTATATGCACTGGGAAAACAAAAAATCTGTGTGACTCGCTTTGTTGAGATAATCACTTGATTGCAGTGGTCTGGCACAGAACCTGTAATATCTTCAAGATATGCCTGCAGTTGAATTACCTAGTCTAATCTCACATACACTGCCATTTCATGGAGAGTTCAGTCCATTTATGCTGAGTTTGAGTTGTGGTATATTCAGATCTGCTTCTCTGTAGTACTTTAAAATGTTTACACATCCCTTTTTTTGTCTTTCCTGATTTTGTTGTTTTGATTTAGATTTTCCTTATCCCTCTCTTGTTTTTCCTCTACTGGTTTAATATAGTGGCATTATATATATTATATATATATATATATATGAAATAGTGTATATATAATATATAACTTTATATATTGTATATATAATTGTGTATATATGCATATACAGTATATATATGTATAATTATATATATAGTATACATAGTGTATACATACCTAATATAGTGGCATTATATATATTATATATTTAATATAGTGGCATTATATCTATTATATATATTATATATGAGCGTGTGTATGTATAAATAAGTATATATTGGTATTCCATTGAACAGTTTAACATGTATATTTAACCTAAGGAAAATCTAATGTTAGCTAATACCTTTTCTTTTATCTCCCAAAACATAAGAATTTATGAGATATTTGAATTAAATTACATGCTTTTATTCATTTCTGTACTCCTAGTTCCAGAGTGCCTTGTATACATGATTAACAAAAGCTTGTTGAATAAATGCATTAAGATATTTATAGTTTATTATAGATTGACTCATATTTAGCCATGTTCCTGAGAAGTTCCCATGAAACTTGGGATATCGTCACTACAGGTGATTTGTTTATTTTGAAAATCAAATGTTGTGTTAGAATGTTTCACTGGAAGATTAAGTATACTGATTATAAAGCTTATATTTTTATCTAGATACAAGAAATATATTGTTGATTTCAGTTTGTCACAATGGAGACCTAAGTGGCTGTTGAGTGTTCATTGCTTACAATACGGTATTTAGCCCTTGTTTCCAGAAACTTGGAGTGAAATAAGATCTTGAGAGATATTCTCTGGTAACTCCTGCTTGTGAGTCTGTACAACTTTGGGCAAGACTACCTTTTCCCATGGAGGAAGGAAAGAGAATGGAATTCAGCAGCCATTGCGCTCCCCTTTGCCTCATCCCCACTTCTCAGGGCTGGAATAGAGTAGGAGAGGCATGTCTCATCCTCAGGCCTCCTCCCCATGGAGGCCCCAGCCAGCATCTGGGCCCCCATGACCTGGAACTTGGTGTGATTTGGGGCTCATCTGTCTTGCTGCATGCCTAAGGCTCATCGTGCAGAAAAGCTCAACACAAGAAACAATAACTCTCAAGAGTGTTGCAATTTAATATTGGTGTAAGTACATCTTTAGGGCTGTGTTTAGCTCCCATCCTGACCCATCTGAAGACTGTTCTAGGTCTTCCAGGTCATGGAGATGCTGCCCTTCTTGGAATTTCCTTACTCTTAGCGCTCACAACTTGCCGTGGTTTTCCCAAAGCTTTCTGGTGTTAGCTCTGAAAGTTCTGTCTCTGGGACCTTCTCACTCCCTGGCTGGCCATCCCTACTTATTGTCTCTGCCATTTCCTTAAGACGGGAGCACAAAGCCTTGCTCGATTCCTCATCTTTAGGCTGGGTTTCATTTCTCATAGGTGAAGCTTTCTCTCTGCCTCTTCTTTTCTATTCTGGGGGCAAGGTGGAGAATGCGGGGAGGTTCAGAAGAATATGAAGTTGTGCTTTTCATTACCTGGTCCTCCTTCCCACACAACACCCACATTCACTCTCCAGTCCCACCTCAGGGAACCCCTTATTGTGAATCTTGGCTGCTTAACCACTGAAGGATGCTGTCCTCCACACCGTGCCTGGTCCTGGGGAAAGCTTTGGATAGACTGGGCTGGCTGAGAGGCATGGGGACCTGTGTCTGCCTTTCTTACCCCCACACACCCACCCTCTTAGCATCTTCATTTACTCTGCAT
Source organism: Homo sapiens (assembly GCF_000001405.40). Lineage (NCBI taxonomy): Eukaryota > Metazoa > Chordata > Mammalia > Primates > Hominidae > Homo > Homo sapiens. The sequence goes on along the minus strand of NC_000018.10, from coordinate 76,089,647 downwards.
CCAAACAGACTTTCTGTTCTCACCTCTTTTTGATCTTTTCTCACCTTCCGTCTAGCTAAGTAGGACGCTCGGTGCATTTACTTCCTTTAATATTAAACTAATTTTCTAAGAGTTTATGCCAGTGTTAGGCATTGTCCTGGTTACTAGGTATAGAAGACAAAAATCTGCACAACTGTATCTCATGGGAAAGGCAGGGATGGAAACAAACACCAAGAACGTGATAAACATTGTGAAAGAGATCTATAGAGTACGGGAACCAGGAATGTTCTATGAGGACAGAAGTGATGCCTTATACTTCTTTTTCCATCTCAATTCTTGCACCAAGCAAAGTATCTTAAACAAGATAGGTACTTCATAAAAATTCCTGATGAGTAAAATAGTTGGAGTAGATGTTCTTGAGATCAATCTTGTAATCACATATTTAAAAAAGTTGAGCAGTTTGACTAATTTAAAAACCATTTATGAAATACCAATATGATGGTTTTGTTTTTGCATCAGACTATTAAATATGGCTGTGAAAGGGATTTGATATGATTCTACAAGTAGCACGTTGGGTAAGCACCAAATACTTGCTTATGGAGGTTGCAAACATATCCCGTATTTCCTCAGGTTGGCTCCTGGCCTATTCTGCATTTGCTATTTGGACTAGCTTTATGTCTTAATTAATGATCCAATAGAAAGAGCTAAAACAAAAACTTCATGAATTTTGCAGATGGTACTGAATAAAGAGATATTACTAATTGGAATAAAGAGTGGTAAGCATTCAATTGCCTTAAAGATGTTGGAAATACAGAAAATTTTAAAATATCAAACAAAGGTCAAACTTCTGTTTGTTAGAAAATGAACTAAAGAGGTTTTAGAAGTAGAAATACCAGAAAGAGAAAACATGAAACAGCAGGAAATTTGGTATTGGTCTAAAACATCACGGTAATGAAATTAGTTATACATAATTTTATATAAAATGATATTTTACAATGTATCATATGCATGCTTTTGAAATAATCTCACAGATTTTATTTTAATCTAAAATTTATTTTATTGGATAATCAATGATAAATCACTGGACTGAACTGTTATCTTGGGAGTGATAAGTTCTAATTTACAATTTTTACTTTTTTATTTTGACATATTATAGACTTTCAGAAAAGCTGTACAAATAATTCATAGCATACCTATATGTCCCTCTCCCAGATTTCTCAAAGGTTAACATTTTATCATGTTTGCCTTTTCATTCTCTCCCTCTCTCTCTTTCTATATATATTTTTAAACCATTTGAAAGGAAATTGCAAACATTGTTCTCTTTTACCCTTAAATACTCCAGGGTTCTGCACTCAAAACAAGAACATTCTGTTATAAAAACATGGTACAAGTATAAAAGTAAAAAATTAACATTAGCATTATACCATCAGCTATCTAGTCTGCAGATCTTAATTCAAATGCTACCAGTTTTCCTGTTAATGTTCTTTTAAGGAAAAAAATTCTAGGGCCAAAAGTTGTGCAGTGTTCAATCATTAGGGCTCTTTCCACTGCAAATGTGCGGTGGTGCATTGGTTTTCCCATGACTGTTAGGACCTTGATATTTTTGGTGAGCACAGGCAATTTGTTTTATAGAATAAATCTTGATTTGGTTTTGTCTGATGTTTCTCATGATTATAATCTATTTTTTAAATACCACAACAATAATGTTTTCAAAGTATATTATATCAGGAGGCACATGATGTTAGATGTCCCATTTCTGGTGATGTTATGTTGATTACCTGGTTAAGGTGAACTCTACAAGTTCATATACTGTAAAGTTACTATTTTTTTATGGCAAAGTTACTTTAAAGGTTCCGTTTTTACGTTTGTAATCTGTGTCTTATGGGGAGATACTTTGAGACCATGTAATTGTCCTGTTACTCATTAAACATTCAGCATGGGTTTGTATCCACTAGAGGCTAAGTCATGAGTGATTGAGATATTGCTGTGATGGTTGCCAAATGGTTATTCATACCCCATTCATACCCCAAATGCTTGCTTAGCATATTTAGTCAATTTAGAGTGTTGACTTTTCTTTTACTTTGTGGTTGTTTCTTCAGAGAATTTTCATCAGTGGAGGTATTCTCATAGGGTCATCAATTTAACTATTTTGTTTATTTTCCCTTTTATACCCAGTATCCAAAGCATGTCTCACCATTCCTTTGTAAGTTTTTCTTCCCCCAGAAGCAATATCTTTCAATCAAAGCCCGCCACTCAAACTGACTGCATTTATAGCTCCTTTTTGTAGCATCTGATTGTTCAGGACTCCTTTCATTTTGCACATATAATGGATTTTCTCTTTCTGGTGGTCATTTTGGATCAATCTTTGGCCGGCAGCTAACTCCTCTCTTTGCTCCCCCATGAAGTTTTTTTCTTGGACTTTCCTTTTTCTCCACAAAAACATGCAATTGAATAGTGGATAATGCTCTAAGGGTTATATTTCTACTTACAGGTAATTTGAAGTTTGGGCATTATTTGAGTCTAGTTATGCTGTAGGTATGGATTTTTAATTACAGGGCCCTGCTTAAAATTACAAAAGCCTCTGTGTTTCTAGGATTTTGGAAAAGTAGGGGTCGGAAGGTGAAAAGGAAGGGAGTGATGTCTTGGTGAGTGAATGGGTACTCATCTCACATATTTCTGGTTTCAGGTTTTTTGCATAATGTTTATGTCATTCTTCCCAATTAAAAATTTACATTAAACCTTCTGTAAGCCTATAAGGACTTCAATCACACAGTGGTTGAAGGTATGATCTCTGGTGCCACAAATATTGAGTTCCAGTTCTGGTGTCACCACTTGTACATTATTTGACCTACCTGCACCTGCTTCCTGTGTGGAAATGATAACACCTGACTCACAGGGTAATTGTTAAGACAAGGTGAGACGACCCCCATGAAACTCCTTGGTGTGATTCTAAACCATCATAAAAGCACTTTCTAATATTTAAAAACATCACACATGGTTAAATTATTTTACTTAAAGAAGTTTGATAAATGATTGTTTCTATGAGGATGTTTCTCTGTCATTGTGTTTGTAGTGTTTATCATTGACCTTAATGAAGACTTAAAATTCATGTTTATTAAATCTTCAGGTTGACCCCAAGTTAGAAGCTAAATATGATTATCAATTGGATAACAAATTTCTTTCCAAGTTTTTCTTTCTTTCTTGAATATATTTCATAGGATTTTGTTTTTCCCTCTGTAGTATCACTACCATAGTCCACAAGGATATATTTTTATTTATGTGTCTTCATCCTTCACTAACTTGTGAAGTTTTTCAGAAGAAAATCTCCTTATTCAGTTTGGGAAACCAGATGATGAATAGATATTATTCAGAGAATTACAATACAGTGGCATGGCTGAAATGCTTAGGTCCTGTGGAAGAGAATTAATTGAACTCAGCTATACACAAAATTAAATCTAAGATTTAATGGATGCCTGACTTATATAAGAATATTTCCACCACTGTGCCTAGAATGGATTAGAGGGAGACAGGAAAGAAAGTGAAGATCCATGCAGGAGATCATGCAAGCCCAAGATAATCACAGCATGGGCAAAGGTCACCCACAGAGGTAAGCAGAATTAGAAGGGCTTGAGATGTCACTGGGAGGTAGAACCAAGAGTGGCTAGTGTACAGCTAGACTTTGTTGCTTAGTTATAAGTATATTGAGGGGTGGAGGTCTGAATGTTGGTGAAATCCCTAGAGTTAAGACTCCATGAAAATATCAACACCCATGCCACAAAGGAAAAAAACTCTCTGTGGATTTGCCAGATTTACAGTTTGTTGATAAAAGTCAAATAATCCAAGAGAAAATAGTGACTCTTTTCTTATTTTATGTCCTCCACTCAGCTTCCTCCTTTCTCACTTACTTCTTGGGTGGCTTATTAGCAAGCTAAACTCAACACAGTCAAGTTGAGAAGAACAGTGACTTAGTGATGAATGAGTGCCTTATTCTTCTAGTTGGTCAAACACTTTACTGAGTAATTACTGTTGATGGTGATGGCGATCCATCTGGAGCTGTCACTGTGAAGACACTGGCTGCAGCGAGGGAGGCATAGCTGGGATTGGGTGCTCAGAGTGGTATGGAACCAGTGGGAGTCAGGGACAAATGGGATCCCCACCCTCTACTGAGTTGGCAGGGTGAGAGCCCTGTGCTCCCAGGCACAACTGCAGCCACCCAGCTGTGGCTGCATACCCCAGCATCCCTGTGCTTTTAGGAGGCCTGGTAAGCCCCCCTGCCCCTGCAGACTCAGAAGTGCCTGCTCCCACTTCCTGGTCTCTCCCCACTCCCACCAACCACCGTGATTTCCAAACAAAGTTGGGGTCAAGCCTGGGTGCTGTCATGACCTGGTAGGTATGTGTGCACCCAGGGAGACACTGACATGCCAGCCCCCTGCTGCCTTGGCACCCTCCAGACTTTGGGTGCTGACGAGCATGGGAGGGAGGCCAAGAGGGGGCTGAGGGTAGTTGGGTGCAGGCCTGCAGGTGCCCCTTGTCAGGAACAGCCTGGGAGCCATGGACAACATGATTGATGGTGGCAGGAGGCAGACAGGCTCCTGGGTGGAAAGGGGCAGGTCCCCAGTGAAGCCTCACCTCCAAGCCAGGGATGGCCTGAAGCTGGGGGCTAGGCTATCAGTTCTGGGTGGAGACTGTGGCCCAGAGTGAGAACTTATGGTGCTTTTCCTGGGCTCACCTATGGCCACCTATGGACCAATCAACATGCACTTTCCCCTTTCTGAAGCTCTTAAAAACCCTGGACACAGCCAGACTCACAGAGACATTGGGACAACCTGCCTGGAGAAAGGAGCTACCCACTGCCGGTCTCCTCTCTGCTAAGAGCTGGACACTTGTCAGTACAACCTGCCTGCAAAAGGAGGTACTCACTTTGGGTCTCCTGAGAGATGTTTTGTCTCTCAATGAAACTTCTCTCCACCTTGCTCACCTTCCACTTGTCTGTGTACCTCATTCTTCCTGGCTATGGGACAAGAATTCAGGACCTGCTGAATGGTGGGACTGAAAGAGCTGTAACACAAGCAGGACTGAAACATGCTCCCACCACTCGCCAAATTGAGGGCAACAAGGAGAGAAGAGCTGTGGTCCTTTGGGGAGCCCAGACCTAGGGGCTCCCTGAGCTAGGACTGTGACACCCTCTTTGGAGCTCTGTGGCTCCTGGCATCTGCAAGATTCTGGGCGCCACTGCATTCCCCTAATCCAGACACGGATGCCCGCAGTGAAAGCTGTGTGAGGTACATCTGGTCTAGCTCCAGCCTCACACAAAGCCAGCACCTTTGTCAGTACCTGGAGCTGCCCACCCAGCCATAGCAGCCAGTGTGCTTGGTGTGTGCAGTGGCCAGATCCTGCACTCACTTGCCCTCACACCCCTCACTTCTCTGGGCCTGGCTTGCCCTTGGCACGTATGGGATCTGGGCTGGTAGTGCAACCCCAGTGTAGCCTGCCAACCCGAGTGGGCGGAACAAGCCCAGGGGGTGTGAGCAATACTCAGGCAGAAGGTGTGCCCAGCCACAGAAGTTTCCAGCTGGTGCAGCAACACCCCATGCATCCTGTGACACTGTGAGCTGACCCAAGGGATACTAGTGGTCTTGACAAAAATTACTAAGTTGATTATAAAATGTTTGAACGTGGTTATCAACAATAAAATTAGCAGAATTGTGACAGAGAAATGATTTTAATTGCCTACAATTTCTAAAAATAGTATATGTGCATTACTTGCATGACAAAAATGAGGCAGAGCATGATTTTCTAAGAAGAGGAATTTGCTGGGGAAAATTCTGTCCAGTGTTTAAATAAGCCAGAAGTTTCAGGAGGATTCTTTTTTTTTCTTTAATAATCTGTAATCAAAACTATTGATATATCTTTTTTCCTTTTTTTTGTTTAAACCATGTTCTTGTTTTGAATCTAGATAAAAAATAAAATATCTCTACAGTTATTCTTAAAGGCCATAAAGCAGTGACAATTCTACACTGATTCATGAAAACTTTCTGCTCATGAGTTGTAATTGCAGGGCTAATCCTAGGTAATGGGAACCACCAACAATCTTTTTAGGAAATGATGATGTTTTGATCTTTGCTGCAGGGTCTTTCTAGGTTTTAGCTTCTTGAGACGAAGCAGAGGTCTACTGAATGAAAGCTTCAATTTCTGAGGTTTAAAAGACCTTGTTGGAATCAAGCCTCTTTGGGATGAAGTACATTCAGCTGAGTTTGTATTAATTGATGAGATTGCAAGAGATGCTTGTCTAAAATCTTTAACAAATACTGAAACAAGAAATTCTGTTCACTTTTCTTAGAAACATGCACTGGAAGAGACCTCTATGGATTATTCTATTTATTTCCTGGCCTCCTAGCAAACTTGATCTAAGCTTCCCAAATAGGTTCAGCCATGCTGCAAGAGTTTTCCTGCAGTGTACCCATGAAGTAATAGGGAGGCAGGTTGGCGTCAGGAAACACGCCACAGGGCAGTGCTAGCCCTTTATATGCATCTTGAAATTACAGCCATGCACTCTGGAGTGATGCTTTTTTCCTGTGTCTGATGTTTTAATGCCTTTTTTTCCTGGTACTAACTGTGGAGGAGGTGCTTAAACTTCACTTCCCAGGCTGACGAGGACTCGATGTCCGGGGCAACATCCTCAGGGCTCACCATGGGCTGTCCACTATTTATCAGTCTTTCTTTCTTTCTCTTTCTTTCTTTTTCTCTTTCTTTCTTTCTTTCTTTTTCTTTCTTTCTTTCCTTCCTTCCTTTTTTCTTTCTTCCTTCCTTCCTTCCTTTCTCTCTCTCTCTCTCTCTCTCTTTCTTTCCACAGAGTCTCGCACTGTTGCCCAGGTTGGAGTGCAGTGGCACAATCTCGGCTCACTGCAACATCTGCCTCCAAGGTTCAAGTGATTGTCCTGCTTCAGCCTCCCAAGTAACTGGGATTACAGGTGCCCTCCACATGCCCAGCTAAATTTTTTGTATTTAGTAGAGATGGGGTTTCACCACGTTGGTCAGGCTAGTCTCGAACTCCTGACCTCAGGTGATCCGCCCACCTCTGCCTCCCAAATTGTTGGGATTACAGGCGTGAGCTACTGTGTCCAGCCTTATCAGCATTTCTTCTTAATTTTTGGCAATGCCTCTTTTACAGATATTGCTTTACTTCCGGTGTCTTTACCTCGGCCACAGAGACAGGTGTTCAGTTTCCTGGGGGCTGCAGGCGAGGCGCCAGTGTACCCACAGTGCAGCTAGTGAAGCGGTCATTGCAGGCAGGAGGGGACAGCATCCCCCTCAGCAGGAATGCACAGGTGAAGCCCCATCAGCACCTGGAGCTGTTCACCGTTGCTCCACGGACACCCCTAAAAATGCCCTGACACAGATGACTGGCTGGGAGGCTCCATGGAAGGACCTGTGTTTGTCCATCTGGAAGCTGTTCTTCAAGATCCCCAGCACCCAGCCCGTGAGTCCCTGTGAGCCCCCCTGCCTCGATCTGCAGGATTTGAGGCTGCTGTGAAGACCAGTTAAGTCCTGGAAAAGCAGCCAGGGGCTGCAGACCAAATAGTTGCTGCTGCCACCCACGATGAATATGGCATCTGGAAAGTTTTCCTTTGAAATTAGATTATGTTTCACAGATCAATAGCGTCTTCTTTATTTAATCTTCCCGAGGGTGATAGCAAGCTAGGGAGAGAAAGGAACACGGCTTTATGAAACCTACCCGTTTGTTTGCTGGCTCAGGTGTCTCCCACTTTCACACCAGCATTGGGGAGAATTCCTCACTCTCCTGTCTCTCCCTCATTTCTGTGGCCACGTGTGGCCGCTGAATGCATTGGTACTAGGCTGGCAACCAGGGCAGGATGGGGAGCCAGCTTGCGGCGGGGAGGCTCGTCCTGCATCCTCGACTGGGCTCCAGCTGCCTGACGACTGGAGGATGGAAGTGCCAGCCTCTGGTCTAGAACTAGGCCCCTGGGGCAGCACCATGGCCGGCACCGTCCATCAGCACTTGCCTGGAAGCGGCATCACTGCACCTTAGGAGATGTGGGGCTCCCAGGCTGGAAAAGCACCTCCCCTCCCTCTTCCTCAGTGTTAGGCTGCAATTCGTTCCCATCCTGCAGGAAAAATTAAAAAACTCAGATCTCATCTTTGCCTTCAAGATCATTTGCCCAAATCTGGGAGCACAACTTCCTCCTGGAGGTGGAGAAGCACAGTCTGTATGAGCAGCAGGCCTACCACCGCCAGCCCTTTTGGATATGCTGGGAAGTGAGTCCACTCTGCTGGAGTCCACGCCCAATAAACTTCACAGAAGCCAGTGCTCCCAAACACTGGCTTAAAGAGGACAAATAAGTCATTTAAAGAAAGATATTGTATGGTGTTACCTGTCCATCATAAAAAGGTCTAGCCTATATGGTTTTATAACTTTGCCAAGTCTTATTGTGGTGTTTGAGTTTAGCCTGGACAGTGGCTAAATTTGGAGTTCCTTATTTATTTATACTTTCATGCAAGAGGGTCACAGTGTGTGTGGACAGAGGCAAGTGTGTGTATGCACAGATTACTTATCTGCCTGGGTGAGGATCCTTCCTTCTGGCTGCCTCGGACCTTTGGTCACAAACAGACCTTTCCATCGTTTGGACAGATTGAGTTTTCCCAACTCATGTTGCTTCTCCAGGAATGAAGAACATGGGGCTCCAGGACCATGGGGTCAGTCTGATCACTCCTTTGAAAAAATGTTTTATTAAGTTTTTAAATTTTTTATTGTGTTCATGTCAGAGCTCCACACCTTCTGTCTTATGAGACATGCTCTGTCCAAGGGAGGCTGGTGAGCCCAGGGGCTGGGGAGGTGCATCGCGGCGTGGCCTCTGGCATTTCTTTATGACAGTATCCTTCCAGCCATTGTAGCCTGCTCCGTGCAGAAGCATGGTTTCAAATTCTGCCCTTGAAACATGGATTAAGCAATGTTGCTAATACGTATTTGTCCCTGCGCTGTCAAACATTTCACTGATTCTGGAGTCTGCAGACAGCTTAATAGCCAGGTCCTCTGTCAGCATGACTGCGGCTGTGTCTGCTTTGCTTTAAGATGCCATTGAGATTTATTGGAGAAATAGGTGCAGAATGATACCTAGTTAAGAACAGCACCTGGTTATGTATATATCATCACAACTCACGGACATCCAAAGTGACCAGATGAAACGGACAGACCCTGCTTGCCAACAGGCACCAGCCTCAGTGTGGGAGGTGAGAGCACCAGCCCCTGCCCATGTCTCCGCCACACTGTGCACACGGCCTGCGGAACACGGGCACCTCTGGTTGCAGAAACTGGGATCCGCTAGTGATGGAATTCCTGAGATCATTGATGTAATTGATTTTACTTTTTTCTTTTTCAAAATACAGTGTAATTGCTCTTCAAACACAGCACCTTTAGAATAGTGTTGGTTTCTCTGTGTATGATTCTCTAAGACATTCTTCCATTTTCTTTCTCTGTAGCTTTTAGTATATAAGAAATAGGTGGCCGGGCGCGGTGGCTCACGCCTGTAATCCCAGCTCTTTGGGAGGCCGAGGCGGGCGAATCACGAGGTCAGGAGATCGAGACCATCCTGGCTAATACGGTGAAACCCCGTCTCTACTAAAAATACAAAAAATTAGCCGGGTGAGGTGGCGGGTGCCTGTAGTCCCAGCTACTCCGGAGGCTGAGGCAGGAGAATGGCGTGAACCCGGGAGGCAGAGCTTGCAGTGAGCCGAGATCGCGCCACCGCACTCCAGTCTGGGGGACAGAGCGAGACTCTGTCTCAAAAAAAAAAAAAAAAAAAAAGAAATAAGTAATTAAACACTATTTTCATCAGTTTATGGCAGAGATGATTGGACTGTGCTTCAAGATAATATTATCAAATACCTCAATCCAAATACGTTAGAAACTGCATTTTGATTACATAATTTAAGAAATAGATTGGCATCCATTTATATATTTATGATGAAGGTGAGTGAAACTTAGCCATACAGGGTTGTGCGAACTCTTCTAGGTGGTGCACAGTAGGCCACATTTCTCTTCCTGTTAGCATCTCATACTTTTCATAACATCGTTGTTTAATAATGATGTATTCACTGAATGAAAAACGAATGAATACATAATTGCTTATATTGAAAAAATAAGTCAATCTGTGGTTCACATGGCCTTTGATCTATATGCATTTTCTAAATATATAAATATATGCATTTCTAAATATATCCATTTTAATCCATACATTTCTGAATATATAGTTATATTTTACATACATAATACTTTTTTACATACAAGGGCCTTCTTTTTTTTTTTTTTTTAAACTAGTGAAAGACACTTAACTTTGTCCAGGAGCTGGTTCCCCTTATGCCTAGTAGAGGCTGTTTAGGTTCAGGTCTCCACACTGAATCTAAAATTCATTCTTGGGCTTAGGACATGCATTTTAATTGATTGGAAACAATCATGATAATTCCACCTCCTTTGTCGCGTGAAATGGAAAGACGTACTTCTGTCTCTTGAGACAGGAGGGCAAGCCTTCAGCCTGGGCTTCTGGGACAATCATTTTGGCATTTCACCTTTAGCATTAATGAAGAAAAAATGCAAGTAAAATTGAAAAGATGGAGAATGACAAGTGCTGGCGAGTGTGTGGAGCAGCTGTTACTCCCCCACCTTGCTTGCGGGTGAGTGAAACTGTTTTCCACTCTGGCCATTTGCGGGGCCGTTTCTCGTGAAGTTAAATATGAACTCAGCAAAGAATCCTGCCATTCCATTCATAAGAATTTACTCAAGAGAAATGAGCATGTGTATCCACACAAAGCCTTGTGCACACTTGCACATGAGTGTTCATAGATGCTTTCCTTATATTCACTCCAAACTGGAAACAACCCAAATGTCCATCATCAGGTGGGTGCATAAACAAGTGACAGTGTCCCCACCGAAGGACAGAGTGCTACGGAGCGGTCCCCAGGAGAGAGCTGCAGAGGGCACAGCAGCACGGGTCAACCTCCAACACAGGCTGCTGAGTGAAAGGCTGGGCCCTAGGAAGTCCTGGACCAGGCAAACTCTTCCATGCTGACATTCACAGATTCTGGCTTTCTAGGGGCAGGGTGGGAAAAGGATGGACCGGAGGGGAGTGCACGGGAAACGTTTGGGGTGATGGAGACACCCTACATCTTGTGTAGGTGATTACAATAGTGTAATTGCATTTGTCAAAATGCACTCAATTGCATACATAAAATGGAGATGATATTTTGCGTAATTTATAGTTTGGTACAGTGACTTTTAAAAGAAAATCACAGAGATGCAAGAAGGAGAGACCATGTCTTCTGCGCCTGAGCAAGCAGTGGGCAATGCTATGATGCTCAGGGCACCTGCTGTCCTCTGGCCCTGAGTGGAGACAGCAGCTGGAATGAGGACGGACTCATGTGAGGTGCAAAGGATCCATCTTAAGGATGTCATTACGCCACTGAATTTCCCAATCCTGGGATGAGTAACTAGGTATTTTGGAAGAAAACAAATTTTTCTTATTGTCTAGTCTAATCTTCTTGATGTTTTGAAGTATTTTTATATATTTTTATTCTTCCTGGTCACTATCCCCACAGACTACATCTGCATTAATCATTTATTCCTCACCACAGCCCTAGGAAATAGAGTGGGCAGCTGTAAGAATTTTGCTTTGGAGGATGAAAGCATCTTTGGCTCAGAGAGGGTGAATGACTTGTGCCATATCACAGCGTTATTTAGGAGGGTGCTGGACCTACCTTTCTGGTTTAAAAAGCCACTCTTCCTCCTGTTACACTGTTGTTAGCTCACAGCTACTGATGACACTATTATTTCCTCCCCTCTTTTCCTGGCATTCATGTTTTTATTGGTGAATTATCACTTTTCCGTGAAGACAGAGTTGGAAAGATGTTGAGAACTCCCCCACACACTCAAACAGCTCCACAATGACTGTTTTATGGAGGTAAACATGTACATAAAAGTGGAGGCCTGCCCACCACATGTGCGCTGCATTTATTCATGGGAGAGACAGGCGACAGACACTGTCCTCAACTCCATCGACCCTACGGTGTCTGAAAACAAGGACAGGCCAGAAAACAGGCATGTTGTGAGAGGGTCTCTTTAGCCCACTGTGTGACCGGAGGGTCTATTTCAAATAACAAAGAGGGAATTTACTACATGTTAACATCTTGAATTTCTGCCTACAAATCAACACTATTTTCAATCTTCACCTACTTACTTATCCACCTATTAATTCAAGTCTGGATTAATTCTTATTCAAAGACATTTCAGCTCATGCAGTATTTCAAAACACCCCTATCCAGTGGGGTGGAATCCAAAGAGATAGTGACAAAACAGATATTTAAGCCTTCTGACTATCATAGAAACTCCAGGTGAGAATCAATCTTTTGGGTGTTGTCTGAATTTATCTTTCCTATTTTAAGCAGTTTTACTTGGACTTCTTTCTTTTTTTCCAGAAATTGTTGTTTATTTGTGCCTTTTAACATATTTCTCACTGGATACTGAAGGCAGGAGGTCCATTCTTCTCAGTTTGTCTACCTTTAATGTTAATGATTATAACTCTTGAGTTATTTTGGATTGTATACAGACAGAGTGGACACGAGGCTATTTGTAGATAAGTGAACATTGAAAGTGGTCACATGTAATTATTAAATGTTTTTCTTTACCTTCATGTCTTTCCAGCTAAAGTAATTCATTGATGCTTTCAATCTTTCATCCCCAAACCCTGTGTTGAGTGCCTGTCATAAGCAGAGTTGGGAGTATGTCACTGTATCCTTGATGATATTGAAGCAGAGGTGTTGATAATCTCCCTACAACTACTCATTGGCAACGTTCATGAAGACTCACCGGAGTCACTGAAATTAAGCCATGCAAAGGGGGCCTCCTCACTTCTGCTTTCTCAGGGCTGCCCTTGTGCCTTCCCCATTTGTATTGGCTGCGTCCGTCTTCACCCCATTGTCCATGTTCAAAACCTTGACTTTGTTTAAATTTCCCTCTCCCTTTCTCCCAACAGCTACATAACTTCATTCCATAAAAATTCTTCCTTATCAATGTCTCTAGCATCAAATCCATTGCCACTGCCCTCAATTAGAAGCAGTGCTTGGTTCAGATTTCCAGTATATTCTGTGTGCGGCTGCCATGGGAATCCTCGTTCAAGCTTTCATCATATCAGCCTCCTAGTAGAAGATTTCAAACACTTTTCCTTGCTTATGAGATAATATTCCAAGCTGCTTGTTTGGAATTCAAGGATCTCATGTCACCCTGATTTACTTCAGCCTAAGATGACTGAATTGACACTTTGCATTATTGCACTCCAATAATGTTTAAGTCCTAACGTCTAATACTAAGAAAAACTGGCTAATTAAATGCTGCTGATAGTGTTTCTATTTCTACATTTTTGTTTTGGTAAAAATATTTTAGTGAGACTTATGGTTACATAAAGCTTCTGCTTTTCAAATAAAGAAGTTTGAAAAACTGAGCAATTACATTGCTTGATATAATAGCCCATTATGCTGCTTCCGTCCTGCGTGGAGTCACATTTCTGCTGGTTGGTAGCCTAGAAGCTGCACCATTTTTTCTGAAGTCCTGAGGTCACCTGCAGAAGAATCTCAGCAGTCCAGAGGAATGGCTGGCACAGCCAGCGAGCATGACTCATGGAACCTGGAGACCCTGCTGTGGATTCCCAGAGACGCTGGATGAGGGAAATCTGAAAGGCTGAGCTTACTGCAGAGCTGGGTATAGTAGCTGAAGTTACTGTTATTTATAAAATAAAGGGAACTATAGCTGTTGGAGGGCACAGGAGTCTGGGATACCTGGGTTAGAGGACCTTGCTAATTCTCAATTCTGTGTATCCTTCACTGTAGCCAGCTGATAGATGGGCTTATTTGTGAACATGCCTAACACATGCTAGATTTTCTGACCTGGGCAACTTCCTGTCCTCTCCACACACCTGTCACATCTTTCAGAGCTGACCTAAGCCCCACCTGCTACCCGATGTTGCCACAGGTTCCCAGGAACCTCTGAGCCATGCTGCTGGTTAATTTTGCTCAGACAAAGCAGCAGAGTCAGTCCTTGCTGGAGCTATGGGACCTGCTAAGTGGGCTCCTGTTTCCAGTTTAAAGCTTTTCATCTGGAGGAAGGGAGCTCTTTTGAATTACTAGTTTAGTACAAATTTCTCAGGGTGAGATAACTGGGTCAGACTATGAATGCCATCATAGTTGTAAACCATAATTTGGAGCAGTAGTGATTTGGTTTAGAGTTTGAAATAATTAAATAATCTATTTTATTTTATGCCAAAGTTTATTCCCATGATTTATGCATTCTTCATACTCACTGGAAATACCTCTTGTGCTGCTATAACAGAATACCACAGACTGGGTACTTACAAAACAACAGAAATTTATTTGGCTCATGGTTGTGGAGTCTGGGAAGTCCAAGACCAAGGGGCCCACATCTAGAGAGGGCCTTCTTGGCCAGGCCATCCCACGGTGGAAGATGGAAGGGCAAGAGTTTGAACTTGCAGCGCCCCCAAGCCCTTTTATAATTGGCATTAACTCATTTATGAGGATGGAACCCTCATGACCTAGACACCTCCTATTAGGTGCCAGCTCCCAACACTGTTGCATTGGGGATTAACTTGCCAAAAAGTGCTGCGGTTTACATGTGTCCCCCAGAAAGCATTGTCCCCAAATGCTTTTGGAGGGGGACACATTCAAACCATAACACTTCTCATTTGAAGTACCACTTCTGCTGTCATTATTACTATTTATTTTATTCCTACATGCAGTGGACACACACTAGGGTAATCGCCCATGTGGAATACCCTGTATAAGTCCCATCTCTTGAGTGTGCTGGAAGCTGTGACTTGCCAAGACAATATGGCAAAGCTGAGGGGGATGTCATTCCCTTGACGAGCTTACATTATATAGGCTCTGTCTTGGCAGGCTGGAGACAGAGATTCTTCTGCCTGCCCTAAAAATGTAAACTTTGCTGTGTGAGAGGGCTCTGCATTCTGGGAAAGGGTCGCATGGCAAGGAAGAGAGAGTGGCCCTGGCTGACAGCCAGCAGCGAAACAGAAGTCTTAGACGTACAACCGCAAGGAACTGGGTTCTGCCAACAACTGTGTGAGCTTGGAAGAGGACTTTGAGCTCCCCAAGGTATCTGGCTGATACCTTGATTGTCACCTTGTGAGACCCTTAGCTAAGAGCCCAGTTTAGCTGTGCCCAACGTCCTGACCCATGGAAATTGTGAGAAAATAAATGTGTGTTATTCTAAGTTGCTAATGTGGTAGTTTGCTCTGCATTTGTGGAAGGCTGAAAGATATATATATGTTAATCTCTGGAATCTGTAAATGCAATATTGTTTTAAAAAAGGATCTTTATAGATGGAATTAAATTAGGGATCTTGAGATGAGGACATTTTCTTCGATTATCCCAGATATATCACAAAAGGCCTAAGAAGAGGGAGGCAGAGGGAGATTTGAAAGGCTGAAGAGGAGGAGACAATGTGATCACAGAAGAGCTTGAAGTGATGTGGCCATGAGTCAAGGAAGGCTGGCAGCCACCAGAAACTGGGAGAAGCCAGGAACAAATGTTTCCCTTGAGCCTCCGGAGGGAGCGTGGCCCATAAACACCTTGATTTTGGCCCAATGATGCCAATTTCAGACTTGTAGCCTCCAGATGGAAAGACAAAAAAATTCTGTTGATTAAGCCCCCAAGTTGGTGGAAATTGTTTACAACGACCACAAGAAACTAATACAATGTCCATAGATAACAGGGACTTGCCAATAACCACAATTTGGTGAGCACTTAAGATGGGTGAGATTCTGGGATAAGCACCAGTATATATTTCTCAAACTTGCTTCCAACTTACAGATGGGTTGACTTTTTTTCAGAGAGATAAAGTGACTTCTCAAAGGTCACATGTTTGGATAGTGGCAGAGCTCACATCTGTAGGGTTCCACATTCCACACCCTTTAGTCTTATACCATGCTGCTTGAAAGGACCAGCTTACTTAACGCATTTAGTTGTGACTCATCCATAAAACCAACCGATTGGTACTAGCCTGGCAAGTCCGATGAGATAAACTTTCAGATGCTGAAGCCCCAGAGATGTGTCTCCACATTGCTGGTCAGGGAGCACAGTGCTTTGTCCCCCTCCAGGGTGCTCAGCGAGGCACCAGCAGCAAGTGTACGTAGCTACAGAATCACTGCAAAATGAGGCCAATGTCTCTGACGGGATCTTAGTCAAAGGAGATAGTCATGTCCTTAATACTTATAGAAAGGGGAACTCTCATAATGGCATAAGAAGTGACTGGTGGGTGAAGTAAAAAAGTGGATATTGAGTTTTAATGGTAGGACATAGAGAACCATTGCATCATGGAGGGATGGACTTCAGGAAGATTAATTGGGCAGCGTCTACATCAGTTCAGGTTGCCATAACAAAATACCATAGATTGAGTGGCTTCAAAACAGAAATCTATTCTCTCACAGTTTTGGAGTACAGAAGTCTCAAATCAGAGTGTCAGCATGGTTGGGTTCTGGTAAGACCCACTTCTTGGCTACAGATGGCTGTCTTCTTGCTATGTCCTCACATGGCTTTTCCTGGGGGTACATGTGAAGAGAAGGGAAGATTTTTCTATGTCTTCCTCTTCTTTTAAGGGCACTAAATTCCATCCTGAGGGCACTGCACTTGTGACCTCATCTAAACCTCAAGGGTCCTATCTCCAAATAGCATTCCATTGGAAGTTACGGCTTCAACATGTGAATCTCGGAAGACACAAACATTTGGTCTGTAACAGACAGCAATATTAGGATAGCTTTGAGACACTGGAAGCCAGGGGTATTATGTGTTACTTGATGCCAATATCAGTTACCACCTCAGACATTAGTCTATTTTAAAAAAATCTGTAATTATTCAAAATGCCATAGGTCAGCAACCTGGGTGGTTCTTCTGTTGGGCTCAGCTGGGATCATTCGTATGACTGCAGTCTTCTCATGACCTGACTTGGAGTATAAAGCTATAAGATCTCATCCAGGTTTGGAAGTTGGTTCCAGCTGTTGGCTAGGGTGCCTCAGTTCTCTTCCACATGGTGTGATATCTTATTTCCCAGTAGCCAAACCATCTTTGCAAGACAGTCACAAGGAAGTGTTTTAAGTGACCAGAGTGGAAGTTGCTCTGAACTTAGCTCTGAAAATGTCACTCTTACCCATTGCATTAATCAGACCAATGTACAGAGGCAGCCTAGATTCAAGAGTGTAAAGCTATCAACTGCATCTTGATGAGAACAGTGACAGCTTTACATGGCAAAGGGCCTTGGACAGATGCAGGGAAGTATACTTCATGGGATCATAGTTAATACACTCTACTGCAGCCAGTACCAAGGCTTTGCAATTTTTCAGGACAATTATAATATGAATTTGAGTTGAGATGTTCATAAAAGAAATGGAGAGAGAGAAAGGAATGATCTCAAGTGTTAGGGTAGAGACTAGGATCCTGACTACAGGTAGGAAGCATAGCCTCGGAGGATAAGAAATGACCCTCATGCATTAAATGTTAGAGTCCTGGAGGCTTTGATGCCATTGTGAGAAATAGGAAAATCCGAACAACAGGCTTATGGGCCATAGAGCGGAATTGCTCTAATGCCTGTTTATGCAACTTTAGAATTTTCTAGGAGAAGTTAATATAACAATTACTTGAAAATGATAGATAATGTAATGGGTAGAACTTCAGTACTAAAAGGTAAAATTTGAGTCTGATTGACAAAGTAGAGATAAGATAATTGGTTTAAGAAAAAACTTACGTATTAGGGGCAGAAGAAAGACAAGCTTCAGAAATAAACCAAAAGGGCTGTGGATATCATTAAAGGCAGTGGAAGAAAATTTTGAGAAGGAAGAGATGCCATATGATTCAGAGAGATCATGAAGAACATAATATAAGAAAAGCCATTGGCTTTGGGGATTAGAAGGTGAAAGGTAATATTGAAATATCTAATTTTATCATATTTCATCCAATTTATGATTCCATTGATCATAAGACTAATTCCTATTTCAGACATGCTAAAATGTGAAAAAATGTTTTTTCTTATAACTGAAAAATTATTGTAGCATATAGGAAGCAAAGCCAGATTGACAGAGAAAGAAGTGGCAGTAAATGACAAGGAAGAGGACTCTGAAGAAGTAGTGTAATTATTTTAAAGATGTTTAATGAAAGAAAATATAAACTAGGAAACAGATGCAAGATCTGAAATAAAATTTTGTTTGTTTGCTTGTTTGTTTATTTTCAGATTACGATTTGTTTGATTTCAGACAGACAAGAAAGAACCAGTGGAGACGGAAGAGAGAATTGAAGATAAAATAAAATTTTAGAAGGAGGAAGAAATAGGGTTAAAACCTAAGGGAAGATTTTAGCTTTGGAAATAAAGAGATTTTTGTTTTTTATTTTTTATTTTTATTTTTATTTTTATTTTCTCTACGTAAAGAAGAAAATGGAATCTCTGGTTCCAGTCATAATGGAGAAGCTCGAATTAGAATAATCACCCCTCTCTCCTAAAACAACCATAAAAGCTGGACAAATTATGTAAAGCAACAGTTTGATGGAAGTGGTGGGAAATGCTGTGCATAAGACTTCAGGGGCTACCGTCTCTCAGAGAAGGGAAATATACAAAATTATTTCCATACTCACCTCAGAAAAACACAGGAGGAATAGAATCCAAGAAGACAGTGGCAATTGTACTAGCTGAGGACACACAGGTCAGATCCAAGCCTGCTAAAGCAGTTGGTCTAAGAGGGCAAAAGTACCGTGGTGAAGGAAATCACAAAGAAATCACTCATACATTCGTAGAACATTTCTCTCAATTACTGGCCAATTTCTAGGCTGCATATTTGCAAAGAAACTTTCAAGAAACTTAGTAAGAAATAAGAGCTGGCAAGATAAAGAGATGAACAAAGATTTCAACCATGGAGGGTCTGAGGGAAAAGTAGTTAGAGTTCAAGCACTGACCTGGAGGAAGAGCCTCGATATGTTATCTGGTCTATCAGTAGAGGGCTCAGAGTCCATGTCCCAGGACAAGGTTACACTCTAGAAATAAATACCATTTCTTAGGAATAAGTACCATGCACTAGGAATATACAACATAATCAAATAGATATTCTGGATCTGAAAAATACAATATCTGAAATGGAGAGTTATTGGATGAGTGTAACAGAATACTGAACTTGATAGAATACAGAGTTAATGAGATAGAAGAAAAGCAAACAAACAAAAATCCAAACTTAAGGCAAAGAGAAAAAAAAGTTAAAAAAATGGAAAACCTAGAAGAGACATGGGATAAAGTCAAAAGGTCGAACATATGTGTAACTGGAGTTCCAGAAGGCACGATGGGAGATATTGGAAAAGAAACAATGTGAAAATAACATGGCTGAGAAATTTTCAAAACTGATAAACAACATCAGCTTACTGATTTTAAGAAGCTCAAAAACCTCAGTTTTGATAAATATAAAGCAAATCATGCCTGGGCACCTAGGTACTTCCAACTCAGTGTACTAAACCACTGCCCTGCCCACCCACCCTCCAAAAAAAAGTGGGGGGGAGAGAGAGAGAAAGAGAGAGGAGACAGAGAGAGAAACTAAAAGTAGCCAGAGTTAGAAGACACAAGGTAACAATAATAAGACTTAAAACTGATTTTTTATAGAAACTATGAAAGCCAGAAGACAATAGAATGGCATGTTTAAAGTGTGAAAGGGGGAAAAAACTACATATAAAATTTTATAGTCAGAGAAATCATCCTTTAGAAATAAAAGCAAAATAAATAATTCAGTTAAACAAAAGTTGAAATAATTCAATGCCAGCGTGAGTTATTTCAAGAAATAATAAAGGTAGTTCTTGAAGCTAAATAAAATAGCTTCAGTTTCCAGCCTCTAGGTTTCAAAATATCATACAATGCTATTGTAATAAAAACAAGATAGTACTGGCATAAAAACAGACACATTGACCAATGGAACAGGATTGAAAGCCTAGAAATAAACCCAGTTATTTAGGGTTGATTGATTTTCTCCAGAGGTGCCAAGAACACACAATGGGGAAAGGATAGTCTCTTTAACAAATGGTCTTGAGAAAACTAGATATCCATATGCTGAAGAATAAAATTGGACCCTATTTCACACTATATAAAAAAATCAACTCAAAAATGAATAAAAAGACTTAAACATAAGACCTGGAACTATAAAGCTACTAGAAGAATGTTGAGAAAAAGCTCCATGACACTGGTCTGGCCAATAATTTCTCAGATGTGACTACACAAACTCAGGCAACAAAACCAAAAGTAGACAAGTGGGATTATATCAAACAAAAAAGGTTTCTGCATAGCAAAGGAAGCAATCAACAGAGTGAAGAGAGAATCCATGGAAAATATTTGCAAACCATACATCTAGTAAGGGGTTAATATCCAAAATATGTAAGGAACTCAATAAACTCAGCAAGAAAATAGATAATTTGATTTCAAAGATGGGCAAAGGGTCTGAACAGATAGTTCTCTAAAGAAAAGATGTGAAAGGCAACAAATATATTAAAAACCTTTGACATCTCTAATCATTAGGGAAATGCAAATTAAAACCATAATGAGATATTACAAAACACCTGTTAGTATGGCTATTATTAAAAAGATGAATGATAAGTGTTGGTGAAGCATGTGGAGATAAGGAAATCTTGTACCCTGTTGGTTGGAATGAAAATTAGTACTCATTTTGGAAAACTGTATGAAGGTCCCTCAGAAAACTAAAAATAGAATTACTATAAGATTCAGCAATCCCAATTCTGAGTATTTAGCCAAAGAAATTAAAATCATTATGTTGAAGAGATATCTGCATTTGTATGTTCATTTCAGCATTATTCACAATAAATAAAATATGGAAGCAACCTAAGGGTCTGTCAGTGGACGACTGGATAAAGAAAATGGTGTATATACACAACAGAATACTATGCAGGCCTAAAAAAGTGGGAAATTCAGTCATTGGTGGCACTGTGGATGGAACTGAAGGACATACGCTAAATGAGATAAGCCACAAACAAAAAGACAAATGCTGTATGACCTCACTTATATGTCGAATTTTAAAAGTCGATCTTATAGAAACAGAGAGTAGAATTGTGGTTGCCAGAGGCTGGAGGAGGGGCGGGAGTGGGGAACAGGAAGTTGTTGATCCAGGGGGAAAAGTCTCAGTCAGACTGAAGGAATAAGTTTTTAGTGATCTGTTGCAGTGCATGGTGACCGCAGTTAATAATAATGTACTGTGTCATTCAAAATTCATGAAAGAATAGATTATTAATTTTCTCAGCACAAAAGAGAATAATAAATTGGTGGAGGTTATAGGTATGTTAATTAGCTCAATTGAATCTTTCTATAATATATACACAGATCAGGCTGGGCGCGGTGGCTCACACTTGTAATCTCAGCACTTTGGGAGGCCGAGGTGGGCAGATCACGAGGTCAGGAAATCGAGACCATCCTGGCCAACACTGCAAAACCCCATCTCTACTAAAAATACAAAAAAATTAGCCGGGCGTGGTGGTGGGCACTTGTAGTCCCAGCTACACGGGAGGCTGAGGCAGGAGAATGGCGTGAACCTGGGAGGCGGAGCTTGCAGTGAGCCGAGATCGCGACACTGCACTCCAGCCTAGGTGACAGCAAGACTCCGTCTCAAAAAAAAAAAAAAATATATATATATATACACACACACACATATATATGTGTATATATACACATATATATGTGTACATATATGTGTACATATACACATATATATGTGTGTACATATATGTGTATATATAGATACATAGATATAGATATAGATCAAAACATCACATTGTACTCCAAAATTATACATAATTAGTGTTTGACAGTTATAAATAAATAAATAATAGATATTTTTAAAAAGACTTTTTTAAAAAGAAAATGACTCCAGATAGGATAACACTGCAGGAAGGAAGGACTCTACTGAAAAGGATAAATATATTGGTTTTCTAAAACAACAACAAAAATACTATCTTATGTAGTTTATAATACACACACGTGCATATATATACTATGTAGAATATAGTAGTATATCAAAATAGTGCAAAGGGCAAAAGAAGAGAAAAGACACTGGACAATTTTAAGGGGCTTGTCATGTTTCAGTAGTGGTAAGTTAATTGGTTTACAGTGGATTGTGGTAAGTCAGGAGTGCCTTTTGTAATCTTTAGATGTCTAGGATCTAAAATAATAACTTTATAAGTTATTATTTTAACTAAATAATAACTAAAATAATAACTTTAAAATACATAAATTAGGAAGCAAATAGAAGATTTGGATTTTAATAATTTGCTCTGTAGGTGGGTGTGGAGGCATGTGCCTGTATTCTCAGCTACTCGGGAAGCTGAGGCAGGAGGATTGCTTGAGCACAGGAGTTCAAGGTTGCAGTGAGCTATGATGCCACCACTGCACTCTAGCCTGCATGACAGAGTGAGACCCTGTCTCAAAACAAAAAAGGAAAAATTAATAATAATTTGCTAGATGAAGGTTATACAGCAATGGAAAAGTTGAAAAACAAGAAATGGAAAAGTGGTACCAAAGGTGGAGTGAAGACACACAGAACAACATCTGTGCAAAGGCTGGTCTGGATCTTCTTGAAAAAGCAAAATTGAAGGCAGGGAATCAGCAATTGGGGACCAGGATGTGAGTGTGGAAGGAGCGAGAGGAGGTTGGAAATGGTGTTGATGTAGGAGCTAGACTAAAATTATTTAGGCAAATAGTGAAGGTAACAGAGTCTTCGGTAAGGCCTCCCTTTTATCAAAAAGCAGCCCCCAAATCATTTCTTTTCTAACAAAGAGCAGCCTGTGAAATCGAGCTACAGACAGAGATAAGCAAGCTAGAAGCTTGAACAGGTGAATGCTGGTAGCTGTGCCAATAGGAAACGTCTACCTGAGGGCCAGCCGTGTTCAACATGGAGGCTTCATTTTCCTTTTCTTTGTCAATCATGTGTGCAGTAAAGAAGCAGGCACCATGGCACCAGCCAGGTAGAGAACCCGTTTGCATAATAAAAGGTGAGGGCGGGACGGCCGGCTTCTTTGCACGCTATGCAAATGGTACGCCTGGTCCAACCGATCTCTCATGCCCTATGTAATCAGATACCAGCTCCTCAAGCTCATCTATAAAACCCCTTGCATTTCACCAGGGAACCTGAAGACCCACTTGGGAGCCCCGTCTCTTTGTAGGAGAGAGAGCTTTTGTCTTCTTTTTTCTCTCGCCTATGAAACCTCCGCTCTTAAACTCACTTCCTGTGTGTCCACGTCCTCGACTTCCTTGGCGTGAGACAATGAACCTCGGGTATTGACCTGAGACAATGACGCAGCTTCAGTGTTGAATGGAATAAAAGGAATATGTGTTTTTCATTGGGGTGACTACAAAGATAGTAGTTGGGACTAGAAAATATATTATTTTGTGCAGCCAGTGCTCCTAGTTTAGGACTTTCTCCCAGAAAATCTAGGCAGATGGGAATGCAAGCAGATAAAGTAAATGAAAGGGTTTACCCATGTTTGTGGGCTAATACGCACATAGGTCAGGAGGATGAAGAGAGGGCCCTCGAGGAGGTGACCTGGAGTGCTGTTCACACAAATCATCTTTTTTTCTCTTTTGGATAGAAAGGAGATTGAGACCTAGAAGCAATATTCATAGAGTCATAAGGAACAATAGTTTTATAACATGTCCTTGGCATTGTCCATGCAGCAATATTTTTCACAATAATTCTGATCAAGTTTTACATTTTAAGTACATGTTATATTTTAAGTACATTTTAAGTTTTATATTTTATGTACTTATTTAAAATAAGTAATCTGTACTTATTTTACACTGCATGGAATTTGTGACTGTATTGGAAAATCATCTTGTTCCATGTATCAGATCCATTTTATAAAGGTGGTAGCATGTAAGTTTTTGTTTGCTAAATTATATTTTCATTCAATCATCACACATTTTTGGAGGGTTTGTCAGAGTCACTGTCCTACTGCAGAAATAGTATTTGACACATATTTTATTGAACACATATTTGCTGGGCACCCACCCTGTGCCAGGCACTGTGCTTTAACCTTGATTACATCAACAAAACAAACAGACTAGAAATAAAAATGTATGGGATTTTGATTCTAGGAGGAGGAGATAGATAATTAACCATAATAGTATAAATCAGTAAATTATGTTCACGAAGAAGTGCTAAGCCTGTGGAAGGGGTAGAGGAAGATGATAGGAGGATGAAGCTACTGGGAGGTGAGTGAGTGTGGTTTGCATTTTAAAAACAGCATGATCACAGCAGCGATGATTGGAGGACATTGAGGAGTTAGTCATGTGCTTATCTCAGCCTAGACCAAGGGGAAGGCAGGACAAGTGTCCTGTGGGAGGAGACCGCCTGGCAGATTCCAGGCGCTGCAGGAAGCCTGAGCAGCTGGGTGTGGTGGGGGTGGAGTGAGGGCTGGGAGAAAGCAGAGTCAAAGCGGTGAGAGGGGAGGGCAGACAGGTAAGCCTGCTGCCCGCGGGAAGACTTTGCTTGTGTTCCAAATGAGCAAAATGGGAGGCCTTGCAGGTTCTGAGCAAAGAAGGAGTCTGCCTTCACCTTCCTTAGGCCCTAATAGGGTTACTCTTGCTGCAGTGCAGGACTGGGAAGGGATGAGGATGGGAACAGGAGCAAGTTCAGAGGCTTCTCCCATGATCTGGGAGGAAGATTGACCTATAAGATCACGCAAATGCTGGGGACTGGTGGTTCCAAGTTCAGCCAAATGGCTGAGTGATTTCCAGGCACTGGATTTCACATTTTCTACAGTTCTTTTGGCCTTTCCCTTCCAGCAACAAGGCATCAGCTACGGCTTTAAAAAATAATGTCTCCAAAGGCCCAGAGGAGTGAGCCAGCAATGCACGGGAGGGAGGGAGAGCTGTCTGCAGGTGTGCGTGTGTGTGTGTGTGTGTGTGTGTGTGAGCGTGCACAAGTGTATGCATGGTGCCAGTCTGCTGGGGTTTTTTGCTTTTTTTTTTTCTCTTTAATGAGGGATGAAATAGCTTTTACAGAAGTTGCAGCCGAACTCCCCTTCTGGCCAATGGGCTTCACACTTCCTCTGGCTCTCTGGTGACAAGGTGTGGAAAGAGAGCATCTGACAGAGAGAAAGGGATAGTCTTGAATAGTTTAGTCCAAACCCCTAGCGCTGGCCATGTTGCTGCCTAAACAAGATCCAGGCTCTGCAGCAGGGAAGAAGGGATGCCTGCTCACTGGGAAACAATGGTGTCTGCCATCCCTTCCCAAGGGCTCCCCACTTCTCCCCACGTTCCAGGCCGGCCCATCCCTGGCCCAGCCTCAGCGAATGCTGCCTCCTCTGCACTCCCATAATTCCTAAGATCTTTCTGTATTCACTTTCTTTCTGGAATTTAACTTTTTTGAAACCCATGCTATTGAAACTGGTGTGCAAATCAGTGTGCCAAGCAGTATGGGAAACTGGCTGGGCGCAGTGGCTCACGCCTGTAATCCCAGCACTTTGGGAGGCCAGTGCAGGCAGATCATCTGAGGTCGGGAGTTCGAGATCAACCCCTGCTAACATGGTGAAACTTCATCTCTAGTAAATATACAAAATTAGCTGGGCATGGTGGTGTGTGCCTGTAATCCCAGCTACTTGGGAGGCTGAGGCACAAGAATCGCTTGAACCCAGGAGGTGGAGGTTGCAGTGAGCTGGGATCACACCACTGCACTCCAGCCTAGGTGACAGAGTAAGACTCCATCTCCAAAAAAAAAAAAAAAAAAAAAAAGGGAAACTAGAGGGGAAAAGGTCTCCTAGAGCAGCATTTTTACCCACCTTTTTTCCCTTAAAATTATCTAATACATTTTCATGTAAAACAATTTTTTTTAACATATCAAGGAATCAAACACAGATCTTGGACAACCTTCTGAGAGGGGCCAAAAATGTTCAGGAAACTTTGGTCTTCTGTAGGACTGTTTTGGGATATGCCCCTGCTATCTGCTTGGCTGCATCTTATTCCTCTGCTATTTGGGGCACTTTGGTGGACATTTTTGAAAAGCCTCGAATCCACCGTACTCATGTTTGACCCAGATGCAGCCACTGTTTGTATTACTCTCACTGTAGTGCTAAAAAGAGGGGAGCCTGGAGAAGGAGTTTTTGCTGGAAAGCAAGCAGCTTTGGAAAGAAATAAAGAAAGAAAGGAGTGAGCTCTCCACTGAGTAGGTAGATCCTCTGTCGCTTATGTTGTCAGGGTCTCGGCTGACTATCACTGAGCTGCACCCGCAAATGCCTGGTAACACACGGATGCTGAAGTTCAGCCACTGTGTTGCATTTTTCATCGGAACACCAGCCTCTGCTCTCTCTTCTTCCACCTTTAACTATTCGTGGATGCCTTGCAATTGACACCTTACTATACGGAATTCTCTAATTTCCTGTTCAGCAAAGTTTAGTTTTTCTATCTTTGAAAGGGTTATTATACTTGATACTTGATACTTTACTGTGGATTACTTGTTTTATTGCTGGTCTGAGTTCTGTACCTCTTTTTTTTTTTTCTTCTTAGGATTATAAAAACACAAGAGGTACTCAGGAAATACTATTTCATAGTTTATTAAAGTTTTTGATTAATTGATTATGATTATGATGATCTATTTTCCTTCCAACCCTCTAATAGGCACAGAGAAAGCTCATTAGGTATTGGGGCTGTGGTGGTTTAGCTACCCCATTCCAACTGGCTACAGCTGAGGCTTCAAGAATGGCTGTCGCTGTTCACACTATGCTCACTGTAGTGCTAAAAGGAATGGAACCTGGAGAAGGAGTTTTTTTCCTGGAAAGGAAGTAGCTTTGGAAAGAAAAAAAGAAGTAAGTGCTGATATGTTGAAATTAAAGAAATAGCCATTCTGACATAGAGACTGTGCTTTAGACCTATTGCTGAAGAGGCTACATAAAAAATATGTGCCACATTTTCTTTATCCAGTCTAACATTGATGGGCATTTGGAATACTATGCAACCATAAAAAAGAATGAGTTCATGTCCTTTGCAGGGACATGGTTGAAGCTGGAAACCATCATTCCCAGCAAACTAACTCAGGAACAGAAAAACAAACACCACATGTTCTTACTCATAAGTGGGAGTTGAACAATGAGAACATATGGGCACATGGAGGGGAACATCACATACTGGGGGTTGGGGGAAAGGGGAGGGATAGCATTAGGATAAATACCTACTGTAGATGATGGGTTGATGGGTGCAGCAAATCATCATGGCACATGTATACCTATGTAACAAACCTGCACGTTCTGCACATGTATCCCAGAACTTGAAGTATAATAAAAAATGGAAATAAAAAAGCAAATATGCTAACTTGTGCCTATTTTGAAAATATTTCTTCACCAAAAATATTATGAATAGCTAATATTGTTTTCATTATTTTAGTTAAAGTGATCATCTGCATGAACCTCACAGCAGCCCTAGGAGGCACGCACTGTCACTGTCCCCACCATTCAGAAGAGGAAATAGGATTAGCAGGCCCAAGAGTTAGCCCACGGTCTCACAGCTACTGAGACATGGAGCTAGAATTTACATCCCAGGGTCCATAATGAAGTCGCTGTTCTAAACTTATGAAACTACTTTCCTCATAATTTCTCTTTCACCCAATTCTTCACTTTCCTGTGAGTGAAGGAGTTGGGGGCCTATGATGTCCACTTGGGCAAAAGACTAAGAGACCCCACCCAAAGCTGCTGTGTTTATCAGGGAAGCAGGAAATTAAGCACAACATAAAAAATAAAATTTCAATGAATCAAAAAAAAAAAAAATAAAAAGGAACCTATGTAATGGGATAGAATATTTGCAAATCACATGTCTGATAAGGGATTTGTATGTTGCATACATAAAGAATTCTTACAACTCCACCACAAAAAGACAGCCCAGTTAAAAATAGGCAAAGAGCTTGAATAGACATTTCTTCAAAGAAGATATGCAAGTGGATAACAGACACATGAAGAGATGCTCAACATCATTCATTAGTCAATAAGAAAATGCAAGTCAAAGAAAGCCACAGTGAAATAGCACTTCACACCCATATAGGATGGCTATAATTAACCAACCAACCTACCAACCAATCCACCAACCAAAAAAACAAAAGAGAAAATAACAAGCAATGGAAAGAATGTGGAAGAACCGGAATCCTTATACATTGCTGGTGGGAATGTAAAATGGTACAGCCACTGTGAAGATCTGCAACAAATGAACAGAATTATAAGTTTGGCATCCTCAACAAGTTAAACGTAGAATTACCATACAAACCAGTAATTCCACTCCTAGGTATATATGGTGAAGAATTGAAAATAGGGACTCAAACATCTTCATGTACATGCATATTCATAGCAGCACCATTCACAATGGCATAAAGGTGGAAACAGCCCAAATGTTGATCAAGAGTTGATGGATAAAGAAATTGCCGTATATCCATAGAATGGAACTTTATTCAGCCCTAAAAAGGATTTTGGAGTGATATACTCATACAGGCTAAAACTTGGATGAACCTCAACAATCTTATACTAAGTGGAAAAATCCAGACATAAAATGTCGTCTATTGTATGATTGCATGTATGTGAAATATTCAGAATAGAAAAGTAGAGACACAGAGACAGAAAACAGATTAGTGATTCTGAGGGATTTGTAGGCAGGGTGATTGGCAATTAACTTATACATGGGTATGAGACCTCCTTTTAGGGTGATGAAAAATATTTTGGAACTAGATAGAGGAGGTAGTTGCAGTACACTGTGAAGGTACTAAGTGCCACTGAATGGTCCACTTTGAAATGATTAATTTCATGTTATAAACATTTCACTTTAATTAAGAAACAGTAACAAATATTTGAATGAAATTCAAAGAGAAATTCACAAAATGTAAAATATCATAAATATGAAACAAACACAATCCCATACTAACAAAACATTGGAAATCAGGGTGCTGTCCGAAGATTGTTGAGTGAAATTTAGCAATCCTAGAACTTAGGTTCTCTCTGCCCCGGGGGAGTGTGTGAATCTTACTTTCCTCAAGAATTTCCAAGGCTTTTGAACCAACATTGCAAAGTGTCATCAGATCCTGCATCTATTGAAGGTTCAGAGTAACAGCTAACTTTCATTGAGCACTACTTTGTTTGGGACACTGTCTTAAGGGATTGGCATATAATGTCTCATTTAATCTTCACAGTTATGTTCTAAATTAGTTGCTCTCATTCACCCCATTTTAAATATGAGGCTATCAAGGCAGAGAGAAGTTAAACAGCCTGTTGGTCCTGCGGCTACAGATTGAGAGCTCCAGATCTGGTACTTGGACCACTCAACTCCTCTGCTTCTGTGGAGCATTCCTATTGTTGGTTCCAGGACCCACGCTAGAAAAGACACACAGGCAAAACACGGGGCACTCCCTTCGCTTTCCACTGAACACTCGCTCAGTATCATGAGGGAGTATATAAAAATCGTATCATTTTTGTTTGATTTCTCAGTGTACCCAAGCTTCAAAAACTGGTCATTTCTCCTTCCTCATGGCCATTCTACTTTTAAGGAGCCAGCAAAAATTCACTTCTGACCCAGAGTTTTCGTTTGGGCTTAGCATCTGAATACTTTTATCATTGCAAATATACAGCACTGGTCATTTTGTGTATTTAGAGAAAACTGCAAAATAATAGAAACATAGATATTTTAAAATGGGAAATTAAGATTTCCATTTGGAAACCTAAGTTAAGTGTACATTAGTGAGTGTCTTAGTGTTGATTGGGATGTGATAACAAACTATCATAAACTGGGTGACTTATAACCTTATAACCAGCAAAAATGTCTTTCTCACAGTTCTGGAAGCTGGGAGGTCCCAGATCAAGGCACCAGCAGCTTCAGTGTTTGGTGAGGGCTGTTTCCTGGTTCATATATGGCCATCTTCTCACGTGGTGGAAGGAAGGGTTACCGATGAGGGTTCTGGGACTTCTTACATAAAGGCACGAATTCCGTTCATGATGGGTCCATCTCCATAATCTAATCACTGGGAGTGACTATTTCAACATATGAATTTGGGGGCTACACAAAAATTCAGACCATAGCAGTAAGTGGCAGTGTGTTCCTGGTATGACCTGTGCTTTCTGGTTGCAAATTCTAAACAGATGTTAACGTGTCTATTTGAGGGTTGTTTGTTTCATGAGAAGGTGGCATAAATAAATCTACATTTTGTTGTTGTTGTTGTTTTGTTTTTTACAGGTGAAATCTTAGTTATATCTATTGAAGGAGAATTTTTCTGGATAAAAGTTATTGCCTAGGATAAAGTGAGCTTTCTCCCTTTCTGTGGTAGGGTATTAGTTTCCTACGCTTCTGCAACATTACCACAACCCGGTGGCTGATGACAACATAAATTCATCCTCTCAGAGTTCTGAAGGACAGAAGTCTGATATCAAGGTTTCTGCAGGACCCTGCTTCTCATGGGGGCTCTAGGGGAGTGTCCTTCCTTGCCTCTCCCGCTTCTGGTGGCTCCAAGTGTTCCTTGGCTTGTGGCAACCTCACTCCCATCTCTCCCTCTGTCTCTGTATAGCTTTCTCTTCTCTGTCCCAAACCTTACTCCACCTTTCTTTTCAAGGACACTCATCATTGATTTAGGTCCTGATCAGATAGTCCAGGATGACCACATCTTAAGATCCTTAACTTAATTACACCTGCAGAGAGACTTTTTCTAAATAAGGTCCTTCTTTGCACATTTATAAGTTCTGGGGGTTGGGACGTGGACACATCCCTTTGGGGGCCTGCACCCTACCCTGCAGGTGGTAACTGAGTTTAGAAAACAGTTGGGTGTGCTCTCGGCCGCTGTTTCCTCCCGGCTACTAGGCCAGCAGGTCCTCTGAGGGGGCTGCACGCCCTGCCCGCAGGCTCGGGGAAGCCACCTCAGAGGACGCCTCAGGAAATGAGGCTGTTTCCAAACAGTTGCATCAGTGTGATTTTTCTGAAACCACATTCTGGTTTCAGCTTTATATATGTGAAAACCCTGGATTTACAATCCGGTAATAACTCTGGAGCGTCCAAGGACTCACAGGGTATGAACTGAGTCCGCAACCACAAGGTGCCTTGCAGTCACACACTCTGCGTCCCATGTCAGATGCCACCTCTGACAACAAGGAGATGAGAGTCACCGGGGCTTTTGAGAAGGAACAACGACCAAGACAGAAAGTCTTAAAGAGGAAGGCCTCCCTTGTTCCCACGAGAACATCACCCTCAATCCCACACATGTGCACTCGTGTGTATGCGTGTGCATGTGGACAAGGCAATTCATATGATAGAGAAGGCGTGAGTTAGTTCTCTCTCATCCCACATTCAAGAATATCATTCTATTATCTTCATCACGTTTACTTTCTAGCATCTTCCAGAGCCCCCCTGCTCGGTGATGGGCCTCAAGTGTCACCCTCAGCTGGGAAGGCTTCCCTTTTCCCTTGTTGAAATATCTCTCCTTAAATCTCTGCTCTTGGGGGTGCCTTTGCTCTTATATTAAGAGGGGACATAGGAGGCTGATCAGACAAAACGTCCCTTGATTTTATGTCAGGATCACGTGTGCACCTGTCGGAGCTATAAGATGCCGTTCAGTGAACTAGAGACAGAGCTGGGGTGCAGGAGGAAATGGGTTAGGTTGTGAGTACATGTCAGTAGCTTTTAAGTATCTGTATACCCCCTCCTCTATGCACGCACCCGGCTGGCTCCAAATGCCTCTTACCAAGGCCGGCATCACACGTTTAGTTTATTAACTACCTACCATCCTTGCAGCTGCTCTGGGCGCTGCTGTGCATGCTGCCTCGGAGCCCATGAAGCTATTCCATCCCAGCCACGAGGGTTTTTGTTCCTCGTGTTCCTCGTGCTAAATCAGGGTGTGATTTAGCATCCAGGCTGTGATTTAATGCTAATGCCACTAATGTCAGAGACGGCCATCCTGGAAACGAATGAGGAATTCGGAGAACAGCTCCAAGATTTCCCCGGGTGGCGCCGAGATGAGTGGATTGGCTGGAAGCCGAGGGGCCCGCTCTGTGTCATTTGGGGAAGAATATCTTCCGACACTGCCCATGAACCCCCTAAAAGTCTAGGCGCTCTCGAAAGTGTTGTGAAATATCTTAGTGATCTCCGCGACTACTGGCTGCAAGATTGGAGGAGAAGGGGAACTATTATTGATATATTATTACCTAGCCCATACTCAGCCACAATTATTAGATAATCTCTGAAAAGTGGACTTCCAGGGTAGAAATTAAACACCGGCGAGCAGCTGTTGAAGGAAAATCGGTTTCCCATTGGATTTCTTTTTCTTTTAATGCCGATGCTGGTGGCTGGTCCGACTCCTCATTGGTATTAAAGTTCTCGTGTCAGTGCTGGACCGGAAGAGATTGATACCCAGCGTAGGCGTCAACTCCGATTTGCACGAAGACCGCAGTGCACCCGTGTTTGCTTGGTACCAGGCCCGGGGTTGGCTTGACTGGGGAAAATATTTCATTTACATGCTTGTGTTTAAAAAGGTAGCCATTCTGAGTGATGGAAACATGCACCGGCTGTTCCTAACAGTCCCGGTATAATATCCAGTAGATTGTGCTATTGGGAATGAATCAGGCGCTGGAGCGCTGACAAAATGCTGGAGCACGTGATCCTGTATTTACAGTACACTATCTCATTTTTAATAGAACTTGTCCAGGAAAGTCTTCCAAAGAAGTTTCAATCGGCTGGCCTCCTTCTAGCAGCTGTGGGGATTAATATTCCGAACAGATCTATAATTTTAGGTCTCTAGTGCAATTTTACTAACTCACTCCATCCTTCCTCCTCGTCCCCTCCCCCGTACTCCATCAGGGACTCTATGCTCTCTCGTCTCCCTTTCTCCAAGTCTCTCCCACCCACATACCCTGAAATTACTCCTCCTGTCCAAATGGAATTCGGTGAAGGATTTCTCAATATCTGTGACCGAGCCATGCTCCGGCCCCTGGCCAGCTTAAGCTGACTTGCAAGAAGTAAGATATGCACATGGATTTTTCCTGAAGCACATAACAGCTTAAGATGCCTTACTTTTTTCTTTAGATGGTTTTATTTACTTTTTTTTATTAGTTTTGGGGAAGTGATGAGAATCTCACAATTGCGGGAATTTCTAGCTCGCAGATGCTGAGTCTTTTCCGTGGTTAACGTCATGATAGTAATAACGAGAATGCTGATACTAATAACGACAGCCCTTATATGTTGGAAAATGCATAAAAATAAAGATAAACAAGGAATGGAGAATGAAAACATGGTGAGTATCAGGGACAAGGCTCAGAGAACTCCCTGATAAAATGGAGCAATTTTCAAAACATTTATGGGGGCTTTTAAGAACTGTGAATTTGTCAAGTGTTATGAAGCAGCAAGCAGCGGGCAATAGAGGGAATGTCTTTAGAAAAAAAAGGGCCCTGGTGTTCGCCAAAAATCTGTGCAGGAGTTCTTCCTAATGCCTGGCCCCCTCAGCAATATGAGCAGAGATTTGGACGATCTTCCTCTTCTACAGTTAGCAGGGTAATTTAACGAGCTGTTTAGAATTATCAAATGTCTTTGAAATTACCAAATGTCTTTGAAATTTTCAAATATCCTTTCCTGAAAATAGCACATGAAATGACTCAGGTATTATTCTTTTTTTTTTCCCTCCCCTAGGCACTGTCCCTACTGCGCTATTATCTGTGGATGTGATTTACTTCAGCTCTTCCAAACAGACAACCGTCTGAACAACACAAGGATGTGGCCAGCACCCAAACAGACCACACTCCTCTGAAGCAGGAGGGCAGTCATCATTCACCAGTTACTCCTAATGTCGAAAATGTATGCAATTTGGACCATGGCGCCTGATCGAGGTAAACTAAATAGCACCATGAACTCACAGCATAGTGAACTATCCACACGGCAGTCGGAGACAAGCACATTTGCAATTTTTCTGAGATTTGCCAGAATCGGAATGACTCAATCCACGGAAGATAATGGATGTGAGTATGGGAAATGGAGCTGTAAGAACGGAAGGCCGCCTTGTTTCCTCTGTTCCCATGCCTGTGGGGTTCACGCTTTAATTCAGGAAGATGTGCCAAGGAAAGGCGTTGCTCTCACCGGTCAGGGTCCAAGGCTCCGGGCCACCATTAATGTCTCGTTGCACACCAATGGCGTTCCCGGGGAGCTTATCTGGCACTGCAAGAGCAAAGCAGCTCTGCTGCAAATCCACCTGACTCAGAAAGCTCTTGACGACCCAGAGCAGTTGGTTCTGCTGTCCTCCACCTCACACTTTCCGGAGGACTTGGGACAGTACGTACACGTGAATCCGCATGTGCCCACACTTGGGGCTGTACATACACGTGTATCTTCATGTGCTCACACTTGGGGCTGTACACACACGTGTATCTTCATGTGCTCACACTTGGGGCTGTACACACATGTGTACATACTTGGGGCTGTATGTACATGTGCCCACACTTGGGGCTGTACGTACATGTGTATCTGTGTCTGCCTACACTTGGGACTGCGGATTGTAACACACCAAGTGACTGCAAGGGACCCCAACAGAGGATAGTGCAGCTCTGCGTTCTCATTTCTGACACTCTCTCTTCTTATTTCAACAGTGACTTCATTTGTGTGAAACAGTCTAATGTCAGTGTGGTTCTTCTATGACACCTGGTATGTTATTGTCACATTGTCATCAGGATCATATAAGAAAATGTCGATTGGGAAGAAACTCTGCAGCTAGTTAAAAAATTCTTTTAAGAGGCTCCCTTTCCGTTGATTCTAATTCCTGTACACCTACAAGGTCATTTCTCATGAGTGAGATGCTCCTGTCCCTGTCCCACCTTGACAGGGGGTGGGAGAAGGCCTCTGAGGTCTCAGTGCTCACCCAGGCCTGCCCCATACTTTTATCTGTGGTATCAGCCATTTATTACCACCAGGTCTCCGGTTTAGTCCCCTGCTGACTTGGCATCTCTGGATTACATACACTGCCTTACAATTTTCAGGTCAATTTGTGATTGAAGGGATGATTATTTTTGTGCTTATCTTTGGGAATGACATTTACTTTAACTGGGGTCTGCAGAAACTTTAGAGTGGACTTCCGGCCTGGCTTGGTGCAGTCCCTCCATCTACAGGCTTGGATTTTTCAGGGTCTCAGAGTTGGTCTGGCTCAAGAACACTGACTCGTGTTAGCACATCTCAGAGGAGACTGACACAGGAAACCAGAGTGCCAGTTCATTAATTTACAGTGAGTAATATAAGTGTCAAGTGGACCAGATGTTGGCTTCATCCTGACCAACACATTCTCTCCCTGTAGGCAAGCTACTTGGGAAGTCAAACAATCAGAAGGATGCTTGGGGAACAGGCAGTCAGAACAGGAGCACGGAGTTTGATGATTCCAACGTCCAGCCACACGAATGGTACACAAAGGCTGTTCAGACCCCTCATTGGAAGCCGGAACAGGAGCTGTTGCTCTGTAATTAGCGTATCACGTGCAACTCCGAGCTGCTCACCTTCTGATACCTGGCTGCCCTCACCTTGTCTGCATCCCAAGGCACAATGGAAGTGAGCGTCTGGCCTGCCATGGGTGTACGGGGTATGTGGTGCAATATTTGTGAGCATCATGTACACAAATAGTGTACACAAATGGTATTTGGCTAAGAGACACTAGCCACAAAATAAAAAATATACCTAAGAATTATCTGATATGAATTTGCACATCCCTATCAACCAGCAAAATGTTACAATCAACCAGCAATACACAGTTTTTTAGTAACGCAGATCATTGCCAGCTTCACTCATGTTAATTCGTGGCTCAGGTCCGCAGTAAGATATACCTGTTAGGCAGGGCAGGCGCTGGGGCTGGGGGCAGAGGACTCGCTCCCAGGGTCGGTACTTAGGTGGGCTTTGCAGCAGTTTCCCCACATAACTGTTCTTTCTGGTGCTTCCATTTTAGGCCTGCATCGTGTCATACCAAAGGGCCTTCTCGCCCTGAGATGTGTTTGACAAGCCTGCTTTTAATTCATGCTGGATGTGAAGGCAGTCCATCTCGTTGATGGAGTTTTGTTTTGTTTAGCTCTGATCATGCTGTGTTGGTGGTGTAGCTTAATTCTCAAAGCGAAAACTGATTTCCAGGTTCTTAAAGAGCACTCCTGCATGGCTTCCAGGGTGCCACCCCCTGCCCCCGCATCTGCACGAGCCCCTTCTCATTCTTTATTCTTTTACGCACTCCCTGTGATTAATCTGGCTGCTACTCCAGTGCCCATGACTTGGGTCTGCCTCAGCCACCTCCAGCCCCCAACATCCCCACATCTTTCTCATCAGAGGGTGGTGGCACCTTTGCTGCTCATGGTCCAGGGTTGTCACAAGGATCAGATGGCAAACAAAGCACAGTGCTGTGAAATCTGTGCAGAGAGAAGAGATTCCAATTTCTTTTCTTAAAAAATAAATATGGCTGCTGGGCTTGATTTTCTTCATTTCAGAATGTCTTGGTGGGACCCAAGAGAAAGGTGGAAAAAGAGTTTAAAACAACTTCGACTGCAAGCCCGTTTCCATGAAGTTCCTCAAGACTTTTGTATGTTAGTAAATCTCTCCACGTGACCTCATTTGGCATAATCTTATCTTTTAGTTTGGTAGAAGTGCTTTAAGATTTGATCACAGACATCTTTTTCACAGATATCCTATTCACTAACACCCTAGTGTACAGAAGTGAAGTTTGGCTAAGAGACAGTAGCCACAAAATAAAAAATATACCTAAGAATTATCTGATATGAACTTGCAAATGCCTATCAACCAGCAAAATGTTACAATCAACCAGCAATACACAGTTGTTTAGTAATGCAGATCATTGCCAGCTTCACTCATGTTAATTCGTGGCTCGGGTCCTTAGACTTTGACTTTATCTTCCATTTTGGGAAACTTTGCTGAACTTTAACCCAGGCTCTGTATCCACCAATGCATTGCCTTGAAGCCTGTTTCAGTTTACCTAGCCCTCAATGGGCATCCACCTGCTTACTGTTCCTCTGAATACCAGCCTTCACGGAAACTACACCAGGAGATAATTAGTCACGCTAACAACCTCGGAAAGCACTGACGAGGCTGTTCAGACCCCTCATTGGAAGCCGGAACAGGAGCTGTTGCTCTGTAATTAGTGTATCAGGTGTAACTCCGAGCTGTTCACCTTCTGATACCTGGCTGCCCTCACCTTGTCTGCATCCCACGGCACAATGGAAGTGAGCGTCTGGCCTGCCATGGGTGTACGGGGTGTGTGGTGCAATATTTGTGAGCATCATGTACCTGCAACTCTCATTAATTAAAAAGACAGCTGGTACCCTAAAAAAAAAGAGGCACAATTCATTTAATGACAGGTATTTTAAATATGTATGCTAATTTCAGGTTTTTCCTTTCATCCCCCGGAAGCACAGACGTGGAAGGAGGCTGCTGGAAGGAAGTGTGTGAGATGAGCTTATTTGTGAGTGAGCAGGAGGGAAGGGGTGGTGAACTTTCCTCCCAGGACGAGATGTGTGCCTGCACTTCTCAGCCGTGAGTGTCGGGAACCAGTCCTGGAGAAACATGACAAATCGCTTCCCTGCGAAGGTACATACCCTTTCCCTTTAGGAACAGTTGTGTCCTATTCTCTGCGATAGAAAACCATCAAAGTCTTTTTTGACATCTCTGACATGAAATAGTGAAGACAGTGCAGAAAGATGCTGTCTTGTACCTAATGACCTTGTGCGGAGAGGGGAACAGACACAGCTCATTAGAGTGATTTAATGTGGTATTTTGTTAAAACTAAATCAAAATAATCTATGGAATGTGGCTGAGATTCATCTGAACTTGAACACACAGGACTGCGCTTTATCTCTTTGTTTTCATTTTGCAGCTAAATGGAATTCTAAATTTGAAATACTACAGAACAGGATGCTTTCCAAATTAAAAAAAAATCCTTTTTTTTTTTCCAAAACAGGCTCGCAATCTTGGGATAACTGCATAGCAGGAAATAAACAAGACTTGGCTCTATATTCGAAGCCTCAGTACAAACAGAACCTAAAAGACAGACAGAAAGAAAATGATACATATAAATACATGCATGAAATGGCGGAGGGGAGAAGACTATCTCAGAAAGAAAACCCAGAAACATAGTGCGGGAATGCTCACAAACCCAAATTAGCTGCAGCTTCAATACAGTTAACTATTGTTTCCTTTTGGAAAGAATTTTATTATTCTGTTTTCCTCATCTCTTCCAAAAGAAAGAGCTTCGAGCAGCATCTGCAAATTGCTGGTAGGGAAATCCTTGATCTTTACCCCTATTGAGATTGTCAAAAGATACCAAAAGCTGGAATCTGTGCTTTATAAAGTTAATGTTTTCTGGAAATTGCAGCAATACAGAAAGCAGCCTTTCCCCTGCTTTCAACAGTGTTTGAGAGGATTCTGAAACTCTCTGTAGGCGAAAAAGAAGCCACCAAACTGACTCTGTTTCAAATTTCTACTCTAAGTTATTTCTCCTGTTCGTGTGAACCCTGGGACAGAACGGGTGTGTATTCATTTTAACCTTAGCTCAGATGGACAGCTCCAGGTGTGTAAGTGGGTTGGTGGTGGCTGCCCAGAGAGGAGGAGATATTTCAGATTTGGTTTCTCCAAGGTTGCACCATTGATTGCATTCCATGTACATTATGATCCCAAAGTGTGTTTAATCGAGAGCTACACAACAGTGCAAAGTGGCGGATGTTAATGTTGACTAGAACTTAACCTATACGTTTTGAGTGCCTTCCTGGGGCCTGGATTTTAACTGAGCATCGTTAATGTGATGAATTTCTCACTGTTAATTAAATGTTATAATGAGTCTTCAATACTTTTAAAACCAGAAGAGAAGTATTCTGTGAGAAAACTTTATATATGTTTAAAAAACAAAAGAATTCCATCTTTCTGTTGACACTTTCCCCACACCTTTGTGCGGCATTTTCTAAAAGAGAATAAAATAACAGCAAAATGTCTCATTTTTCTCAAAAGCTAAGTTGCCTTTACACACCTGTAAAAAAACAGTACTGAAAATTGATGAGTAAATTGAGGAACATATTTAAATGCACACGTATTTTTTATTATATTATATTATATTATATTATTATTATACTTTAAGTTTTAAGGGTACATGTGCACAATGTGCAGGTTTGTTACATATGTATACATGTGCCATGTTGGTGTGCTGCACCCATTAACTCTTCATTAACATTAGGTATATCTCCTAATGCTAACCTTCCCCACTCCCCCCGCCCCACAACAGTCCCTGGTGTGTGATGTTCCCCTTCCTGTGTCCGTGTGTTCTCATTGTTCAACTCCCACCTATGAGTGAGAACATGCGGTGTTTGGTTTTTTGTCCTTGTGATAGTTTGCTGAGAATGATGGTTTCCAGATTCATCCATGTCCCTACAAAGGACATGAACTCATCATTTTTTACGGCTGCATAGTATTCCATGGTGTATATGTGCCACATTTTCTTAATCCAGTCTATTGTTGTTGGACATTTAGGTTGGTTTCAAGTCTTTGCTATTGTGAATAGTGCCACTATAAACATACATGTGCGTGTGTCTTTATAGCACCATGATTTATAATCCTTTGGGTATATACCCAGTAATGGGATGGCTGGGTCAAATGGTATTTCTAGTTCTAGATCCCTGAGGAATCACCACACTGACTTCCACAATGGTTGAACTAGTTTATAGTCCCACCAACAGTGTAAAAGTATTCCTAGTTCTCCACATCCTCTCCAGCACCTGTTGTTTCCTGACTTTTTAATGATCGCCATTCTAACTGGTGTGAGATGGTATCTCATTGTAAATACACACATATTTTAAGATTACCACAACTAATGAAATGTAAGGCTCATTGCCTTACGTTTGTGTTTAACACTGTGTCTAACTAGGGGCATCTCCAACTTTTCTAAACATTTGCAGACAGCCGTGTTCGTGCACAGGTAATTGCTCATCTCAGAACAGTGCCCCTGAGCCAACTGGAGCAAGGACTTAGTGCCTTTTAGAAAGGATTCAAGGTCATGGCTTATCACAGATGCCCTGCTAATGAACATCTTACAGATCATCCTAGGATGCAAGAAAAACAATCTCTCAAAATTTCAGAGGGACCACTGGAAATCAGCCATTTGGGAGTTTGGGTTGAACTGACTGTTTCTTCAATGAGCCAACTACTGTACATTCAGCCTAAAACCGTTAGATGGTGAGGAGTAAACATGTCCATTCCTGGGGTCCTCATTCCACGCCATGCCAGCCACGATTGTGCTTGTGCACTCAGGAAAGAAAGGCTATGGCTGTTTCTTAAGAGCGGCCCATCCTGATGACACAGTGCAGGTTCTGAACTGGACCTGGTGAACATCACTGATGAGCAATCCCGCTGAGCATGGGAAGAGAAGGGATCTTAATCCGAGCACCTTGCTTAGCACTGGTGACCTCCTCCAGGACGTGGAAGAAAAAAAGGAGAGCGCGGCAGCCCGGGATCCCCTCTGGCCCTTTGCACTGCTGTCTTCTAATCCGTGTGCATCCTGGTGGTCATCAGTTTGATCCGTTCGGTAAGCAATCAATCTTTTTTCAATGGTGTGATTTTACAGGATATGATAGGAAAACTGAAATGGCTCCAGCTTGGGTCCTAAGGTAGGACCTATGATAATTGTTTAAAATAAAATTGTGGGACCTTTTATTTTGAACGTGCATAAGGTTAAAAGTCAAAAGGTGGGGGGATGCATAACAGGGGAAAGAAGGGGCTGGAGAGAAAACATTCCCTGTTGGATTGGCTCATCTTTTTTTAAATGACAGTCACCATTCTTGAGGTTACAGTGATTTTTTTCATCTCTAGGCCTTCACGTGATTTTCAAGGACAAGTTAATTTCCAACTTTTCAGTCCTTGCATCCATCACACATGACTCTGCCTGCCAGGGTTTTAACAACAGGGCATGACAGTAATAAAAACAACAGCAACAATGGCTACCACGAATCACTCCTCCATTCATCCCCCTTTGTAAAGTCCTCGCTCCACGGCAGGCTCTGTTCTAGGTACAGGGAACCCAAAAGGAAACAAGAAGGTAAAAGCTGCTTTTTCTCGTGGAGCTTGTGTTCTTGTGGAGCAGACAACCGACAAATCAGCCTCTACTAGTTCTATGGCCCCGCGTCGAGTGCCAGCCACGCCCTCAGACACCTCTTCAATCAACGTGTCTTTAATCCACACACGACTGTGCTGATGAAGGTGTATCGCCTACTTAGCAGATGAGGTCACTGACATTTAGAGAGGTGAGGGCCAGTCCCCAGGTCAACAGGTGGAGTGTGGAGCCCTGCCACTTTGACTTCAGGTTGCACGCCTTTATAACTGTTTCTGTAAGGGAGCCGTCTGGTCTC
Organism: Homo sapiens; assembly: GCF_000001405.40. Classification (NCBI taxonomy): domain Eukaryota; kingdom Metazoa; phylum Chordata; class Mammalia; order Primates; family Hominidae; genus Homo; species Homo sapiens. The sequence goes on along the minus strand of NC_000018.10, from coordinate 76,048,202 downwards.
CCTTGGTTCCTCTGTGCTGTTGTGTTTTTTTTTTTTTTTTTTTGAGACAGAGTCTTGCACTGTTGCCCGAGCTGGAGTGCAATGGTGCGAACTCGGCTCACTGCAACCTCTGCCTCCCAGGTTCAAGTGATGCTCCTACCTCAGCCTCCCGAGTAGCTGGGATTACAGGCACCCGCCACCACACCTGGCTAATTTTTTTTGTATTTTTAGTGGAGATGGGGTGTCACTATGTTGGCCAGACTTGTCTCGAACTCCTGACCTCGTGATCCACCCGCCTCGCCCTCCCAAAGTGTTGGGATTACAGGCATGAGCCACCACGCCTGGTCTCTCTGTGCTCTTATGAGTGGGTGTTCGCATTCCTGTCCTGGTGTCCTTATTGCTCCCCACCCTCTCAAGCAATGTCTAAAGCAGGTGGCCTTGGCATTAGCTTCTTTGATTCCCTCCTGAACTTTCCCCATGAGCCCGGGATTGCAGTGGCCATTGCACTCTAAAATGGAAATGCTCTTGGCCCGCTTCTGAGGTGTTCACAGAGTGGGAAGGAAGAAAGACAGATAAGTAAACAACAGCACAGCTAGGTGATCAGAGCTAAAATGGGGATGTGCACACTGCTATGGAAACATAAATGAAGGTGTTTTCATTATCTTAATTACCCTGGCTCCCTAATTCGATTATGCACTATTGGCGGCAGGTGCCACATTTTTTCCTTGTTTTTCCCCAAGTGCCTAGGATAGCATTTACACCCAGTCAGTGCTTAAAAATATTTGTGAATTGATTAAGCAAACTTGGCAAGTCAGACTTTCTTTTTCCTGCCTTTACTTCTTCTCTCAGTTTGATGCTTTCAAAAATTATCCTTGATGCTTCTTTCTTCCCATTTTTTTGCTGTAGTGATGAATATTATTTCCATGAGTACAATTGTGTTGCCAAGGTTTTCTAACATTTGGCTAAATTTCAAAAACTAAGCCATTCAGGTGATCAAAACACTGCAAAATTCATCAGCTAAGGGGGATTTTTACTCTCTACCCCAATAAACCTAGCTAGGGACACCACAATTGTTGTTCAGATTGTTTGGTGGCCAAGAGCCTGGTGGAGACTGAGGTCTGTATGGAGTTCTGCCAGTATAACCCTGCTTCCCAGGATGGGGACTGCACTTTGAAATTAGAGAGTTTTAATCTAATTTTCCCAAAGATGCTGTAAGGGCTATTGGTTACTCCACACCTACAGCTTTATAACTTAATGTAAATAAACTGGAGTGTGAAAGACAAGAAGAATTGAAAAACTGTCATCAGGCTACCATAGGCATCTGCTGTTATGGTAGCAAGCCCCACACATGGACTGTGACTACCAACTCAACACCATATATGTTACTTTGGTAACGTGAATTTCTAGACACTCCCCCAAAACACCATGTATGTTACTTTGGTAGCATGTGAATTTCTAGACACTCCCCCGAAACAAAATCTTTAAGGACAGGGCCTAGACGTGGTGCATTTTTGTGTAATTGCTGAATAATTCTTAAGCATCTCATTCATTGAGAATCTTGCTGTCTTCCAAGAAGATAGGTTGTCCACAGTAAAATTTCAGAGAAGAATCATTACATTGGATGTCGGGAAAAGATGGTCTGGAACTGAAGGGAGATTTGATAAAGACAAAGAGAAACATAAACATGGCAGATGTTCTGGCGTGAAGCAAAGGGATTTTAATGTGGGGGCTTAGTATTGAGATAAGAGACGAGAAAAGTTTTCACATATCTAGTGAGTTGAAAGAAGGGTGATATTGAAATATTGTGAAATGAGGATTATTTACCAGATAATTTTCAATTCCACAGAGCCACAAAAATTTTAGGTTGATGAGAATTTTCTTTAACTTGATATGTTAGACTCGTTCTTATCAAAGTACTACTTGTAATTTTCCCAGCATCAAGGGCCTTTTCAGCCATCTCAGAGCAAGAATTCTTCTTACAATATTGAAAAGAGACTCCAGCAATGAAATCCTCTGAACTTTCCATGACGTTCAAGGGCACCTGCCACTTTCCAGAACCAACACAAGTATTCTTACCTGGCCAGGAACAACTAGCCATGTGGTTGGCAGGGTCAGAGAATTGCATAGGGCCAGAGAGGTATTTTCAGGTGGGACACATGGCCATCTGAGGGCTGGCAAGTGACAAAGTTGGAGCTGTCCCCTAATATGAGTCTGCAGAAGAGCTCAGCAGGAGCCCCTGTGCTCCCAGGCCCCCTCTGCTCTTAGAAGAGCCTCCATGATGGCCTGGATGCTTCTTCCTCTTCATCCACTTTCTTCCAGCTTGACCTGGGACACCTCCTTGGGGCTCCTCAACTTTGTTTCAGCTGGTCACCAGCAGCCCTTGCAGGCACAGAGCAAGTAGCAACCAGAAGCTTTTTGACTCTAAGGGGAAGAGAGTTTGAAAATGTTTTTCCTGCTTCAAGAAACTTTTCTTAAAAGATGAATTTGCTTATTACTTCTGGTGTCCAATCTCCTGCTGATTCCAGGCTCTTCAAAAGTTTAGAAATGAATTACAAGTCAAATGCAATGCTCCTAAAATTGGGCTTGTGTGTGTGTCTGTGTGGTTGTGATTGTGCAGGTGTGTGTGTATGTGACCTGAGACAAAGCTTTCCAGGTGGAGTTGACAAATGGCGATGACTTCCTGCATCCTTCAGCCTGGGTTTGGGTGTTCCTCTATCTGAAACATCCCAGCATTTTGCATTTCTCCAAAGCTGTGAGCAACTCCTTGCGAGACGGTTCTTGAGGGGCGTGTGCATGGGGATGGGGTGTGATCAGCCCTCCACATTTTGATATTTGCATCATCCATGCTGGGAAGCTGTTTAAAATACTGCATTTGAAGATTATGTTCTCTTTTTTGTAATTGTGGTTTTTAGGTGGGAATTTTCCCCAAGGAAATAGTTTTGAGAAGCTTATTTTAAATTCTGTAATTGTTAACCAGTGCTTTGAAACACTTATGATGAAGAATATCCGACTGTCTTGATTTTCATGGCTGGAAACATGAGTTCCCATAAGTCAAACACACCCACTGTGGCACGGGAAGATGAGGGCAAGTCCCCACAGGACATGAGCTCTTTGTCTACATCATCCCTCATCCCCATTGTGTCCCTATCACTAAAGGTGCTCGTTTGTGCTCAGCCAATTACCAGTGACATTTTTCAGGAGCCTAGAGTCTTCTGTAAGACCATAACCTTAAGCCTTCAGATAATTTTTTATTTCTAGTTAATATCTTCAGCAAAAAGAATAATTCCTTAGCTGTCTCTACTTGCCTGGTCATGAGAACACAAAGCCTGTGACGTGGCTGTTTCCCTCCTCTGCTTCATCCTGTGATCCCGGGCCCTGAGTTCCCATGCCTTTGCATTTTAGGTAGTTGGCTGTTTGGCCTTGGTTAATGATGCTTGGTTGCCATCATGGAAATGGCCAGATTAACGCCTATGGGGTTTATTAAACGTTTAGCAACATTGCATGGATACATTAAAATGGAGAAAATGGAGAATGCCCTTTCTTTTCTCTTTCTCTCTCTCTCTCTCTCTCTATCTCTATCTCTCTGTGTGTGTGTGTGTTTTAAGAACCAAAAGGCAAATTACAATTTTTTTTTAACTTTATTTTGGTTCAGGGGTACACATGCAGTTTCCTTACATGGGTAAACCCGTGTCATGGGGGTTTGTTGTACAGATTATTTCATCACCCAGGTACCTAGTATCCAGTAGTTATTTTTTTTTTGATGCTCTCCCTTCTCCCAACCTACGCCCTCAAGTACGTCCCAGTGTCTGTTGTTCCCCTCTTTGTGTCCACGTGTTCTCATCATTTAGCTCCCGCTTGTAAGTGAAAACATGCGGTATTTGGCTTTCTGTTTCTGCATTAGTTTGCTAAGGATGATG